>NC_000002.12:241527632-241855580 GCF_000001405.40 Homo sapiens | reverse complement strand
ATGGGCTCTGTCTCCCTCCTGACCCTGCATAGGGCACAGCCCTCTCTCATCAACCCACGATCCTACGTGGATCCGAGAGGGAGCACCTGGGGAAACAATGGAATCCCATAGAAACACCCCAAATCTAACTTGATCCAGGACCAGCCAGTGGTCACTTCTGAATATTCACCTTCCTAGTAGACACTACCAGCCAAGGGAGGCCAGGAAGCCTTCCTGGAGGAGGTGGCCTGAGGACTGGGGTGAGGCAGGCCCTGCGTGGGGGTCGCCACCCAGCACCCCCACACTGGGTGGGAGCCAGTCTCTGAGACTGGCTGGGGGAGGTGGGAGAGGGGGCTGCTTGAACTGCAGACACCGAGGTCTAGCCCCCACCCCACCCAGCCAGTTGGTGGAGGCAGGGGAGGCCGAGGGGCCCAGCTGGACCTGCTCCCCGGGGTGGATTCCAAAATAGGGGGGTTGGGGGGGGCGGAACAGGAGCCCAGGGTCCTGGCTTGAGGCCCAGTGGCTGAGGGCTGGTGCAAGCCAGACAGGAAAAGGGTTGAGCCTGTCAGCGCCAGCACAGATCAAGTCAGGAGCAGGTCCCTCCACCAATGTGTGCAAATAAATAGCAGCTAAGTTTCCAGTTACAAGAACAATGCACAGATGGTCCCAGGGACATTGCGGTGTGGACACACAGCGGCCATTGTCCTGTCGCCAGCACCTCGCCCTACAGCTGGGGGGTCCCTTAGCACTTCCTAGCCATGCAGGGTCCCTGCTCACAGTACCCGTGATGACTTCTGTTCCTCACCTGCCTGTCTGTCCCGACAGCTGCATGGCAGCCCTGGCCTGGGAGATGGAGACCCCGAGGGGCTGCCTGCGGTGGTGGGGCCCCTGGGTCCCCACTGCATTCCCAGAAACCCAGAGGGCAGGGCATTTCCCCTGCTCTGTGCCGAGTCCACCCAGCCCCAGCCTAGGCCCAGTAAGGGCTGCAGCCCACCCTGTCCCAGGCTGCCTCCCAGGAGCCCTCTTGGCCCTGATGCCAGAAGCCCATCTTCCTCCATTCAGGCAGGTCTCTGAGTGCCCTGGCCTGGCTGCCTGCTGGCCCTGAGAGTCACACTACCCCACAGCCCTCCTTGGTCAAAATCCACTCTGGAGTGGCTGGAAGATTCCCCGGGCCCACGCCGCACACGCCTATGCAGGGAGCTTCCCCTGGCCGGCCGGCAGACAAGGGCGGTCTCAGAGAGGGGGCTCACCTCAGCAGCCCCTTGTGTAGCTGGCCCTCGCCCCTGCCACCTCTGGGAACACCACCAGGAAGCTGGGGGACAGGCACGCAGGTGAAGGAGGCGAGCGCTTGTCAGCCGGGAGGCCATGGGCACAGAGGGAACAGGGACACCCTGGGTGGCCTCAAGGTCACTTCAAACCCCTCACTCGTCCCCTGGGAGGGTGCCCAGTGAGGTTGGCACTAGGAGTTGGTCCTGGTCACATGACAGACCCACCCACCTCTGGTGTCCAGCCAGCACGCCGTGGGCCAGCCTGGCTGCAGGGACACGAGGGCAGCAGCCCCCTCCTCCTCTGAGCTGGTTGCTCCTTGAGTCATCACCACCGCCTGCCACGGAGGCCGCCTGTCCCAGGAAGCAGAGGGACCGCAGCTGTGGCAACCAGGGCCTGGTCTCTGTGTCACCTCGCTGGGGGGCCGTGCCCAGGCCTGAGACGGAACTGAGTGACAGTGCACTGGGTCTGACAGTGTGGGGCTGGCGCCATGTTTGGGGAACCCTGTGGCATGGGACCTGTGGGTGAGCCGGGAAAATCACCCCGTTGCATGGCATCTCGGGCCTGGATCTTAAGCGCCTGTGTTGGTGCCTCCGCCTGGCGGAAGAGCCGCGACCCCCACGTTGCCATGCGGGTATCCCAAGCCCTGACCCTGGCAGGCATATGTTTCAGGAGGTCCTTGTCTTGGGAGCCCAGGGTCGGGGGCCCCGTGTCTGTCCACATCCGAGTCAATGGCCCATCTCGTCTCTGAAGCATCTTTGCTGTGAGCTCTAGTCCCCACTGTCTTGCTGGAAAATGTGGAGGCCCCACTGCCCACTGCCCAGGGCAGCAATGCCCATACCACGTGGTCCCAGCTCCGAGCTTGTCCTGAAAAGGGGGCAAAGACTGGACCCTGAGCCTGCCAAGGGGCCACACTCCTCCCAGGGCTGGGGTCTCCATGGGCAGCCCCCCACCCACCCAGACCAGTTACACTCCCCTGTGCCAGAGCAGTGCAGACAGGACCAGGCCAGGATGCCCAAGGGTCAGGGGCTGGGGATGGGTAGCCCCCAAACAGCCCTTTCTGGGGGAACTGGCCTCAACGGGGAAGGGGGTGAAGGCTCTTAGTAGGAAATCAGGGAGACCCAAGTCAGAGCCAGGTGCTGTGCAGAAGCTGCAGCCTCACGTAGAAGGAAGAGGCTCTGCAGTGGAGGCCAGTGCCCATCCCCGGGTGGCAGAGGCCCCAGCAGAGACTTCTCAATGACATTCCAGCTGGGGTGGCCCTTCCAGAGCCCTTGCTGCCCGAGGGATGTGAGCAGGTGGCCGGGGAGGCTTTGTGGGGCCACCCAGCCCCTTCCTCACCTCTCTCCATCTCTCAGACTCCCCAGACAGGCCCTGGAACCCCCCCACCTTCTCCCCAGCCCTGCTCGTGGTGACCGAAGGGGACAACGCCACCTTCACCTGCAGCTTCTCCAACACATCGGAGAGCTTCGTGCTAAACTGGTACCGCATGAGCCCCAGCAACCAGACGGACAAGCTGGCCGCCTTCCCCGAGGACCGCAGCCAGCCCGGCCAGGACTGCCGCTTCCGTGTCACACAACTGCCCAACGGGCGTGACTTCCACATGAGCGTGGTCAGGGCCCGGCGCAATGACAGCGGCACCTACCTCTGTGGGGCCATCTCCCTGGCCCCCAAGGCGCAGATCAAAGAGAGCCTGCGGGCAGAGCTCAGGGTGACAGGTGCGGCCTCGGAGGCCCCGGGGCAGGGGTGAGCTGAGCCGGTCCTGGGGTGGGTGTCCCCTCCTGCACAGGATCAGGAGCTCCAGGGTCGTAGGGCAGGGACCCCCCAGCTCCAGTCCAGGGCTCTGTCCTGCACCTGGGGAATGGTGACCGGCATCTCTGTCCTCTAGCTCTGGAAGCACCCCAGCCCCTCTAGTCTGCCCTCACCCCTGACCCTGACCCTCCACCCTGACCCCGTCCTAACCCCTGACCTTTGTGCCCTTCCAGAGAGAAGGGCAGAAGTGCCCACAGCCCACCCCAGCCCCTCACCCAGGCCAGCCGGCCAGTTCCAAACCCTGGTGGTTGGTGTCGTGGGCGGCCTGCTGGGCAGCCTGGTGCTGCTAGTCTGGGTCCTGGCCGTCATCTGCTCCCGGGCCGCACGAGGTAACGTCATCCCAGCCCCTCGGCCTGCCCTGCCCTAACCCTGCTGGCGGCCCTCACTCCCGCCTCCCCTTCCTCCACCCTTCCCTCACCCCACCCCACCTCCCCCCATCTCCCCGCCAGGCTAAGTCCCTGATGAAGGCCCCTGGACTAAGACCCCCCACCTAGGAGCACGGCTCAGGGTCGGCCTGGTGACCCCAAGTGTGTTTCTCTGCAGGGACAATAGGAGCCAGGCGCACCGGCCAGCCCCTGGTGAGTCTCACTCTTTTCCTGCATGATCCACTGTGCCTTCCTTCCTGGGTGGGCAGAGGTGGAAGGACAGGCTGGGACCACACGGCCTGCAGGACTCACATTCTATTATAGCCAGGACCCCACCTCCCCAGCCCCCAGGCAGCAACCTCAATCCCTAAAGCCATGATCTGGGGCCCCAGCCCACCTGCGGTCTCCGGGGGTGCCCGGCCCATGTGTGTGCCTGCCTGCGGTCTCCAGGGGTGCCTGGCCCACGCGTGTGCCCGCCTGCGGTCTCTGGGGGTGCCCGGCCCACATATGTGCCTGCCTGCGGTCTCCAGGTGTGCCCGGCCCATGCGTGTGCCCACCTGCGAGGGCGTGGGGTGGGCTTGGTCATTTCTTATCTTACATTGGAGACAGGAGAGCTTGAAAAGTCACATTTTGGAATCCTAAATCTGCAAGAATGCCAGGGACATTTCAGAGGGGGACATTGAGCCAGAGAGGAGGGGTGGTGTCCCCAGATCACACAGAGGGCAGTGGTGGGACAGCTCAGGGTAAGCAGCTCATAGTGGGGGGCCCAGGTTCGGTGCCGGTACTGCAGCCAGGCTGTGGAGCCGCGGGCCTCCTTCCTGCGGTGGGCCGTGGGGCTGACTCCCTCTCCCTTTCTCCTCAAAGAAGGAGGACCCCTCAGCCGTGCCTGTGTTCTCTGTGGACTATGGGGAGCTGGATTTCCAGTGGCGAGAGAAGACCCCGGAGCCCCCCGTGCCCTGTGTCCCTGAGCAGACGGAGTATGCCACCATTGTCTTTCCTAGCGGAATGGGCACCTCATCCCCCGCCCGCAGGGGCTCAGCTGACGGCCCTCGGAGTGCCCAGCCACTGAGGCCTGAGGATGGACACTGCTCTTGGCCCCTCTGACCGGCTTCCTTGGCCACCAGTGTTCTGCAGACCCTCCACCATGAGCCCGGGTCAGCGCATTTCCTCAGGAGAAGCAGGCAGGGTGCAGGCCATTGCAGGCCGTCCAGGGGCTGAGCTGCCTGGGGGCGACCGGGGCTCCAGCCTGCACCTGCACCAGGCACAGCCCCACCACAGGACTCATGTCTCAATGCCCACAGTGAGCCCAGGCAGCAGGTGTCACCGTCCCCTACAGGGAGGGCCAGATGCAGTCACTGCTTCAGGTCCTGCCAGCACAGAGCTGCCTGCGTCCAGCTCCCTGAATCTCTGCTGCTGCTGCTGCTGCTGCTGCTGCTGCCTGCGGCCCGGGGCTGAAGGCGCCGTGGCCCTGCCTGACGCCCCGGAGCCTCCTGCCTGAACTTGGGGGCTGGTTGGAGATGGCCTTGGAGCAGCCAAGGTGCCCCTGGCAGTGGCATCCCGAAACGCCCTGGACGCAGGGCCCAAGACTGGGCACAGGAGTGGGAGGTACATGGGGCTGGGGACTCCCCAGGAGTTATCTGCTCCCTGCAGGCCTAGAGAAGTTTCAGGGAAGGTCAGAAGAGCTCCTGGCTGTGGTGGGCAGGGCAGGAAACCCCTCCACCTTTACACATGCCCAGGCAGCACCTCAGGCCCTTTGTGGGGCAGGGAAGCTGAGGCAGTAAGCGGGCAGGCAGAGCTGGAGGCCTTTCAGGCCCAGCCAGCACTCTGGCCTCCTGCCGCCGCATTCCACCCCAGCCCCTCACACCACTCGGGAGAGGGACATCCTACGGTCCCAAGGTCAGGAGGGCAGGGCTGGGGTTGACTCAGGCCCCTCCCAGCTGTGGCCACCTGGGTGTTGGGAGGGCAGAAGTGCAGGCACCTAGGGCCCCCCATGTGCCCACCCTGGGAGCTCTCCTTGGAACCCATTCCTGAAATTATTTAAAGGGGTTGGCCGGGCTCCCACCAGGGCCTGGGTGGGAAGGTACAGGCGTTCCCCCGGGGCCTAGTACCCCCGCCGTGGCCTATCCACTCCTCACATCCACACACTGCACCCCCACTCCTGGGGCAGGGCCACCAGCATCCAGGCGGCCAGCAGGCACCTGAGTGGCTGGGACAAGGGATCCCCCTTCCCTGTGGTTCTATTATATTATAATTATAATTAAATATGAGAGCATGCTAAGGAGTTCTGTCCTGTCTGGTGGCTGTGGGGGCAGTGGGCAGGAGGGAGGGAGGCCTCCAGGGAGGGACAAGGCGGCAGCCAGGCTGAGGCTGTGTGTGGAGGGTGCTGGTGGCTCCCCTGGATCCTGGCCTGAGTCAGGCCTTCCCCTCGCTGTCCCAGAAACACACAGGCCCTCCTCGCCCTGTTTGCCCCACTCACATGTAGAGCCCTCCGGTGAAAAATTCCTCCAACATCACGGGGCTGGGGACACCATCTTCCCCAAGCCCAGGCCTTTTAGGGGGGTCCCACGGCCCCCTGGCCCCAGGCTTCCTGGCCAGGCATGGGTGTCCCTGAGTGACTGTGCCTGCTCCATAGCCCCCGTGTCCCCATGCCTACCAGTCCCTCCGGGCAGGGGTGGTACCTGGTGCCAGGGCGTCCACAGCGGGGTGGGAGGGCTGCCCTGGGCTATGAGGGACACAGCATCTGCGGGTCCCTCCCTAAGTACACAGGGTGGGGGCAGCGGGGGAGGCGGGGTCACGTCTGCTGGAGCCCTATCACCCTGCTGCGGTCCTTGGCAGCTAGCAGCAGGGACGGTGCAGGGAAAGGAGCCCTGCCAGGCCCTCGGGCACCGCAGCCAAACACCCACTGACACCCCGGGGCTCATTCTCTGCTTGCCATCCTGGAGCCCAGTCCTGGACCCCATGCCTGTGTCAGGGACAGGCACAGAGACCTCGCAGCTCTGGGAACTCCCGGTGAGATCCGGCAGATCAGGCCTGGCAGGGAACGCTGCCCGGGGGCTCTGCACATGATGTGGGTTTCCATCCGCAAAACCCGATAGGTCCCATGGAAAATGACCACAGGCAATGAGAAAGCCATAGAGTGCTGCCTGTGAGATCAGCGTCCAGAACTCACAGCTCTCAAACACCCACTCACAGCGCAGCGCGCCAGCGTCCAGAATTCACGGCTCTCATTCATCCATTGACAGCGCAGCGCGCCAGCATCCAGAACTCAAGGCTCTCAAACACCCATTCACAGCGCAGCGCGCCAGCATCCAGAACTCACGGCTCTCATTCATCCACTGACAGCGCAGCGCGCCAGCATCCAGAACTCAAGGCTCTCAAACACCCATTCACAGCACAGCGCGCCAGCATCCAGAACTCACGGCTCTCATTCATCCATTGACAGCGCAGCGCACCAGCATCCAGAACTCAAGGCTCTCATACACCCATTCACAGCGCAGCGCGCCAGCATCCAGAACTCAAGGCTTTCATTCATCCATTGACAGCGCAGCGCGCCAGCATCCAGAACTCACGTCTCTCATTCATCCACTGACAGCGCAGCGCGCCAGCATCCAGAACTCAAGGCTCTCAAACACCCATTCACAGCGCAGCGCGCCAGCATCCAGAACTCAAGGCTCTCATTCATCCATTGACAGCGCAGCGCGCCAGCGTCCAGAACTCACGTCTCTCATTCATCCACTGACAGCGCGGCGCGCCAGCATCCAGAACTCAAGGCTCTCAAACACCCATTCACAGCGCAGCGCGCCAGCATCCAGAACTCAAGGCTTTCATTCATCCATTGACAGCGCAGCGCGCCAGCATCCAGAACTCAAGGCTCTCAAACACCCATTCACAGCGCAGCGCGCCAGCATCCAGAACTCAAGGCTCTCAAACACCCATTCACAGCGCAGCGCGCCAGCATCCAGAACTCAAGGCTCTCATTCATCCATTGTCAGCGCAGCGCGCCAGCATCCAGAACTCAAGGCTCTCAAACACCCATTCACAGCGCAGCGCGCCAGCATCCAGAACTCAAGGCTCTCATACACCCATTCACAGCGCAGCGCGCCAGCATCCAGAACTCACGTCTCTCATTCATCCACTGACAGCGCAGCGCGCCAGCATCCAGAACTCAAGGCTCTCATTCATCCATTGACAGCGCAGCGCGCCAGCATCCAGAACTCAAGGCTCTCAAACACCCATTCACAGCGCAGCGCGCCAGCATCCAGAACTCACGGCTCTCATTCATCCATTGACAGCGCAGCGCGCTAGCATCCAGAACTCACGTCTCTCATTCATCCACTGACAGCGCAGCGCGCCAGCATCCAGAACTCAAGGCTCTCAAACACCCATTCACAGCGCAGCGCGCCAGCATCCAGAACTCACGGCTCTCATTCATCCATTGACAGCGCAGCGCACCAGCATCCAGAACTCAAGGCTCTCATACACCCATTCACAGCGCAGCGCGCCAGCATCCAGAACTCAAGGCTTTCATTCATCCATTGACAGCGCAGCGCGCCAGCGTCCAGAACTCACGTCTCTCATTCATCCACTGACAGCGCAGCACGCCAGCATCCAGAACTCAAGGCTCTCAAACACCCATTCACAGCGCAGCGCGCCAGCATCCAGAACTCAAGGCTCTCATTCATCCATTGACAGCGCAGCGCGCCAGCGTCCAGAACTCACGTCTCTCATTCATCCACTGACAGCGCAGCACGCCAGCATCCAGAACTCAAGGCTCTCAAACACCCATTCACAGCGCAGCGCGCCAGCATCCAGAACTCAAGGCTTTCATTCATCCATTGACAGCGCTGCGCACCAGCGTCCAGAACTCACGTCTCTCATTCATCCACTGACAGCGCGGCGCGCCAGCATCCAGAACTCAAGGCTCTCATTCATCCATTGTCAGCGCAGCGCGCCAGCATCCAGAACTCAAGGCTCTCAAACACCCATTCACAGCGCAGCGCGCCAGCATCCAGAACTCAAGGCTCTCATACACCCATTCACAGCGCAGCGCGCCAGCATCCAGAACTCACGTCTCTCATTCATCCACTGACAGCGCAGCGCGCCAGCATCCAGAACTCAAGGCTCTCATTCATCCATTGACAGCGCAGCGCGCCAGCATCCAGAACTCAAGGCTCTCAAACACCCATTCACAGCGCAGCGCGCCAGCATCCAGAACTCACGGCTCTCATTCATCCATTGACAGCGCAGGGCGCTAGCATCCAGAACTCACGTCTCTCATTCATCCACTGACAGCGCAGCGCGCCAGCATCCAGAACTCAAGGCTCTCAAACACCCATTCACAGCGCAGCGCGCCAGCATCCAGAACTCACGGCTCTCATTCATCCATTGACAGCGCAGCGCGCTAGCATCCAGAACTCAAGGCTCTCAAACACCCATTCACAGCGCAGCGCGCCAGCGTCCAAAATTCACGGCTCTCATACACCCATTCACCCCATTCACAGCACAGTGCGCTAGGAGACGGAGTGGCGGGCGATGTTTCATCTAGGACAGCAAGAGAGAAGATGCTCCCGGCATAAACCTAGCCAGAAACGTGGGAAAGCTGCCGCAGAGGCTGAACTCAATCAAAGGCACCCTGACCCCCGGGCCCCGAAGAGGCGCCACAGCTGCAAACATGCACGTTCTTCCGATACAATTTGTAAATTTAATACGATCCCAGTAAAAACCACAGTTCTGGAACTACCATGCTCATATGGAAAAATTAACAAGCAAGTAACAGCCAAAAAAACCATGAAAAGAAAGTGAAAGAGGACCAGCTTTATGAGCTCAGGGGAAACTTACTGTAATGAAAACAGGGTGGGATAAGCACCAGAAGACACAGGAACAGGCCCAGTCCCTGCGACCCAAATCAGTGAGGGGAAAAACGACTTTTTAACCAACTGCCCAGGGATAGGGATAGCCATCTGGAAAAGTATTAAGTTAGACTCATATGCACAAAATCCCAAATGCAGCAGAGAGAAAAGCATACAAAAAGAACCCTGGCCGCGCGTGGTGGCTCACGCCTGTGATCCCAGCACTTTGGGAGGTCGAGGCGGGTGGATCACAAGGTCAGGAGATTGAGACCATCCTGGCTAACACGGTGAAACCCTGTCTCTACTAAAAACACAAAAAATTAGCCGGGCATGGTGGCGGGCACCTGTGGTCCCAGCTACTCGGGAGGCTGAGGCAGGAGAATGGCGTGAACCCGGGAGGCGGAGCTTGCAGTGAGCCGAGATCATGCCACTGCACTCCAGCCTGGGCGACACAGCAAGACTCCGTCTCAAAAAAGAAAAAAAAAGGAACCCTACAAGAAACAAGAAACCGTGGGTGCATTCTTGCAGTGTGGGAGGGGAAGGCATTCCCAATGAATAAAGGACATCAGGCAACAATTAAAGAGAAGACTGATACACTGAACTCCATATATTGGAAAACAAAAAACTTTAGCTTGGCAAAAAAAATCATAAACAAACTGAGGGAAAATGTTTGCACCACCACAAAAGAGCGAATATGCCAGTCGTAGGAAGATCTAAGAGTCTGGAAAAAGCAAGGTCAAAAATACACGAGAAAGTGCAGGAGACATAACCCAACAGCTCAGAGAAAATGTGTGTGCGTGAGCCTGTGTGTGCACGTGTCTACACGTGTGTAGACATATGTGTGCATACAAATGTGTGTATGTACATACACAGGGGTATGTGTGTGGGTGTGTGTGTACAGGTGTGCGGACGTGTGTATCTACAATATATGTATATACGGCAGTGCCTGCGTGCATACCCATATCCCTTAAACAATGAAAGGTTGTTCAGGTTCTCTCAACAAAAATACAAGTTGAAACTACATCCACCAGGCTGACAGAGCTCTGACAACGGTGCGGCTGTTGGCGAGGCAGCAGGGAGCAGGCCTGAGGGGCTGGCGGGGAAGCCGAGCTGGAGACGCACCGGTGCTGTCTGGTAGGCGGTGGGCACTTGCCCTTTGCCCCCTCAACCCCCATCCTCGTCGAAACACTTCCCAGAGGTCACCGGCAAACATGTGCAGACGCAGAGCCCACGAGCTCACGGCGCTGGCTCGGCAACGGCAAAGCCGTCCAAAGCCGGCCGGGGGCTTGAGCCCGCCCCGGAGCCTCCATCAGCTGAGAGCTGGGGCCGCGGGAGCAGGGAGGAGGCTCAGGGCTCCCCACAGAGGGTCAGGTCACTCAAGACCATGAGGGGACACACGCGCAGGACAGAACAACTCGCTGTCCCCAACTTGCTGTCGTGTGAAAATGACACGGCAGCAGTCTGAGCATCAAACAATGCCAAATTAAAATTAAAAACCTAACTGAGGCTTGGCACGGTGGCACTTTGGGAGGCCGAGGCGGGAGGGTCGCTTGAGCCCAGGAGTTTGAGACCAGCCTGGGCAGCAAAGTGAGATCCTGTCTCTAAGGAAAAATTTTAAAATTAGCCAGGTGCGGTGGTCCCAGCTCCTCGGGAGGCTGAGGCGGGAGGATCCCTGGAGTCCCGGAGGTGGAGGCCGCAGTGAGCCACGATGGTGCCACTGACTCCAGCCTGGGCGACAGAGCAAGACCCTGTCAAAAAAAAAAAAAAAAAAAGCCTAATTGATTGACACACTTTGAGTACGTTAAAAAGAACATGAGCTCAGATCGATACTCACAAAAAGAGACAAGGCGGGCGGGGAGGGAGGAAGCGGTCGCTGTCCCCGGGCGTCCGCGGTGTGTTGGCGGCTGAGAGACCGCGGCGCAGTCAGCACTTCGCCTCCCGCCTTCCCGTCAGGCCGCCCCGCGCCGCCGCGCACTCACTTTTTCCGTCCCCGGCTGGCCCCGGGCCTGTGTCGCCGCCGGGCTGCGGCTGCGCTCCCGCCCCACCCACGCGCCCCAGGCGGGTCGGCCCGGCCTCGCACAGCAGCTGCGGCGGCTTCAGGAGCGCCCTGGGTGTGGCCGGGCCTCGGGGCTCCCCGGGGGACAGTGCCGGGAGGAGGCCGGGGCGCGTGGGACCCGGAGCGAGAGAGGCGCGGCCCCGCCCCGTGTCCCAGGCCCCTGAGCCCGGCCAGCTCCACCCACGCCCGCGCCCCCGCGCCCCCGCGCCCCCGCGCCCCCGACCCTGCAGCGCCGCCCCCACCCCTGCGCCCCACCCCAGCCCCGCCCACACCCACCGGCCGGGTCTGCGGAGTGCGTGGGCGTTGGACGCCTTACTCTGCACGGGGGACCGCGGGTCCTGTGGGCCTCGTGGATGGAGCCCGGGGTCCTTGGAATTGGGCGGGGTGGGGGGGAGTCCGCCCAGGGCTCCCAGCAGGAGCGAAGGTGAGCGGGGGGCCTCTGAAAGGGAACCCACCCTCGGGCTACAGGAGACCGGGCTGGCGATCTGGGTGCAGCGCCAAGGCCCTGGGGGCTGGTGGGGCCGCATGGGGGGCTGCGGTGTGAGTCCTGGTGGTCTCTACCCTCGTGCGTCAGGGCTCCAGTGTGGACAAACCTCGCTCTGAGTCTGGGTGAGGCTCCTGAGATTCTGGAGAGTTCAGGATGTGGAGGGTCCTCTGGAGGGTGACCGAGGCCGTGTGACCACACCATCGCCGTGGCCCCCTCGACTGTGGCACAATCGCTCCCCTTCTTGGGTGGATCTCCGCGTGTTCTCCCCATACCTCTGACCCCAGTCAGTCTGCCGCACCCACCAGTGGGGGCCCCTGTGTTTGTCCAGCCTTAGAAAACCTGGCCGGGGTGTGGCCGGAGGGGCACTGCCGGTGCCACTGGCCAGGGCTGTGAGAGCGCAGGATGCCTGCCCCGGGCACGGGGGCACCGTCGTCCCCAACTGCTTAGCCACAGAATCCAAGATTGGTTTGGGGTCTTCAGTTTTTATCTCAATTCAACCTGCAAAACCAAGTTATTACATACATGGAGGAGTATTCAGCCTTAAAAAGATGGAAGTCAGTGCACCCCATTCCCAGCAGCGCAATTCACAATCAGCGGCCATGTGGAAGCAGCAGCTCCGTGTCCACCGCCGGAGGAAGGAACGGACAGCACGGTGATTCCGCACAGAGGGAGTCACCTCAGGAAGGAAGGGCTCCCACACCCGCCGCAGCGTGGAGGAACCTCGAGGACGTCACACCGAGGGGCACAAGCCACAAAAGGACAAACACTGTGTGACTCCCCACACACGAGGTCCCCAGAGTGGGCCGGTTCATAGGCAGAAAAAGCAGACGGTGGGGCCCGGGGTCGGGGGAGCCAGCGGGAAGTGAGTGTTTAATGGGGACACTTTCTGTTTTGCAAGAGAAAAAGAGTTTCTGTTTCTGGGCTGGGAGGTCAGCCGCTGAACCGCTGAACCACAGTTGCTGGGCGGGGAAAGTGGGCCTCGACCACTGCCTGGCCTATGCAGGCTGCCCCGGAATCAGGGGCAGGGGCAGGAGCGCCGGGTGTGAGACCTCAGCCCATGGCAGCCTTCGGCCTCGCTGATGGACAGAAGGGGAAACTGAGGCCCAGGGAGGTGTAGCTGTAGTAGTGAGAGTTCTCTAGAGAAATAGAACCAATAGGCCGGGAGTGGTGGCTCATGCCTGTAATCCCAGCACTTTGGGAGGTCAGGACAAGCAGATCACTTGAGGTCAGGAGTTCGAGACCAGCCTGACCAACATGGAGAAACCCCATCTATACTAAAAATACAAAATTAGCCGTGGGTGGTGGCGCATGCCTGTAATCTCAGGTACTTGGGAGGTTGAGGCAGGAGAATTGCTTGAACCCAGGAGATGGAAGTTGCAGTGAGCCGAGATCGCGCCATTGCACTCCAGCCTAAACAACAAGAACAAAACTCCGTCTCAAAAAAAGAAAAAAAAAAAAAGAACCAATAGAATGTGGAGACAGAGAGAGAGAAACTTACTTGGAGAAATTGGCTCACATGACTACGGCAGGCAGGCAGGCTGGGGACGCAGGAGGAGCCGAAGTAGCCACTCAAATCCAAAGATGCCTGCAGGCAGGATTCCATCCTCCTTTCTCTCCTTTCTCTCCGGCCTTCATAGACTGGATGAGACTCCTGTGTCGCGGAGGCTGACCTGCTGATTCAAAGTCTACTGATCTCAGCGGTAATTTTATCTTCGAAAAATACCTTCACTGAAACTTCTGGACTGCTGTTTGACCAACATCAGAGTCCTGCGGCCTGGCCAAGCTGACACAGAATGAACCATTGCAGGCCGAAGGAGGCGGAGCAGGTGGCACGCAGGACCCCAGCTCTTCCAGGAAGTCTGGGCTTGTGGGGGGAATGGCCGGTGCGGCAGGGGGTCCCTCAGCCAAGGCGGGCCTGCAGCCGATCACGTTTTCACAAGTCCATTGGCCACGTGGATGCCCTCAAGATTATACTGATTGTCATCCACTTTCTTCCTTCTCTTTTCTTGGAATTTTTATAGCTACACTTTTTTAAAAATTAATAGGCTCTACTATCTAAAGCAGTTTGGGGTTTATGGAAAAGCTGAGTGGAAAGTAGACGGAGCCCCCATGTGCCCCTCGCCTCGCCCCTCACACACACTCTGCACCCCTATTGTTAGCGCCTTTGCCTTGGTGCTGGGTCCTTGCTGTGCGACGAATCTGCACTGACCTGGCCCCATCACGCAGGGTCCACAGCTCGAATTGGGGGCCAGTCTTGGCGTCTTGCGTTCCGGGAGTCCTGGCAAGTGCATGAGGTCAGGTATCCACCATGATGGTGTCAGGAGAGGCTTCCCTGCCCCGAAATTCCCCCGAGCTCCACTATTCACCCCTCCCTTCCCTGGCAACCACTGAGGATTCTTACTGTCTGGGTAGATTGCCTCTCCCGGAATGTTGTATAGTTGGAATCATACAGCATGCGGCCTTTTCAGATTAGCTTTGAGAACTAAAAATAAAATTCTAAGCTCCCAGTCAACTAAAAGGACGCCTGTTAGCCAAGGAGACCCCAGAGAAACCTTAACACCTGAGTTCCCAGCTAGGACGGGACAGGAGGACATATACAGCTCGTTAGAGCCCCTCCCTTTTGTGGTTTAGACACAAATGCCCAGAGTGAATGTTGAAATAGAGACCATAAGATTGGCAGGATTGGGCCAGGCGTGGTGGTTCACGCCTGTAATCCCAGCACTTTGGGAGGATGAGGTGGGTGGATCACTTGAGGTCAGGAGTTCAAGACCAGCCTGGCCAACGTGATGAAACCCCATCTTTACTAAAAATAAAAAAATTAGCTGGCCGTGGTGGCGGGCGCCTATAATCCCAGCTACTCGGGAGGCTGAGGCAGGAGAATCGCTTGAACCTGGGAGGCGGAGGTTTCAGTGAGCCGAGATCGCACCACTGCACTCCAGCCTGGGAGACAGAGTGAGACTCTGTCTCAAAAAAAAAAAAAAAATTGGCAGGGCTGAATACAGCAGTAAGATGCCAAATTATCAACAGGACCTGAGGCTGCACCAGGCAGGGTGAAGTCACACACGCTGCACTGACTTATGTCCTGCCTGCCATGAGGTTTTCTTTTTTTTTTTTTTTCTGAGGTGGAGTCTCACTCCGTTGCCCAGGCTGGAGTGCAGTGGGGCCATCCCGGCTCACTGCATCCTCCGCCTCCCAGATTCATGCCATTCTCCTGCCTCAGCCTCCTGAGTAGCTGGGATTACAGGCATGCACCACCACACCCGGCTAATTTTTGTATTTTTAGTAGACAGGGTTTCACCATGTTGGTCAGGCTGGTCTTGATCTGACCTCGTATTCTGCCAGCCTCGGCCTCCCAAAGTGCTGGGATTACAGGCATGAACCACCGTGCCCTGCTGAGGTTTTCTTTTTCTCTAGCAGCTAAACAAGCACCAGCCTCTAGGGAAGCCACATTCACACAGCTGCATCTCACCTGCCGCCAGACGCTGGCTCATGACTCGCTCCCCTCGGCCACCAGCCCTAATGACCACTTTGATTGGACAAGAGACTGATTTCTGTAACTTTTCTATGAAAAGGAATCTTGTGTGCTAAATTTTTGTCCTAAAGTAAAATGACTGGTTATTTAAGAAAGAGAGAGCACAGGACAAACCATTAAGTCGCAGCATGTTGTAAACAGTCTGTATAAGTTGTGATAAGGTTCATAAAAAAAACGTACACCTGTAATCCTAGCACTTTGAGAGGCCAAGGTAGGCAGATTACTTGAGCCCAGGAGTTCAAGACCAGCCTGGGCAACGTGGTGAAACTCTATCTCTACTAAATTACAAAAATTAGCCTGGTGTGGTTGTGCATGCTTTTAATCCCAGCTACTCGGGAGTCTGAGGCAGGAGAATGGCGTGAACCCGGGAGGCAGAGGCTGCAGTGAGCTGAGATGGCACCACTGCACTCCAGCCTGGGACACAGAGAAAGACCCTGTCTCAAAAAAAAATTTTTTTTTAAGTATGAAAGGAATTTTGTATATGTTTAAGCTGGCTATTACTAAAAGGAAATTGCTTATAGCAGTCTTTCTAAAGATTGAACTTTGATATTAAAAGTACACTAATTGGTCCAGGTGCAGTGGCTCACGCCTGTAATCCCAGCACTCAGGAGGCCTAGGCGGGCGGATCATAAGGTCAGGAGTTTGAGACCAACCTGGCCAACATGGTGAAACCCTGTCTATACTGAAAATACAAAAATTAGCTGAATGTGGTGGCGGGAACCTGTAATCCCAGCTACTCGGGAGGCTGAGGCAGAAGAATCGTTTGAACCCGGGAGGCAGAGGTTGCAGTGAGTTGAGATGGTGCCATTGTACTCCAGCCTGGGCAACAGGCTGAGACTCCATCTCAAAAAAAAAAAAAAGTACACTAATTAATATAAAACCAAAAGTTTTCGGTTAGAGAAAAGTTTTGTTAAAATAATAATTTGCTATTAATAAAATTTGATGTTTAGGTGGGCGCGGTGGCTCACACCTGTAATCTCAACATTTTGCGAGGCCGAGGCAAGTGGGTCACCTGAAGTCAGAAGTTCGAGACCAGCCCGACCAACATGGTGAAACCCTGTCTCTACTAAAAATACAAAAATTAGCCAGGCGTGGTGGTGGACACCTGTGATCCCAGCTGCTCAGGAGGCTGAGGCAGGAGAATCGCTTGAACCTGGGAGGCGGAGGTTGCAATGAGCCGAGATTGTGCCACTGCACTCCAGCCTGGTAACAAAGCAAGACTCCATCTCAAAAAAAAAAAAAATTGATGTTTAATTCTGTGTTGATCCTTGCCTTCTGTTCTTGTGCCCTTGCCAAGGTGTATCTTTTTGCTTGGTTGGGATGATAACCTTCCCTTTCAGCCTTTTTTTTCATCAGCTCCTGTAACTTTCTTTTCCAATTGTAACTACTGCTGTGGCCTGATGCTGAAATGTTGATCTTAAAGGTCTAGAAAAGCAATGTTTTCCTTCATATAACTTGATTCTGTACTCTTGGCTTTTCTTGTTATACATTGTTCAGTATAGCCAGGAAACTTCTCATGCTGTTACTAAGAGTCATGCATTGCCCTGCTCAAGGTGCTGGTTTTCTTGTTTCCTTTCCTCCATAACATCAGGTACACTCATGACCCTAGACACACTCTTCCTGCACCTGACTAAATTCAAATATCCTTTTTCATCAGGTTTGACTTGCAGGTTAGCTCAATGGGCTTCCAGAGGAGAAACAATGACTGCAGAAGGTGTTTCTTTGCCTTTTGAGTAACTGGCCTCAAAAAACGAAGATTTTGCATTTTATCAAGATAATTTCCAGTGTCATTTTTATTTGGTTTTTTGATTGCTTATGAAAACTGAGCTTGTTTTTACATCCATGTAACTTTCTGCCTTGCCATTGAAGATGGCAATGGTTACATGAGTAACTATTATTTTACAATGACCTAGGATTCTATTTTGATCAAATGTTTTGAGCCTTTTAACATCTTTCACAAAAGTCCTCAAAATCAAATCCTACATTAAGCATCTCACTTAGACTTATTGCAGGCAGGATCATCAAAGCTATAAAAATGAATCATTACGAGATTATACATATTTTTTTGAGACAGAGTCTCACTCTGTTGCCCAGGCTGGAGTGCAGTGGCACAGTCATAGCTCACCGCAGCCTCGAACTCCTGGGTTCAAGTGAACCCAAAGTGCTGGGATTATAGGAGTGAGCCTCCACACCTGGCCTGTAAAATCTTTTTGCAGCTTCCAGTTGTGTCATGAACTCCAAAATCACCACCTCCAGCCTGCTGATTACATACACTGGAAGAAACATCAGTTACAGGACTCTTTCCCCTGCACTTTGGAAGGGTCCTTAAAAGGTACTATTAACAAATCCATGTGCTACCAAGTTACAGGGAGTTGACTCCTGGGCACACATAGAGTATGAGTCTGTTTTCACACTGCTATAGAGAACTGCCCGAGACTGGGTAATTTATAAACAAAAGAGGTGACAGCCAGAGGAAGATGCAAAGGAAAGGCATCCCAGGCAGGGAGCATTGCAGCTACAAATGCCCCGAGAGCCTGTATGAGTTTGATTTCACACGCTGTAAAGACACTACCTGAGACGGGGTAATTTATCAACAAAAGAGGGTTCATTAACTCACAGTTCCCCATGGCTGGGGAAGCCTCAGGAAACTTAGAATCATGGTGGAAGGTGAAGGGGAAGCAAGGTACGTCTTAATTTAATTTTGCGTTCATCCTGTTCATCATGGCAGGGGAGAGAGAAAGAGCAAAGGGGGAAGAGCCCCTTATCGAACCATCAGATCTCGAGAGAATTCACTCAGTATCACGAGAACAGCGTGGGGGAAACAAGCTCCCATGACCCAATCAGCTCCCACCAGGTCCCTCCCTCAACACATGGGGATTACAATTCGAGATGAGATTTGGGTGGGGACACACAGCCAAACCGTATCACATCACCTAAAAAAGGCACCAACTCCTGCTGAATCTTGAACATTCCACACTGGTATCTGAAACCAAACTCAAGCTAACCAAAGCCTTGTCTTCAGATCCGGGGGAAGACAACCATCGAAGTGAACGGCTTTCATGAGACACAGGGCTGGGTTTATACTCCAAGACGTTAAGACATTTCATAGTTTTCCCTCTATCTGAATTAATATAATTTGCTCTATGTCTTAGTACTATATACTTTAGATGTTTAGCTACCTGTGAGCTTCCTTTTCCTGTTCTTATCAGAACTGAACAGCGCTTATTGCCTTTGTATTTAAAGTGTTACTGATTCTTTGTTTTGTTTTCCAAAGTCAAGAAAACCTTTTTTCTTTTAACCTATTTATAGGTGACAGAAACTGAGTAAAATAACAAAGTTCAGCTTTCTCTCTCTACCTTCTACCTCCAGAATTCAAAAACTATTCATGAGCATTCTTACTTACAGCAATATGGTGGTTTGCATAAGTTCAATAAGAATACATTTTCTTTTGTAACAGGACACTTTGGGGATATTATTTTAACAAGACCTTTGACTGAAATAACACTTTCCGATAAAGTTCCAGCAAAGCCAATTTAAAAAGAGCCTACACGGCCAGCTGCTATTCCTGCTGCAATTTACACAAATGATCAAGCCAAATAGAATAAGACTAAAACTTATTTTGTACACAAATTGGTCTTATTATTATTTCTCTGTGGTAGAAAGGGGGAACTAAAGAGATGAAAAAAATTACGTTTCAAAAGAAAACACTTGTTCTGCAATTCCAGCCCCGACCACTGTTCTTGAGTTTTATTTTTTGCCTATAATTCAAACTGAGTCTTGAATTATCTCTTGGCTACACATCTCTAAAGAGGATCCAGGTTGTAATTTTCTTCATGATCGTTTTAGTTGGCTCCCTAATGGGGTTGATTCCTTTCTTCCTGTTAGGGGCGCATAAATTCTTGTTGAGAGGCAAAGCCAGCTGGACTTCCTGGGTGGCGTGGGGACTTGCAGAAATTTTCTGTCTTACAAGAGGATTGTAAAACGCACCAATCAGAGCTCTGTAGCTAGGATTGTAAAACGCACCAGTCAGAGCTCTGTAGCTAGCAAGGGGATCGTAAAACACATCAATCAGCGCTCTGTAAAAATGCACCAATCAGCGCTCTGTAGCTAGCAAGAGGATTGTAAAATGCACCAATCAGCGCTCTGTAAAATACACCAATCTGCACTCTGTAAAATGCACCAATCAGCAGGATCCTAAAAGTAGCCAATCACAGGGAGGATTGAAAAAAGGGCACTCTGATGGGACAAAAATGGAACATGGGAGGGGACAAATAGGGAATAAAAGCTGGCCACCCCAGCCAGCAGCAACAACCTGCTCAGGTCCCCTTCCATGGTGTGGAAGCTTTGTTCTCTTGCTCTTCACAATAAACCTTGCTACTGCTCACCCTTTGGATGTGTGCCATCTTTGAGAGCTGTAACACTCACTGCAAAAGTCCGTGGCTTCATTCTTGAAGTCAGCGAGACCACGAAACCACCAAAGGAACCAACTCCAGACACATTATGCCTGTACGTTATAATTCTACCACTCAAATTATTAATGCCATTTATCTCTCAAATCTCTCTCATTCAAAGTCTCCTGGAGCTGTTGCTGAAGCTATACCATATCAAGCACCCTCTGTCTAGGCCCAGGGACTGCTGAGGAAGAGAAGGGGGCGTGAGATGGTAAGGGCTGGCTTCAAAGGATAAAACTAGTTCAGGCTGGGTGCGGTGGCTCATGCCTGTAATCCCACCACTTTGGGAGGCCAAGGCAGGCGGATCATCCAAGGTCAGGAGTTCGAGACCAGCCTGGCCGACATGGTGAAACCCGTCTCTACTAAAAATACAAAAACTAGCTTCACATGGTGGCACGCGCTTGTAATCCCAGCTACTCTGGAGGCTGACGCAGGAGAATGGCTTGAACCCGGGAGGCAGAGGTTGCAGTGAGCCGAGATCATGCCACTGCACTCCAGCCTGGGTGACAGAGTGAGACTCCATCTCAAAAAAAAAAAAAAAAAAAAAAAAAAAAAAAAAAAAAACTAGCTCAGACCCTCCAAATCAAGGACAGTGCATAGATGCCTGCACTGCTGACAAATCAAGGGACTGTGCCTCCTGGGCCATTAGGTGGTTCCCTCTCCATCCCTCCAACTCTAACCCTCTAAAGAATTTCCTGCTTCCCATAGACTTAATTACCAAGAGGATGTAATGACACCTAGTGACACAGCCTCCAGAATACAGCTGTTCCCAGTTATGGGATTTATACAAATAGAGATACAATTAAAACGGTATTGGCCGCCTTAGGACAAATTACTAAAAAGACCACAAAAAGCACAGCAGCATATCAAAGTCTCTAAATTCCTTAGCTGAAATGGTTTTAACAAAATGCTTACGTTTCGTGTAGCTAATTGCTACAAGTCAGAGACTGAGACCAAAATTATGATAGCTCAACACTTGGAACTTATAGATAAGCCAGTTTTGTCACTTCGCCTTTTGGCTTTTGGTTTTCAGCTCTTATATTACCTCCAATTCCGCCTGGCCCAGAACGTTGAGTTGGCTGTAAGTCTTTTAGCTGTAAGCCCCTTGGCAATCAGGGTTCCACTGAAGGGCTGGAGGGACCAGGGCAGGTAGCCCCACCTCCCCCAGCAACAAGGTGGGCCAAGATAAAGGTTTGGCCGTGGATGCTGCCTATGGCAAATCTCAGCCAAAAGCGGGAAATGGAGACGAAAAATAAAATTCTAAGCCACCCAACTGACTGAACCGACGGGCTCCTCACCCCTTGGTCAAGGGGACCCCAGAGAAACCTGAAAAATGGAGTTCTCAGCCCTGAGGGGACAGGAGATCAGATGCGTCCCATGACACCCCTCCCCTGTGTGGTTAGACGCAGCAACTGCCCAGCATGAGTGTTGAGATAGAGAACATCGCCTGGCAGAACCGACTGTGGCCATAAGACGCCACATTATCAACGGGACCTGAGGCCACCCCAGGCAGGGGCGAAGTCACACACGCTGCACTTATTTATGTTCTACCTGCCACGGGAGTTTTCTTTTTCTCTGACACCCAAACGCTGGCCTTGAGACGAACAACGTTAAAGCAGGTGCAGCTCACCCCCTGCCAGACACTGCCTCGCTGACCCCTGCTCCCCCAGCCAGAACCACAGCTGCCATCGGACAACAGCCGCATTTCAGTAACTGTCCCCTGAGCAGGGACCCCCAGCCCCGGACTGGTTCTGGTTTACAGAGGCTGCGCACCGAGTGCTTCCCGTCCCGGCTCCACCTTCTGACGTGCAGGGCCTGATTGTAACGCAGTTAGATGTGCAGTCTCCACCCCAAGGTGAACGTGGGTGGTATATAACATGCCCGTTTATTGTATGCAGTGTAGGACTCTCTCATAACTATTCATAAGATGTTTCTATAACCTGCTGAATATGCATATGTGTCCGGCTCATTCAGCATAAATTCCGTTCCACCCTCCCCTCTTTCAAAGTGCTTACTTTTGGTTTTCAGCTGGAGCTTCGGCTTCCACCTGTAGGTTGTCATCTCCTTCTTAAGAAATAAAACTCTAAATTTATAAAGTGCGATTTTTAAGTCCACAGCTCCTCTCACTTACTAATATGAGTTAAGTTTCCTCCGTGCTTTTGAAGGGCTCGATGGCTCATTTCATTTAGTGCTGAGTCATCTTCCATTGTCTGGATGGACCACGGGCTATTTATCCACTCACTTACGAAAGGACATCTTGGTTCCCTCCACGTTTTGGCCATTATGAATAAAGCTGCTATAAATTCATCCTACGCAAGCTTTTATGGGTACATAAGTCTCCAACTCCTTTGGATAAATACCAAGAGACACAATTTCTAGATCGTATGATAAAAGTATGTTTAGTTTTGTAAGAAACTGCCAAATTTTTTTCCAAAGTACCATTTTCCCACCAGCAATAAATGAATGAAACGTCCACGTCTCCACCAGCGCTTGGTGTTGTCAGTGTTTTGGATTTGGGCCATTCCAGTCGGTATGCAGTAGTGTTATTTAATTTGCATTTCCCTGATGACATACGGTGTTGAGCATCCTTTTTTTTAAGACACAGGGTCTGGCTGTTGCCCAGGCTGGAATGCAGTGGTGCAATCACGGCTCACTGCAGCCTTGAACTCCTTGTTTCACACAATCCTCCTGCCTCAACCTCCCAAGTAGCTGGGACTATAGCTGTGCACCACCACACCCAGATAATTTATTTATTTTATTTTTTTTTTTAGGGATAGGGTGTCTCACCATGTTGCCCAGGCTGCTCTCCAACTCCTGGCCTCTGTGATCCCCCTGCCTCCGCCTGCAAAGTATTTTTTCACATGCTTATTTGCCATCCATATATCTTCTTTGATAAGGTGTCCTTTCAGATCTTTGGCCTGTTTTTTAAACAGATTTTTTTTTATTGCTGAGTTTTAAAAGTACCTTGACTATTTTGAACACTGGTCCTGGTCCTTTATCAGGCACGAGTTCAGTGAAGATTTTCTCTCAGTCTGTGGCTTATCTTTTCTCTGTCTTAACAGTGTTATATCACCTTTTCTTATCAATTTTTTTTCGTGGGCCAAGCTTTGGTGGTTGTATTAGTTACACTTTTGTACTTTATTTTTCGTAGCATACTGAATGTTTCTAAGCTCCTTGATGGCCTCTCCCTCCAAGGGAGGAACACGCACGTCCTGGTGGCGTAGGAGAGAGGAGGGGGTCGTGTCACCCACGGCAGCCCCTCACAGTGCCGGGGCTCAGAGCCCTGCTCTCTGCAGGAAGACATCTACGTGTGATTTTTGCCCTTAAGTGTTTGACAGAGTTTACTGGGAAAGCCATGTAGACCTGGAGTCTTCTTAGTGTGCAGATTTTAAATGATGGATTCAATTTCTTTAATAAGATTTTTTTCAGATTTTCTATGTAATCTTATATTTATTTTAATAAATTGTATTTTCCAAGAATTATCCATTTCATCTCAATTGGCAAGTTTATTGGCATTAAAATGATCATAACATCTTTTTTGTTTGTTTGTTTTTAATTTTTATTTTACTTTAAGTTCCGGATACATATGCAGGTTTGTTCCATGGGTATACATGTGCCATGGTGGTTTGCTGCACCTATCAACCTGTCACCTAGGTTCTAAGCACCGCATGCATTAGCTATTTGTCCCGATGCTCTCCCTCCCCTCACTGCCTCCCCTCCCGCCCACAGGCCCCGGTGTGTGATGTTCCCCTCCCTGTGTCCATGTGTTCTCATTGGATCATAACACAATTTTGAAATCTCTGACTGCCCGCAGGATCTCCAGCGCATCCTTTGTCATTCCTGGTACCAGTTATTCATGTTTTCTTTCTTTTTCTCATGAGCAGCCTCATCAAGGGCTTATCAACTTTATTAGTCTTTTCAAACACTAAACCTTGGCTTTTTCAATTCGCTCTACGGTATCATTTTTCCATCATTTTGTCCTCATCTTCACTATTCTCTTCCTTCTTTCTTTGGATTTAATTCGCTGTTCTTTATGCAGCTCCTTGAGATCAATGATGGTCAGTCATTCTTCTTTTCTGATATATGCATTTAGAGGCTATGTATTTCCCTCTAAGCCTGGCTTTGGCTTTATCCCACAAGCTTTATGTAGTATCTCCATAACTAATTGCAAAACATTGTCTAATTTCCACTGTGGCTTCTTCTTTGAACCATGAATTATCTAGAATTGTGTTTCTTAATTTCTGAGGACATAGTGATGTTTAATTCTCCTTTTTATTTCTTGCTCAATTGCACTGTAATTTTCAATCCTTTGAAATTTGTGGAGAATGGATTTTGTGGCCCAACATAATGTCAGTGTTCACATCTGAGTGTATTTGAGACGAGTGGATGTGCTGTAGCCGTTTTGTGCAGGATTCTACACTTGTGAGTTAAGTCAGGTTCATTCATCACGTTGGCCACATCTTCTGTCCTCAGTGATGTTTTTTGTCTGCTTGCTCTGTCGGTTATTGAGAGACTCATGCGGAAAACTTTCTGCTGCAATTGATAACATGCATATTTTCCCTATAAGTTTGTCCACTTTGAGGCATATTAGGTACATACAAAAGTAAAACTGTTAAAACTTTCTGGCGAATCAAAATTTTTATCATTTTGAAATGTCACCTGCATCACTAGCAGAACTTTAGCTGTAAGGTCTCTGCCTAACATAAAGAGAGCTTATGTGGATATTCTCGTGGTCTAGTTTCCCCTCTTCACTGTCAATCTTTCTGAATCTCGATATCTTCTCTAAATCTACTGTCAATGGAGTTTAGTTGCGTTTTGGAAGGCTTTTTCTTTGTTTGTTTGTTTTTTGGTTTTTGCCTGCATGGCCATTTTGTTCTTTTAATTGGAATATTAGTCGATTTATGTTTAATGTAATTTGGATATGTTTGGGTTTGAATTGGATGCCATAATATTGCTTTCTATTTTGGCCTTGCCTGTTCTATGTATATTTATTCTCATTCCTTGTCTTTTTTTAAATGATTTATTGTTTTGTTTTACTTAAAACATCTGTAAACCAACATTTATCTTTATATAAACTGTTTCAAATTCTCTTCCACTGGACAGTATGAAGATTTCTCAAAGAGCTTAAAGCAGATCACCATTTGATCCAGCAATCCAGATCTACCCAAAGGAAAAGAAGTCATTGTATCAAAAAGACACCTGCATGTGCATGATTATCACAGCACAATTCACAATTGCAGAGATATGGAACCAATCTGTGTGCCTATCAGCTGACAAGCAGATAAAGAAAATGTGGTAGATATACACAGGAAACGCTACTCATCCATAAAAAAGAATGAAATAATATCTTTCACTGCAACTTCGATGGAGCTGGAAGCCATCATTCTAAGTGAAGTAGCTTCTCACTTATAAGTAGGAGCTAAGCTGTGGGTATGCAAAGGCCTGTAGAATGTTATAATGGTCACTGGAGACTCAGAAGTGTGGAGACTGGGAGGGCAGTGAGGGATGAAAAACTAGCTATTGGATACAGTGTACACTACTTGAGTGTGGGGCGCACTAAAATCTCAGACTTCACCGCTATACAATTCATCTATATAACCAAAATCTACCTGTACCCTAAAGCAAGTGAAATAAAAAATAAAAAAGTAAAATAAAAATATCCAAATTCCTTTCCGTTGATTTTTGGGAGCCTAATTATTTCTTCATAGTAGGAAGAAATGATTTGCTAACTGCAAATTTCACAATTAGCAGTGCTAAGTTAAAAATTTTTGTTTAAGGAAAGTAAATCTGATATGAGGTTGTACTTCTGATTCTTCACAAAATTCTTTTAATAATTCTGATGTATATAGTAGCTTATATTTTGAAGACATTTACATTGTGTCAGGTAATTTTTTTATTATACTTTAAGTTCTAGGGTACGTGTGCACAACGTGCATGTTTGTTACATATGTATACATGTGCCATGTTGGTGTGCTGCACCCATTAACTCGTCATTTACATTAGGTATTTCTCCTAATGTTATCCCTCCCCCCTCCCCCCACCCCACGACAGGTCCCAGTGTGTGATGTTCCCCACCCTGTGTCCAAGTGTTCTCATTGTTCAATTCCCACCTATGAGTGAGAACATGCGGTGTTTGGTTTTCTATCCTTGCAATAGTTTGCTCAGAATGATGGTTTCCAGCTTCATCCATGTCCCTACAAAGGATATGAACTCATCCATTTTTATGGCTGCATAGTATTCCATGCTGTATATGTGCCACATTTTCTTAATCCAATCTATCAGTGATGGACATTTGGGTTGGTTCCAAGTCTTTGCCATTGTGAATAGTGACGCAATAAGCATACGTGTGCATGTGTCTTTATAGCAGCATGATTTATAATCCTTTGGGTATATACCCAGTAATGGGATCACTGGGTCAAATGGTATTTCTAGTTCTAGATCCCTGAGGAATCACCACACTGTCTTCCACAATTGTTGAACTAGTTTACAGTCCCACCAACAGTGTAAAAGCGTTCCTATTTCTCCACATCCTCTCCAGCACCTGTCATTTCCTGACTTTTAAATGATCGCCATTCTAACTGGTGTGAGATGGTATCTCATTGTGGTTTTGATTTGCATTTCTCTGATGGCCAGTGATGATGAGCATTTTTTCATGTGTTTGTTGGATGCATAAATGTCTTCTTTTGAGAAGTGTCTGTTCATATCCTTTGCTCACTTTTTGATGGGGTTGTTTGATTTTTTCTTGTAAATTTGTTTAAGTTCTTTGTGGATTCTGGATATTAGCCCTTTGTCAGATGGGTAGATCGCAAAAATTTTCTCCCATTCTGTAGGTTGCCTGTTCACTCTGATGGTAGTTTCTTTTTATTATTATTATTATTATTATACTTTAAGTTTTAGGGTACATGTGCACAATGTGCAGGTTAGTTACATATGTATACATGTGCCATGCTGGTGTGCTGCACCCATTAACTCATCATTTAGCATTAGGTATATCTCCTAATGCTATCCCTCCCCCCTCCCCCCACCCCACAACAGTCCCCAGAGTGTGATGTTCCCCTTCCTGTGTCCATGTGTTCTCATTGTTCAATTCCCACCTATGAGTGAGAACATGCGGTGTTTGGTTTTTTGTTCTTGCAATAGTTTACTGAGAATGATGATTTCCAATTTCATCCAAGTCCCTACAAAGGACATGAACTCATCATTTTTTATGGCTGCATAGTGATGGTAGTTTCTTTTGCTGTGCAGAAGCTCTTTAGTTTAATTAGATCCCACTTGTCTATTTTGGCTTTTGTTGCCATTGCTTTTGGTATTTTAGTCATGAAGTCCGTGCCCACGCCTATGTCCTGAATGTAATTGCCTAGGTTTTCTTCTAGGGTTTTTATGGTTTTAGGTCTAACATTTAAGTCTGTAATCCCTTGTCTTTTATAAATTGACCATTTTCTATTTTTCATTTGGCACCTCTGTTAGTCTGGTGATCATATAATTTTGCTGTTCTTTCAGTGTTGACACTAGGGATTTCATCATGCATCCTTGGCTAATATGAATTGGTACTTTCACCTTTTCTTGAACAATGCAAGGATTTCAGAACACTTTCATTCCATCTACCTCCCTCTCCGCTTTAGTACTATTTTCATTATGTATTTTAAGTCTATATATAGTTGAAACCCCACAAGACATTGCTGCTGTTGTAATTTTCTACAGTTCATTTTCATTTAGATTCACCTCCCACCTTTTTTTTTTTTTTTTTTTGAGACGGAGTCTTGCTCTGTCGCCAGGCTGGAGTGCAGTGGCGTGATCTCAGCTCACTGCAACCTCTGCCTCCCAGGTTCAAGTGATTCCCCTGCCTCAGCCTCCCAAGTAGCTGGGACTACAGCCATGCACCACCATGCCTGGCTAATTTTTTGTATTTTAGTAGAGACGGGGTTTCACCATGTTGGCCAGGATGGTTTCGATCTCCTGACCTCATGGATTCACCCACTTTTTATGTTTACCATTGTTCTTCATTTGGCCTTACATCCAGAATCATTTTTCTTCTACTTGGAGAGCCCCCTTTCATATTTCTGTTAGTGTGAATCTGTTGATGACAAAATCACTTTTTTGTGTATTTGAAAGTGTCATTATTTTACCTTTATTCATGAAGGATATTTTTGCTAGGTATAGAATTCTAGGTTGGCAGTTATTTTCGTTCTGCACTTTTTGACGACTGGTATCCACTGTCTTTCAGTTTCCATTGTTTCTTTTGAGAAGTCAACTTTTCATCTAAATGTGGCCCCTTTCAAAGTAGGGCTTGCCTTTCAAGGTAATCCATTTATCTGGCCAACTTTGAAATTTCTCCTCATCTTTGGTTTCAGTGGTTTTTACTATGATGTGCTCAGGTGTGGTTTTCTTTTGGTTTATTCTACTTGGAGTTCATAGGCAACCACAGGCATCCCAGTGCTAAAACTCTACAGACCCAGGCTACAGCCACCACCCTCAGCTCTTCCCAGAAAAGGCTGTGCAGTCCCAGTATGACCACACAAACTGTCTGTGAAAGTAGCTTCAGGAGAAACAAGGTACTGTCATGGGCTTCATTCACTCCTTAATTTGATAATTAATTCCACACACATTAATGGAGTTTTTCTCACATTCCAGGCACTCAGCGAGGTGCTGGGGTAGGGGAGAAACAGAAAGATGACAAAGACTTGGTTGCCACACTCAAAGAGCTCACAGCCTGGTAAGCAGAAAGGTGGTCCTGCATTTGCCTCTGGACCACCAACCTAGATGAGGGAAAAGGCTCTGAGGAGTTCCATGGTAATGCTGCTTGGAAGTGAAGTCTGAAGTCAGGACTCCTGACTCCAGGATTCACATCCACCCTGTTTCATTAATGCCAATTGAAGGACACTCTTTATCTTGGGCACCCTGGAAGAAACCCCCCAGCCAGTTTCCTATTCCCTTCCCCATGGGATCTGCCTGTGTAGACAGTCCTCCGTCCTTCCCCATCATCCAAACCATTCTTGATAAATAGCTCAGATTTTGAAGATAAATGACAATAACAGCCCCACCTCATTCTGCATTATTTACAATTTTGTTCTTGATGCCTTCCAGAGCCCACTCCCAACCCAGGGCTCAGTTTTGTTTGTTTGTTTGTTTGTTTGTTTGTTGTTGTTTTGAGATGGAGTTTCACTCTGTCACCCAGGCTGGAGTGCAGTGGCGCAATCTTGGCTCACTGCAACCTCCACCTCCCAAGTTCAAGTGATTCTCCTGCCTCAGCCTCCCAAGTAGCTAGGATTACAGGCACCCGCCACCATGCCCAGCTAATCTTTGTATTTTTAGTAGAGTCGGGGTTTTGCCATGTTGCCCAGGCTGGTCTCGAACTCCTGACTGCAAGTGATCCACCCGCCTCGGCCTCCCAAAGTGCTGAGGTTACAGGCGTGAGCCACTGCACTCGGCCTCTGTTTTGTTTTGTTTTGCAAATGCCATCTATTAAGGACACCCACCTCAAATATGGTAGTGGAGAGTTTCTATTGCATGGAGCCTAATAGAATCATGTTTTCTGGCAAGGAAAAGGGAAATTAGCAAGCATGGAATGGGAGGTTTGGATGCTGTTGTTTGGCCAAGAAGCTCACTCTCACCTGCTCTACACCCAAGACTGGCAAATAACATGGTGTACCCATCACACTGGAAAAAGAGTAAAAAGGCAGATAATGTGAAGTACCAGCAGGTGTGCAAGGACACAAGCCTTCCCATGCATGACTGATGGGACAGGGATGGCTATTTCCTCTGAGAAAGAATTCTCTATTAAAATAAAAATGATAGAGCTGTTTTGCTCAGTCACCCCACATTTGGGAATCTATCCTACAGAAATCAAAATTCCAGTTTGTAAGAATCTATGTTCAAGAATATTTACTGAAGCTATTTTTGTAGTGGTAAGGAAAAAAATAGAAATAATCTTTATTTCCCTTGATAAGGAAATGTGGAATACATTTCAGCACATCTACACTCTAGAATCCATCATGCAAGTTTTTTGCTGATTTTTTTTTGTGATAAAATACACCATCTTAATCATTTTTAAGTGGCCGGCTCAATGATGTTAAACTAATTCCCAGTGTTGTGCGGCGATCACCGCCATCCATCTCCAGAACTTTCCATCTTGAAAAACCAAAGCTCTGCCCTCATTAAACACTTGCTCCCACTCCGCCTCCCCCAGCTCCTGGAAGCCACCATTCTACTTTCTATCTCAAGAATTTGACTCCTCCAGAGACCTCATATGAGTGGAATCATACGATATCTGACCTTTTGTGACTGGCCTATTTCACTCAGTATAACATCCTCGGGGTCCATCCATGTCATAATAACTGTCGAATCCCCTTCCTTCCTAGGACAGAATCATATTCCCTTGTATGGATGGACCACGTTTTGTTCACTTACCCATGGATGGACACTTCAGCTGCTTCCCCATTTTAGCTATCGTGAGTAACGCTGCTGTGAACCTGGGTGCACATGTATCTCTGAGACCCTGCCTTCAATTCTGCGGGGTAACTGCTGGATCATACAGTAATTCCATCTCTAAGTTTCTGAGAAGTGATATGGCTACTGTTTTCCACAGTGGTTGCACCATTTCACACTCCCACCAGCAGCTCTCATGCAATTATTAAGAAGAATGAGGGCCGGGCGCTGTGGCTCACGCCTGTAATCCCAGCACTTTGGGAGGCGGAGGTGGGTGGATCATAAGGTCAGGAGTTTGAGACCAGTCTGACCAACGTGGTGAAACCCTGTCTCTACTAAAACTACAAAAAATTAGCTGGGCATAGTGGTGCGTGCCTGTAATCCCAGCTACTCAGGAGGCTGAGGCAGGAGAATCACTTGAACCTAAGAGGTGAAGATTGCAGTGAGCAGAGATCACGCCACTGCACTCCAGCCTGGGCGACAGAGTGAGACTTCATCTCAAAAAAAAAAAAAAAAGAAGAAGAATGAGGCTGGGCACAGTGGCTCACACCTGTAATCCCAGCACTTTGGGAGGCTGAGGCAGGCGGATTACCTGAGGTCAGGAGTTTGAGACCAGCCTGGCCAACATGGTGAAACCCCATCTCTACTAAAAATACAAAAATTAGCCAGGCGTAGTGGCAGATGCCTGTAATCCCAGCTACTCAGGAGGCTACAGCAGGAGAATCGCTTGAGCCCGGGAGGCCGAGGTTGCAGTGAGCAGATATCACAACACGGCACTCCAGCCTGGAAGACAGAGACTCTATCTCAAAAAAAAAAAAAGAAGAAGAAGAAGAAGTAGTCAGGATTCAAGTATTGAAAGATGTCGATGTCATTGGTCAAGCTCCCAGGGTGGGGGTTTGCAGGAGGGAAGCTGGCTGGGGATGCCTTGGGAACCTGAAGAAGCAGGAACAGCTGAGCACGAGGGTCAGACAACGCCGGGGGCCGAAGCCCCGGGCTGAAGGGACCGGGCCTGGTCCCCGCATCGCTGTGCAGTGATAGCAGCTGACGGTCTCGCTTTGGGAGAAACGGGAGATAGATACACACACACTGACATTTACATTTCACTTGTGTGCGTTCGGGGAAAGCTGCGGAATGAATGGGACGGAACGACACTCTGGTCTGAGCAGGTAAAGCAGGTGCTTGGGGCCACGAGAACTTTTTTAATCACATCAAGTGGAACACGCTTGAGACAACGGTTTCGGAAGCCACGCAGGTGCGCTGCGAGATCGTTTCTACCACCTGAGAACCGTCAACAACAGAGGACTTGCCGGGCCTTGATCTCCACATCTGGAAAACAGACACGTTCTCCACCCCGCGGGCCTTTATTTCATACTAAACGGAACGACGCGCTTGAAGCACGTGGCGTGGAGCGAGCCTTCTGCGCATGCGCAAATGCTTCCTCCTCGCCCCTCTGCGCACGCGGCAGGAGCAGAAAGTCAGACAAAGAGAACGTCGTGGAGAAGAACACAAAGGGAGACAGAGACACAGAGAAAGAGAGAGACAGAGACACAGGGAGACAGAGACACAGAGAGAGACACAGAGACACAGAGAGAGACACAGAGACACGACAGAGACACAGAGTCAGAGACAGAGAGACAGAGATACAGAGACAGAGAGACACAGAGACAGAGACACAGAGAAAGAGAGAGACAGAGACACAGGGAGACAGAGACACAGAGAGAGACACAGAGACACAGAGAGAGACACAGAGAGACAGAGACACAGAGTCAGAGACAGAGAGACAGAGATACAGAGACAGAGAGAGACACAGAGACAGAGACACAGAGAAAGAGAGAGACAGAGACACAGGGAGACAGAGACACAGAGAGAGACACAGAGACACAGAGAGAGACACAGAGAGACAGAGACACAGAGTCAGAGACAGAGAGACAGAGATACAGAGACAGAGAGAGACACAGAGACAGAGACACAGAGAAAGAGAGAGACAGAGACACAGGGAGACAGAGACACAGAGAAAGAGAGAGACAGAGACACAGAGAGAGAGACAGAGACACAGGGAGACAGAGACACAGAGACAGAGACACAGAGACAGACACACAGAGACAGACACACAGAGAGACAGAGACACAGAGTCAGAGACAGAGAGACAGAGACACAGAGACAGAGACACAGAGAAAGAGAGACAGAGACACAGAGACAGACTCAGACACAGAGAGAGACAGAGACACGGAGTCAGAGACATAGAGAGACAGAGATACAGAGTCAGAGACAGAGACACAGAGACAGAGACACAGAGAGAGACAGGGACAGAAAGCGTCAGAGACACAAAGAGACAGAGACAGACTCAGAGACAGAGAAAGAGAGACAGAGACACAGAGACAGACTCAGAGACACAGAGAAGAGACACGGAGTCAGAGAGACAGAGACACAGAGTCAGAGACACAGAGAGACAGAGACACAGAGTCAGAGACACAGACAGACACAGAGTCAGAGACACAGAGAGACAGAGACACAGAGTCAGAGACACAGAGGGAGACAGAGTCACGGAAAGAGACAGACACAAACACAAAGAGAGACAGCCCAAGACACAGAGACAGAGAGAGACACAAACACAAAGAGAAACAGAGACAGACACAGAGACAGAGAGACAAGGACAGAGAAAGGATGGGGGAGGGAGAGAGGGAGCAAGAGAGTAACTCCCAGCTGATTAAACACAGCAAAGAGAGAATTCGTGAACTAGAAAAAAAAAAAAGCCAAGGAAAACCAACCAGAATGCAGCACAGACACGAACGAGAAGGAGAGTGCACAGCAGAGGGCCATGCGGATGGTGAGGGGTCCCACACCTGCGTCCTGGAGCCCAGAAGGCGGGAGCAGGGTGGGACCCTGGTGGCCACACAGCTGTTTCCCGAGGCTGCATAGCAAATCACACAGACCTGGAGGTTGAAACGACACAAATGCATCCCCAGAAGTTCTGGGGGCCGGGGGTCTGACATGGCCTCCCCGGGCTAACATCAAGGGGTCCGCAAGGCTGGTTCCTCTGCAGGCTGTCCGGGCTTCGCTTCCCGTCTTTTCCAGCTTCCAGAGGCCACCGGCTCCTCAGCTGTGGCCCCTCCTCCATCTTCAAACCCAGCTCCAAGGCCTCCTCCCTCCTCTCCCACCCTTTGTCCCCTCCCATAAGGACCCTGGTGAGACCCTGGACCCACCCAGATGACCAGGATGATTTCTCACCTCAAGACCCTCAGCCGGCCCCCTCGGCGCAGCCCTTCGCCATGACGTCATGGTGCAGGCCCCGGAATGAGGATGCAGACGGCTTCCGGGCCCTTGTTTGGCCTATCAGACATCAAGGCTGTTTAACATCTTCCTGGAGGTCCTTGCCAGCCCAGTAAGCCAGGACAAGAGGTAAAAGGATGAGGGTTAGGAAGGAACCACAGAGACATCCTGCCTCCACGACAGAGCCCTGACCCCAGCACTGGCACCGTGTTCCCCGCCACGTTCCTGAGCCACTGCCCGGCCCAGCCTGGGCACAGCAGCAGGAGTTGCCCCTAAGGCTCAGGGTGTGCGTTCGCCCCCCTCACCCTACTGTGAAGGAACACCGGAGGCTGGGTGATTCTTAAGGAAAAGAAGTTTAATCGGCTCCCGGTTCTGCAGGCTCTACAGGAAGCGTGGTGCTGGCATCTGCTCGGCTTCCGGGGAGGCCCCAGGAAACCCACAATCCTGGTGGAAGAGAAGGGGGAGCAGGCACGTCACATGGCGAAAGCAGCAGCAAGGTGGGGAGGTGCCGCACACCTTTAAACAGCCAGGTCTCGGGGGAACTCGCTGTCATGAGGACAGCACCGAGGCGATAGCAGTAAACCCTTCCTGAGAGTCCACCCCATGATCCAGTCACCTCCCACCAGGCCCCACCTCCAACACTGGGAATTACAATTCGACATAAGATTTGGGAGGGGACACAGATCGAAACCATACAGGGGTGGAAGGAAGGAAAAGAGGCTGGGAGAGCAGCCATCGGGAATGTGGAGGTGGGGCAGGGGCTCAGGAGCCGGTTGGGTGCCGGGGAGCCGCCCGTGGTGGGAGGAATCTAGGGGGCTGGTCTCTCTCGAGGCACAGGCCTCCCAGGATGCCAGAGGAACTCCCAGTGCAGCAGGGGGGAAGGACTGTCCCCAGGCACAGCGACCCCCCCACCAGCAGACACCAGATGTCCTGAGCCTGCCACAGCTGGGGCAGTGGCAGGAGGGCAGGAGGAAGGGCTCAACCTGCCCTGAGCCAGGCAGCCCCCCCGCCACACCCTCTCCCAGCCTGGGGCATCACACCTGGCAGAGCCTTCCCCGGTCCTGAGCAGCTGCCCAGACCTGGAGGAGTCAGGGCCTCGGAGCCCTGGGCCCCACCTGAGGAGGCCACGGCTGCTAGGAGGGGCCCTTGGCAGGGCCAGCTCCGGCCCCTTCTTCAGACCTGACCCAACCCCAGCTCAGAGGGTGCTCCAGCCGCAGACAGCCCGAGACATCGAGAGGCTCCACCACGGCGACCGGAGCTCCTGGGGACCTCGAGCCCAAGTCTGTCTGACACAGGCCGAGGCTGCACATGGCCGGGCAGTGACGGCCAGGATCCCCCGGGGTCTGAGGCCCATGTGGACAGACGGACGGACGGACAGACGGCAAAGGCAGGAAGGTGTGCTGCTTCCCAGGCTGCCGCAACAAATCTCACCGACTGGCGGCTGAAGCAATGCAAATGCGTCCTCTCGCGGCTCTGGAGGCCGTCTGAAGCCAAGGGTGACAGGCCCGCACCCTCTCTGAAGGCTCCAGCGCAGGGTCCTTCAGCCTCTTCCAGCTCTGAGCAGCCCCCGTGGCTGGTGGCGGCATCACTGCAGCCTCTGCCTCCACCTTCACATGGCTCCTCCCTGCGTCTGTGACTCACAAGGACGGACGTCACTGGGCTAAACCCACTGCAATCCAGTATGACCTCCTCTTACCTCCATCACGTCTGCAAAGGCCCTACTTGCAAATAAGGTAGCAAAGTCTGAGCTTCCAGGGGGACATGAAGCTGGGGACGCCGCTCACCCCAGTATAGAAGAGAATGACGAAGAATGGGCCATGCAGAGCTGCAGTGGGCTCCACGGCTTCCAGAACCCCAGAGAGGCCTGTGGCTCCTTTGCTTCAGATCTGAAGGCAGAAGAGTGGACTGTGATGACCCTGCTAGCCACGAGCCAGGACACACGCATGACAGGATGCACCCAGCACACGACCTACACACGGGCCACGAGCCAGGACACACGCATGAGAGGATGCACCCAGCACACGACCTACACACGGGCCACGAGCCAGGACACACGCATGACAGGATGCACCCAGCACACAACCTACACACACACCACGAGGCAGGACACACGCATGACAGGATGCACCCAGCACACGACCTACACACAGGCCACGAGCCAGGACACACGCATGAGAGGATGCACCCAGCACACAACCTACACACACACCACGAGGCAGGACACACGCATGACAGGATGCACCCAGCACACGACCTACACACGGGCCATGAGCCAGGACACATGCATGAGAGGATGCACCCAGCACACAACCTACACACACACCACGAGGCAGGACACACGCATGACAGGATGCACCCAGCACACGACCTACACACGGGCCATGAGCCAGGACACATGCATGAGAGGATGCACCCAGCACACAACCTACACACACACCACGAGGCAGGACACACGCATGACAGGATGCACCCAGCACACGACCTACACACGGGCCACGAGCCAGGACACACACGACAGGATGCACCCAGCACGCAACCTACACACGGGCCACGAGCCAGGACACACGCATGACAGGATGCACCCAGCACATGACCTACACACGGGCCACGAGCCAGGACACACGCATGAGAGGATGCACCCAGCACGCGACCTACACACGGGCCACGAGCCAGGACACACGCATGAGAGGATGCACCCAGAACACAACCTACACACACACCACGAGGCAGGACACACGCATGACAGGATGCACCCAGCACACAACCTACACACGGGCCACGAGCCAGGACACACGCATGACAGGATGCACCCAGCACACGACCTACACACGGGCCATGAGCCAGGACACATGCATGACACAATGTACCCAGCATGTGACCTACACACGGGCCACAAGTCAGGACACACACGTGACACAAGGCACCCAGCACGTGATCTACACGTGCACCCCAGATTCCCATGTTGAAATATTAACTCCAGGGTGATAAGGTCAGGAGGTGGGGCCTCCTGGGAGGGTGGAGCCCTCATGAATGGGATAGTGTCCCATACAGGAGACCCAGGAGAGACCTCTCCCTCCCGCCGTGTGTGACACAGCCAGAGGCCGCCATCCACTAGCCGGAAACTGGGCCCTTACCAGACACGGAGCCTGCCCTCATGATCACAGACTTTGACCTTGGACTTATAGCCTCCAGAACCGTGATAAATACATTTCTGTTGTTTCCAAGGCCCCTGGTCTGTGTATTTCATTTTGGCAGCCCCAAGGGACTAAGACACAGACCCCCTAAAACCAGCACTGCCAGGGCCCGGGCAACGGGCCCCTCCTATGAGGGGCTGAGGCTGCCTGAGGTGGGGAGGGGCCCGGGGTGATTGTGGGAACTCAGGGCTGTCAGGGGCCCCGGATCCAGGCCCCCATCCTGCCCCCGTCTGGAACCCAGTGGTGTCCCCTCTCAGGCAGCAGCCGTCCTGGCAGGGCAGTTGCTGGGGAAAAGGGGGCCGCAAGGGGAGGTCATCTCTGCTCCCCTGGGGACCCTCGGCAACTCAGAGACCACCTGGACGCTCCGCACTGCTGGGGGCTGGCCGTGGGTCCCCACCCTTGGGAGTGGTCACCGAAGCCACCCCAAGGGGTGACCAGACCCAGAGACATGCAAAGGAGCCCATCACACACAATTCAGGGCCGGGAAGAAGGTGGCACACGTGTGCACCCCCTGGCTGATGCCATCGTCCACGGGTGTGACACACGTGTGCACCCCCCAGCTGGTGCCATCATCCATGGGTGGGACACACGTGTGCACCCCCCGGCTGGCGCCGTCGTCCATGGGCGTGACAGCAGGCTGGGCAGGACCGTTGAAAGGAAGCCAGAAGGAAGGGCCCGTGGGGACAGGGGCCCGGGGGCTCACTTCTCTTTCTTCTTTATAGTTTTCTACATTTTCCAGATTTTCTTTTTTTTTTTTCAGAGTCTCACTCTGTCACCCAGGCTGGAGGGCAGTGGCACAATCTTGGCTCACTGCAACCTCCACCTCCTAGGTTAAAGTGATTCTCCTGCCCCAGCCTCCCGAGTAGCTGGGATTACAGGTGCCCACCACCACATCCAGCTAATTTTTGTATTTTTAGTAGAGACGGGATTTCACCATGTTGGCCAGGCTGGTCTCGAATTCCTGACCTCAGGTGATCCACCTGCTTTGGCCTCCCAAAGTGCTGGGATTACAGGCGTGAGCCGCCGCGCCCGGCTCGTTTTCCAGATTTTCTACAGTAAGCATATGTTGCTTTTATCATCAGAAATGAAGACTATAAAAGGAGAAGAAATAAAAAGGAACTTCCCTGGGGAAACAGCCCCAGTGGAGCCCAAGCCCCCTCCAGGGTGGGGTCAGGGGAGCAGGACACTGGACTGGTCCTGGAAGGTGACCCCCTCCTGGCGTTCAACTCTGCGGGGAGAGGCCCTACCTCCTACTCCTCCAGCAGGAAGTTCAGAGAGCACAGCAGACCACTTGCAAATCACTGTCACCGGAGGCCAGGGGCGGAGGCCACTTCCTCCCTCCCGCCTTCCCTCTGCTGGCCCCAGGACATTTAGGAGTAGAGCTTTGCTAAGGCAGCGGGATTTTGGGATGGGGGTCAGAGAAGTGGGCTACAGCAGAACTCCCCTCCCCAGGGCTGGAACCTGAAAAGGAAAGAAACGTCTACCCCGACACAAGCACGATTCCTTTATTTCGAGCCAGAAAGCAGCCAGTAAACAAGTGCTGCCACCCACAACACCCTGGGCTACCTGCGGTCCCGCGCCTGGCCCTGCAGCCTCGGAAGGGAGCTGTGGGGGTCACCCAGGGCCCACTTCGTGCCCCCACCCTGCCCCCACCCTGCCCTGCTCACTCCCAGCCGCTGCTCCCCTTCCTAAAGAGCAGTCCCTGCTTGAGAGCTCTGAGGAGCAACTTGTTTCTAATCCACAGGATCCTGCACTAAGAGCCCCCCCCACAGCTATCGTGGGGCACCCCAACGTATTCCACCCCTCTGCCCCAGGCACCCAAGGGGCATGGGCACGGCCAGAAGGCCTGTCAGGAGGGCCAGCAGCACCCCCGAGGCTTGTCCCCAAGGTTGGGCGGTTTGGGGCTGGCGGGCACGTTCTCCAGGACCTCACGCAGGGAGAATGTACAAAAGGAAATCTCATCATAGGAGGTCCTGGCCCCGCTCTCGTACAGGCAGGCAAAAACCAGGCCCCCCTCAGGGGCCGGCCCGATGGACGCCAGGTCGGAGTAGCCGCTGGGGCCCTCGTAGATCACCCAGGGCTCTGTCCAGCTGCGCGGGTCCAGCGGGGACTGGCTCAGGCGGATACCCATGTGTAGCCGAGCCCTGCGCCCCACTGGGTGGGAGTACAGCAGCCACGTGGGGCTCTGGGGCGGGGCAGCAAAGGGCATGGGGAGTGCCAGGGTCCAGGACCCCACATCCCCACTGACCCCAGGCCTGGGGCCAGGCTGCCTGGGGCCATCCCCCCGAGGCTGCAGACGGCTGAAGGGCCCACCAGGCACCTGGCCTCCACGGGGGTCTACAGCAGCCTCCTCTGGGGGTTCGTGGACTCCAGGACCGAGGAGTGGAGGCTGGAGGGGACTCCCGGGGCCCACTGACCAACTGTCATCCCGTGGCCTGTTGGGGGCGGGGGCTGGGAAGCCCACGATGCTGCCCTGGCAGCCCCAGGCAGTCTCGGGCAGGGAAGCCACGCGCTCTGCGGGCAGGAAGGAGGTGCCCTCGTCAGTGCTGAGCGCCTGCACACGGCTGCCCAGTGGGCTCCGGGCATTGCAGTAGAGGAAGCTGCCGGCCTGCCCACCGTCCACCGCTGCCAGCTGGCACTCGCCTGAGCGCAGGTTGGGCACGAGGCCTCCACAGCGCCAGGTGCGGCCGTGGTCATCGCTGTAGAAGGCGAAGGAGTGAGGGCTGGTCCGGCAGATCTTGCCAAAACACTCTCGGCGGTCCACGCGGTAGGTGTAGGCGGGTACCAGCAGGCGGCCTGAGGGCAGCTGCACACCGTGGCCGGGACCCACAGCGAATGTGGCCCAGTCTGCAGGGAGGAGGGCAGAGGTGGGAGGGGCTGCTGGGTCCCCGAGGTCGGGGGGCTGGAGGAAGGCACAGGGGGACGGGGAAGGAGGGGCTGGTGCCTCGGGTTAGGACCATCGCACTCTGACCGCCCTTCCACACGACTCATCCCAGCCGCCCTGAGTCCTCCCAGGCTGAACAAGCCTCTCACAGCCCTTAGCAGCCGAGCCCAGGTGGACGGCACCCAGGGAGGCTGGTGAGCGCTGCCCACACAGAGAGAGCGGAGGGCAGGCGGGGGGCATGAGGCCCTGCAGTGGGGTCCCTGGGTTGGCCATGTGTCTGCTGCACTCCCTGCTGTAGCTCCCACGGGCCGGGGTCAGGTGGCCACAGAGGATGGGGTGGAGGGAAAGTTGTGGGTGAGGCCTGGCCAGGCCCTGGGCAGGGTGAGAAGGGAGTAAAGAATAAGAGGAAGGGGTGGGGCGGGGTGGCTGTTGGTTTGGGAGCTGAGAGACACCTCAGCGTCCAGCCTTCTCCTCTGCAGATAAAGAGATTAGCGGGGGGGATGAGAGAGAGTCGGGTCAGCCATAGAGGGCCTGCTCCTGCCCACTGGGTGACTGGGGGTGATCAATACCCATTTGCCTGGGACGGGAGGTGCAGGACGGTCCTGGGGAGAGGGATTTGCCTGGGACGGGAGGCGCAGAACAGTCCTGGGGAGAGGGATTTGTCTGGGACGGGAGGCTCAGGACGGTCCTGGGGAGAGGGATTTGCCTGGGACGGGAGGCGCAGAACAGTCCTGGGGAAAGGGATGGTTGGTTCCCTTGTGGCTGGAGACAGGGGTGGGGCAGAATGGCAATTTCCCGCTGGAATCTCCCTTCCATGTGGACCGTGGCCAATCAAAGGGACCCAGACCGGCACCCTGCCCGCCTACCCTGCACGGCACCACCGATGGCCTCCTCGGTGAGGTCCCGGGCGCTGCCCCACGAGAGGCCGGCGTCACGGCTGGCCACACAGCAGAGGCGCGCGGCGTTCCTTCCCGTGGCGATCTGCACGGCCTCAGGCGTGTGGCCCAGCACCGCGATGAAGAAGAGGAAGACGGTGCCCGTGCCAGCATCGTGCACAGGGCAGGGGTTCATGGACCGGTGCTCCGCCAGGGCTGCTGTCCCCAGCACGTGCAGGGCACCCCACTGCCCAGAGGAGGAAGTTCCGCTGACCAGGACGTCCAGGGACCTGGGCACAGCCCCCCGCAGGGCACCCAGGATCGCTGAGCCTGGTTTGCTCATCTCTACCTCGGGCATCTGCCTGCCGCCGCCACCCCCGCCCCATCCCGGGGTGTGCAGCCCCAGCAGATCCGGCCACTACACCCACACAGAGCCCCCGGCCACTCACTCACCCGCACGGAGCCCCCGGCCAGCGTGCCCCTCCTCAGCACCAGGCGGTGGGCGTGGGAGTCGTCAGGGCTGAGCCGCTGCTCCACAAAGGCCAGCAGGGTGGGCCCGGGGGGCACGGGGAGCAGCGAGGGCACGCGGTAGGTCAGGCCCGTCCTCTCCCGCTCGAAGAGCACTGTCCGTGAAGGGGTACGAGGGACCCCCATGCTCTGCTGGTCAGTACAGGGCCACAGGTCAGCAAGACAGGCCCAGGGAGCCCCACACTCGCTCCCGGTCTGGACTGGGGAATGCGCTCAGGAGGTGCAGACAGCTCCTGCCCACACCTGGGCCTCTTCCTGTACCCACCTTGGGGTCAGCCCTGTTTCTGACTCCCTCACCCCAGATCTGGAGCAGCCCCTCCCCCACCCTCCCTCGCACCCACTCCACCCCAAATGTCTGTGGAATCAGCCCCTTCCCCTCTCAACACGGCTCTGGGAGCTGACCCTCGGCCAGGCTGGTTGGTGCCAGGGTGCAGGGGAGGCTGGCCAGAGAGCCCCCGGGACCCTGCCAGCCATGTGCCCAGGACACAGGGTCATCCCAGAATTCGCCCAGCAGGAGGTCATGTGGACAATGAGGACCCAAAACCTCGAGCAAGGAGGAGCTCAGTGTCCCCAGAATAGAGGCCACAGCACCGTGGAAGCCACAGCAGAGACACAAAGAGGTGAGCCCACAGGGACCTGTGGGAGCCACGGGGCTCTCTGGGGACAGGGGATCGGCTCCCACTTCCTGAACGTCATCGGGGGAGTCACGGGGCTCTCTGGGGACAGGGGATCGGCTCCCACTTCCTGAACGTCATCGGGGGAGTCACGGGGCTCTCTGGGGACAGGGGATCGGCTCCCACTTCCTGAACGTCATCGGGGGAGCCACAGCCAGGGATCCTGCAGGGGACAGGTGCTTGGTGATCAGACCCCTGCCTGCAGGCAGCTGGCCCCACAGTGCCCTCATTCCAGTGCCTGGTGCTTCCCACCTGCAGGGCCCTGACCTGAGAAGCGCCCACAGGAATCAGAAGCTCCAAAGCCGAGTGGGGCCCGGCGGCCATTCTGGGAGTTTGCTCCCAGGCAACACCCACCAGGGCAGGGCCCGGGTGAGGGGGCATTTGGGGCACGCATGGGGTCTGCTTGTTGCAGGCGGGACCTGCCTGGGGGGTCTCTCAGTCTGATCGCACAAAGGCAGACGGAGCCGAGCGTGAGCACGCACAGCCCGGCACAGGGAGGTGGCACAGCTGCAGACAGTGGGAACGCTGGTCCTCCACCATGCAGGAGCGGTCAGATCCACGGCCAGCCGCCCAGGCCGGGCACACGGGGCACCTGGATGCGGGGCTAAGGGAAGGAGGGAGGAGGGAGATGGCCGGATGCCGGACACCACGCCTGGCCAGGGCAGAACGCCTGCCTACGACGGGGACCCATGCACACCCACGGGTCAGGCGGGACCCACTGACAGAGACCCGGGTAAAGGCGCAACACTCGTGTAAAACCCAAGCAGGCCTTGCCCCGACACCTGAGGCCCAAACAGACAGCTCCACCTCCAGCCACCTCTGCCCTGGGCCACCGGTTCCTGAAAGGCTCTTGGCTAGGACAGCTGGCCGGCCCCTTCCTGCCGCTCCCCCACCACCAGTGCGCGGCTTCTGAGAGCAGCTTCCGTCCCCAAGAAGCCCCTGGCTCTGCTCTCAAAGGGCAATTGTGCCCAAGCGGGAAGCAGGTGCAGACGCCATGTGTCCCTCTGGGCTGAGCAGGCACAAGCAAGACATTCTCTCTGCACTTGGCTCCCTCCCCAAGGCCCGGACCACAGGAGCAGGTGTCAGCACCCCCTGCAGACATGAGGCCCAGGCCCACCCCTGGGGACAGAGAGGGAGAGGAGGAGACTCCAGAAACCAGCTGGTCACTCCCCTTGTTGCACAGAGGGGAAACTGAGGCCCACAGAGAGGACAAGGCTGACACACACTTGGCTTGGGGCTTCCTTGCCACGGCCAGGCCCTGGGTTCCACAGAGCCTCCGTGTCCTCCATGTGGCCAGGCCCTGGGTTCCACAGAGACTCTGTGTCCTCAGGAGGTCCCTCTGTCTTGGGGGACCAGCCGTGCTCAGTGTGGCCAGGCCCTGGGTTCCACAGAGCCTCCGTGTCCTCAGTGTGACCAGTTCCCTGGGTTCCACAGAGCCTCCGTGTCCTCGGCAGGCCCCTCTGTCTCGGAGGCCAGCCCCGCTCAGTGTAGCCAGTTCAGCACATTCCAGGGGTTTGGCTTGACTGGGACAGCCATGTCCTGGACATTAACCAGTGCCCCCCGCCCTCCCTGACAGGGCCCTCCTTGGGGGTGTGGAGTCACAGAAGGGGAAACCGAGGCCCAGGGGAGATGGGACCTCCAGGAGAACCTGGCCTTCTGGTCCGTGGACCCCTGGACCGGTTGTAGGGGTCACTCTGGCTCAGCAGGGGGCCATCACAGACCACCCCCCCCACCCCCGCCAACCCCTCACAGCCCATCCTGTGTGGGTGCCCCAAGAGCCTTGAGGTCAGACCAGGCCCTCCACGCACACCCTCTGGGGTCCGCACACACCCTCTGGGGTCCACGCACACCCTCTGGGGTCCGCGCACACCCTCTGGGGTCAGCACTTCTTGTCGTGGGAAGTGTCAGGTGCAGGGTAGGAACATCTTGGCGAGGGGCATTCACATGCACCCACATAAAGTGCAGAGGCCCTTTGCACAGAATCCCGGCAGGGGGCCCTCGGCGGCTCTGACCCTCAGCCTGCACCGTGAGCGTCCTGGGCCCTGGCCAGGGCGAAGACTCCGACCACAGACCCTTCACCTGGTAGAGCGTCCCCGACCAGCCCATCTGCAGAACGACCCTGTGGGCTGGGGCCGGCCCCCTGCATTGGGCCCCTCACAACCAGTCTGTCTCCATCCCATGCCCTGAATCTGCCCCCAGGAACCCTCAGTGTCACACCCACCCTGTGGGCCAGGTAAGTGTCCCATTGGGAGATGCATGTGGGACCTCTTGCTGGAGGGGCCCTCGGAATCCCTGCAGCCCGCCCCTTGTTTGAGAGCTGAGGAGCCACCCTGGGGTTGGCAAGGAGTGGGACTCGTCCAGCACCCCCAGACAGAGGGGGCGGCCAGCTGGACAGATACCTCAGGAGCGGGTCCTGACCCCGGGCGCCCGGGTAGAGGGGTGAGGGTGCTGGGGGTGCAAAGGGCAGGGACTCACCAGCCACCTTGGGAAGGCTGCAGAGCTCATCATGGGTGGCTGCCTCGCCTGACCCAGAGCAGAGACAAGGGCCCACTGTGCGGGCAGCAGGCCAGGGAGCTGGCCACGTCTCAGGGCTACGTCAGGACCCTGGACACTCCCACGGTGGCACGGCTCCACTGAAGCCCAGAGCAGGGCCAGGGGTGCAGATGGGCACCCAGGAGCCACACAGACGCCCGGGACCAGCACAGGCTCCCCTCTGCAGGTCAAGGCACTCAACACTGGGGTGCTGAGGACACGGGGGTGCGCCCTCCAACAAGGGCTGTGCTGGGACAGGCCCAGCTGTGAGGCCGCAGTTGACCTCCCAGAGGGACACGGGTCTGCTGCTCCAGAGACGCGGCCCTGCCAGGAGGGCTCCGTGAGTGCACACTCTCCTCTGGGCTTCCCGGGTGCGGGGCCTCCCCTGGCACAGCACAGCCCCTCACAGCACAGGCCTCACTGGGCTCTAGCTCTGTATCTGTGCTCCTGGCAGGCCAGCACCCCATCGCAATGTCCTGTGCCTCTCAGGGCCCAGGGTGACCCCTCCCCAGCACAGCTGCCGTGCAGGACTCCTGCCAGTCCCATTCACGCTGGCCTGCCCCCAGCCTGTCCCCGCAGGACTCCTGCCAGTCCCATTCACGCTGGCCTGCCCCCAGCCTGTCCCCGCAGGACTCCTGCCAGTCCCTTTCACGCTGGCCTGCCCCCAGCCTGTCCCCGCAGGACTCCTGCCAGTCCCTTTCACGCTGGCCTGCCCCCAGCCTGCCATTTCAGAGGCAGCCTTGGTAACCAATGCTCAAATGACCACTGCCCAGGCCAGAATCTCAGAGGAGGCCACAGGTGCCCGGTATGTTCTGATGGGGCAGCCTCCGTGGGGGATCCCTGGGCCCTGAACACCCTCCTTTCTCACTGTCCCTCCCTCCCCTGCGAAGGGCATCCTCAGCTGCTTCTGAAACCTGGGGCGCTGTGGTGGGAAACAGGTAGGTCACGTGGTTTCCAGGCTGAGATGATAAACCTGCCGCGTCCCTCCAGGTCCTAGGGGCCTGAGGGGATTTACTGGGGGCAGCTGGGAGGGGGGCGGCGAGGAAGCAGGAGGGGTGGGCCCCAGCTCCTTCTGACTCATCTGAATGCCCCCCGTGGCCCCTCGGCCGCCAGAGCTCGTGAAGACGGTTAAGGAAAGCTTCCCCCAAGTGGCTTTCACCCCACGGGGACAGAGCCCCAGAGGTGCCTGTGGGCCCAGTGTCCTGTGCACTCACAGCCCCAGGAGGGGCGGACCCAGTCCAGGCAACTTGGCCATCGTACACATCCTCCTGCTCACAGCCGAGAATCCTGGGGCAGGGGCAGGTGGGTGGGAAGGGACAACCTCCCCACCCCTCAGAAGCCCCACCCCAGCCCAACCAGAACTGGGTGGCCCATCTCCCTTCTCGTGTCCCCCAAGTCTGGGACTGGTGGAGTCTGACCAGGGCCATCCCCTAAGTACCCAGGCTTACAGGGAAACGGGACCTCCAAGCCCCACGTCACCTTGCAAAGTCCCCTCCTGGGCCACCCTGAGACACAGGCCGGGTCTGGAGCAGGGCTGTCTGGCCAGGGTGTGCCCGCAGAGCTGGGGTGGGGGGCAGGCCTCACTCCCTCTGCTCCAGGCTTTTCAAGCCCACTGTTTTCAATCTAGAGATTTCACAGAAAAACCCGTGTTTTCAGCTTCTCTTGAAAAGTCAGATCTGCCCTCAGGTGCCACCCACTTCCCCTGGGCATCTCTGCCTGGACAAGCCACCGTCTACCCAGGGTATATGACAGCCACGGGTCCCACCAACCCCCAACTGTCACCCCATGGCCCACGGCTGCTCAGAGGTCCCTGGGCCCATCTGGGGCTCTGTCCCCGTGGGGTGAAAGCCACCCGGGGGAAGCTTTCCTTAACCGTCTTCGTGAGCTCTGGCAGCCGAGGGGCCACGCTGACCCCAGCATCACACGGAAGGCTGGGACGTGCCCCCTCCCCCAAGAGCAGTTTCGGCTACTCTGTGTCCCCCTTTTATGGGCTGCACGACGTGGCAGCATTTTAACCGCCCCTTCTCAATGCACAGCCCGGACAGGCTGTTCTCAACACTCTCTACTGCAAACTACACACAGTTTTACGTCGCCAGAAAGACCCCAAATTTCTATTCAAAAAGACCGTACCAGTTTCAGTTCCCGCCAACCTCAAAGGCAGAGACAAAAGGACGGTGTGCCCCTCCTGTAACTTCATTTCTTCGGTGACTGTGAAGCTGAGGGCAGAGTCCACGCCTGGGGACAGGGCTGCCACCGCAGCGGCCACTGCGTCCAACCCTCGCTCCTCCTCCCAGAGACGACCTGCGTTCCGCTCAGGGACAGGGCTGCCAACGCAGCGGCCACCGCACCCAACGCTCGCTCCTCCTCCCAGAGACAACCTGAGCTCTGCTCAGAAGCGGCACCTCCTCATGCTGGACTCACTCGGGCCCACATGTGCCAAGGGGGCCTGGTTTTGGGGCCGGCGGGTTCTGCCTGATGCTCAGAGGGTAACTGGATGCTGAAAACTGTGAGTCTTTCTTCAACTCAGGGGAATGTTTCCAGGGCACGCCAGGCCTCACTCACGCAGGCCTCCGCGACAACTGTTCAGCACTGACTGAGGGTGAAGTGAAATCCTGAAAGCTGAGAGCCAGCGCCCTCACACGAGGGCTGGGACGTAACAAAAGCCCATCAAGAGTTTTGCCCAGGGCTTTCTTGGGCCTTGAAGCATGACGAGACCAGGACCCGTTTAGGATTAAACAAGTTTTACTGGGGGTCTGAAAAAACTCCCCAGGCCTCCACAAACAAGTGGAGAAGGAACTCCCCAAACCTCCATGATTTAGCAGAAGACAAGATAAGGGTAAACACCTGGGCCCATTTAGATCAAGTAAATTTACTGAGTCTTCAGAGGAAGATCTTCAGGACCAGACCTCAGTTAGAGATGAGAAGAATTGAATCACGTACGTCTTTAGACGAATGCACACTGACACGGAGACACAGAGCTTAGAAGGTGTGTAAGCTCTGGAAAAACTGTAATCTGGAGTTGGTCTGGCGATCATTTCCAGGCCTTCTCCCTGTAACCAGTTACAGAAATAAAATCCCTCTTCTTCCCCAGTTCATCTGCATCTCGCTATCGGGCCTCGGGAATGAGCAACCCGACCCTGGGTTTGGTCCGGGAACGTTTTGTTCTCTGCGTGAACTGCTTTCTCATCTGTGGTCTTTTCTGTCTTCTGGGACTCCTGTTGTTGGCACGTGGGCTCCTCCCGGGCCACTTTCCCTTTACCTGGCAGGATCCTCTCCTGTGCCTTTCCTGGGCTGAGGGGGGAGGGAGGGAGGGAGGGAGGGTGGCCTGCCGAGGTCCCTGGGCTAAGAGGGGAGAGTGGCCTGCAGAGGTCCCTGGGCTGAGGGGGGAGGGAAGGTGGCCTGCAGAGGTCCCTGGGCTGAGGGGGGAGGGAGGGTGGCCTGCGGAGGTCCCTGGGCTGAGGGGGGAGGGAGGGAGGGTGGCCTGCAGAGGTCCCTGGGCTGAGGGGGGAGGGAGGGAAGGTGGCCTGCAGAGGTCCCTGGGCTGAGGGGGGAGGGAGGGTGGCCTGCGGAGGTCCCTGGGCTGAGGGGGGAGGGAGGGTGGCCTGCGGAGGTCCCTGGGCTGAGGGGGGAGGGAAGGTGGCCTGCAGAGGTCCCTGGGCTGAGGGGGGAGGGAAGGTGGCCTGCAGAGGTCCCTGGGCTGAGGGGGGAGGGAGGGTGGCCTGCGGAGGTCCCTGGGCTGAGGGGGGAGGGAGGGAGGGTGGCCTGCAGAGGTCCCTGGGCTGAGGGGGGAGGGAGGGAAGGTGGCCTGCAGAGGTCCCTGGGCTGAGGGGGGAGGGAAGGTGGCCTGCGGAGGTCCCTGGGCTGAGGGGGGAGGGAGGGTGGCCTGCGGAGGTCCCTGGGTTGAGGGGGAGGGAAGGTGGCCTGCGGAGGTCCCTGGGCTGAGGGGGGAGGGAGGGTGGCCTGCGGAGGTCCCTGGGCTGAGGGGGGAGGGAAGGTGCTCTTCCCGGGTCCCTGGCGTGAGGGGGGAGGGAAGCTGGCCTGCGGAGGTTCCTGGGCTGAGGGGGGAGGGAAGGTGGCCTGCGGAGGTCCCTGGGCTGAGGCGGGAGGGAAGGTGGCCTGCGGAGGTTCCTGGGCTGAGGGGGGAGGGAAGGTGGCCTGCGGAGGTTCCTGGGCTGAGGGGGGAGGGAGGGTGGCCTGCGGAGGTTCCTGGGCTGAGGGGGGAGGGAAGGTGGCCTGCGGAGGTCCCTGGGCTGAGGGGGGAGGGAAGGTGGCCTGCGGAGGTTCCTGGGCTGAGGGGGGAGGGAGGGTGGCCTGCGGAGGTTCCTGGGCTGAGGGGGGAGGGAGGGTGGCCTGCGGAGGTTCCTGGGCTGAGGGGGGAGGGTGGCCTGCGGAGGTTCCTGGGCTGAGGGGGGAGGGTGGCCTGCGGAGGTCCCTGGGCTGAGGGGGGAGGGAAGGTGGCCTGCGGAGGTTCCTGGGCTGAGGGGGGAGGGAAGGTGGCCTGCGGAGGTCCCTGGGCTGAGGGGGGAGGGAAGGTGGCCTGCGGAGGTCCCTGGGCTGAGGGGGGAGGGAAGGTGGCCTGCGGAGGTCCCTGGGCTGAGGGGGGAGGGAGGGTGGCCTGCGGAGGTTCCTGGGCTGAGGGGGGAGGGTGGCCTGCGGAGGTCCCTGGGCTGAGGGGGGAGGGAAGGTGGCCTGCGGAGGTTCCTGGGCTGAGGGGGGAGGGAGGGTGGCCTGCGGAGGTTCCTGGGCTGAGGGGGGAGGGTGGCCTGCGGAGGTCCCTGGGCTGAGGGGGGAGGGAAGGTGGCCTGCGGAGGTCCCTGGGCTGAGGGGGGAGGGAAGGTGGCCTGCGGAGGTTCCTGGGCTGAGGGGGGAGGGTGGCCTGCGGAGGTCCCTGGGCTGAGGGGGGAGGGAGGGTGGCCTGCAGAGGTCCCTGGGCTGAGGGGGGAGGGAGGGTGGCCTGCGGAGGTCCCTGGGCTGAGGGGGAGGGAGGGTGGCCTGCAGAGGTCCCTGGGCTGAGGGGGGAGGGAGGGTGGCCTGCGGAGGTCCCTGGGCTGAGGGGGGAGGGAAGGTGGCCTGCGGAGGTTCCCTGGGCTGAGGGGGGAGGGAAGGTGGCCTGCGGAGGTCCCTGGGCTGAGGGGGGAGGGAAGGTGGCCTGCGGAGGTTCCTGGGCTGAGGGGGGAGGGTGGCCTGCGGAGGTTCCTGGGCTGAGGGGGGAGGGTGGCCTGCGGAGGTCCCTGGGCTGAGGGGGGAGGGTGGCCTGCGGAGGTCCCTGGGCTGAGGGGGGAGGGAGGGTGGCCTGCGGAGGTCCCTGGGCTGAGGGGGGAGGGAAGGTGGCCTGCGGAGGTCCCTGGGCTGAGGGGGGAGGGAAGGTGGCCTGCGGAGGTTCCTGGGCTGAGGGGGGAGGGTGGCCTGCCTAGGTCCCTTGGGCTGAGGGGGGAGGGAGGAGGTCCCTGGGCTGAGGGGGGAGGGAAGGTGGTCTGCGGAGGTTCCTGGGCTGAGGGGGGAGGGAGGGTGGCCTGCGGAGGTTCCTGGGCTGAGGGGGGAGGGAGGGTGGCCTGCGGAGGTTCCTGGGCTGAGGGGGGAGGGAGGGTGGCCTGCGGAGGTTCCTGGGCTGAGGGGGGAGGGTGGCCTGCGGAGGTCCCTGGGCTGAGGGGGGAGGGAAGGTGGCCTGCGGAGGTTCCTGGGCTGAGGGGGGAGGGAGGGTGGCCTGCGGAGGTTCCTGGGCTGAGGGGGGAGGGTGGCCTGCGGAGGTCCCTGGGCTGAGGGGGGAGGGAGGGTGGCCTGCGGAGGTTCCTGGGCTGAGGGGGGAGGGAGGGTGGCCTGCGGAGGTTCCTGGGCTGAGGGGGGAGGGTGGCCTGCGGAGGTCCCTGGGCTGAGGGGGGAGGGAGGGTGGCCTGCGGAGGTCCCTGGGCTGAGGGGGGAGGGAGGGTGGCCTGCGGAGGTCCCTGGGCTGAGGGGGGAGGGAGGGTGGCCTGCGGAGGTCCCTGGGCTGAGGGGGGAGGGAAGGTGGCCTGCGGAGGTCCCTGGGCTGAGGGGGGAGGGAAGGTGGCCTGCGGAGGTTCCTGGGCTGAGGGGGGAGGGAAGGTGGCCTGCGGAGGTCCCTGGGCTGAGGGGGGAGGGAAGGTGGCCTGCGGAGGTCCCTGGGCTGAGGGGGGAGGGAGGGTGGCCTGCGGAGGTCCCTGGGTTGAGGGGGAGGGAAGGTGGCCTGCAGACGTCCCTGGCTGACTCTGACTCAGCAGAGCTCCTGCCATTCTTCACGGCCGACTCTCACTGAAAATTCACTCTTCCTGCAACTCCTCCAGGCTGAGCATGCTGCAGAGTAGCTGCGTTTCCTGGGTGCCCCAGGCATCGGCTGGTCCCGGCGAGTGCACCCCCTTTACCCGCTGAGCCCCTGGCAGCCAGGGATCACGTCCTGCCAGGCAGGGAGGCTCTGTCCCTCCCTGTGAATGACAAAGAGGGGTACCCACAGCTGCCCTCTGGCACCACACCCAACACGGTCTCCAAGGCAACCAAGGGTGTGTGTACCCCCAACCACTCCAGCCTCCTTTGGCAAGTGAGACTCCTCTCCTTCACGAGGCATCAGGGGCTGACCAGCAGGGGTCGTGGAGCTGAGCTCGACCTGGGCTCCGGCTAGAACCCTGGTCTTGTGAGCAGTTGTGCCATCTCTCTGTAGAAAACATCCTTCCATCAGAACCAAACCTCCTGCAGCGAAAGCTGTGGAGCTGTTCGGGAGCGGCTGAGCCCTGGCCCCTGCCCCGCTCCCGGGCCGGTCTTTGTGGCACTGCCTGTGCCTGCACCTGTCTCTGGGACCAGCACCTCGTCGCCAGGGCCGGGAAATTCAGGGGAACCACTCTGAGTTCCTCCGAGGATCCACAGCCCCAGTGCCCAGGACCCTGGGGAGTCCCGGGGCTCACAGGCACGCGCATCCTGCCGGGCAGGTGCTGCCCTGTGGTCCAGCATCCCCCACTCCCCACCCTCGTGTTCAGTTCTAAACAGAGACACAGCCTCGGAAGGGGGGCGGGTGGCTGCCGCCTGGGCTCAGGGCCTTCTCTGGGAGGGATCTGCGCGGATTGCGGGGGGTGCTCTTCACTGGGGTCTCCGCCCTCTTCATTTTAGAGCCGTGGCCGGCGGGCCTGGGTTTCCCAACGCCCCAGAAGCCCTGCAAGGATCCCCGGCCTCCCCGGTGACGGCGGAGAGAGGAGCTGGTGTCCGCAGGAGGCCTCGTCCCCGGCCCGGCCCCTCTACGCCCCCAGGAACGGGATGTTCTTGAGGGGCTTCTCCGGGAACTGCAGGGCGTACAGGCGGGCCATGTACTGGAGCTCAGGCATCACAAGCCTCTGGCACACGCCCAGCGTCTGGTTGTCCAGGCCCGGCCGGAGGTTGTAACCCAGGATGTCGGCCTTGCCGGACTGGTAGGGGCGCAGGCGCGGGTCTCTGATCTGCGTGTGGTTCTTGAGCGCGCCGCCGTCCTGCAGGCACAGGCTCGCGAGTTCGCGCCTCCGGGCGCGCAGCCGCTCCACCTCCCCGCGCAGCCGCCGCGGCCCCAGCTCGGCGCGCAGCTGCGCCCAGAGGGTGCGGTTGAAATGCTCGTACAGGCGCCAGTCCAGCGCGCACCAGCTCCGCGCGCGCTCCCGGGTCTCGGGCGACAGGCGGGCCACGGAGCGCGCGCTGCGGGAGTTGAGCCTGAAGGCCACCACGTCGTCCAGCGCCCAGCGCAGCCGGCGCCGCAGCAGCACCAGGGACTCGTCCAGGTGCTCGGCGATGAGCACCAGCCGGAAGCGCCGCTCCACCTCGGCGATGCGCGCGCGCACGTAGCCCTCCTCGCACTGCGCGTTGGGGTCGAAGCCGAAGTCGAACCACATGTTGTTCTTGGCGTAGACGTTCCTGAGGTGGCGGCTGTCGTTGTAGAACGTCCGCGGCGAGGCCAGGAACGCGTCCAGGCTCGGGGCGCCCCGGAAGGCGGGGGCGTAGGTTTTGTAGTAGATGAAGGAGGACTCCAGCTGGAACACGGGGTTCCTCAGGATGGAGAAGTAGAAGGTGTCGTTGGGCATGACTTTCTGCACCTGTGTGGCGACAGAGAGGCGGGCTGCGGACCGCGGGCCCAGGCCAGGGTGGCCCACCCGCGGGGAGGAGGCGCGCCCTGGCCACACCCGCTCAAGGAGCACCCCCATCCTCACATCTGCCGAGGAACCTGGGCCTGGCGCCTTCTCGTGCGGCAGCTCCGGGAGCAGAGCCAGGGCCACACGCAGGCCCTGCAGCCCAGTCACTGGTTCCCGGGTGCCCAGAACAGAGGCCAAGGACGCCAGGAAGGGGCCTCAGGAGGAGGAGTCCGTGGGCAGAGCAGGAGGAGGGAGGAGGAGCTCCCACTGGCATCTCGAGGAGACCCAGAGGCCTCTAGGAGTGGGATGCTGTGGCGCACAGACAGCACGAAGGGCCCTCCACGGGCCCCTGGCACAGGGGGCTTCAGCACTCCACCAGCTGCCCACAGGCCAGGGTGACACCCACCTAACAGACAAAGAAACTGAGGCCCAGAGAAGGTCCGTGACCCAGGTTCCCCACAGGGTGGGTCTGGACTCACCCTCGCTTGTGCCCCCTCAGAGGTCCTGGAGGATATACCCCACCCACAGAAAGTAAAGTCTTGCAGAAAGTCACGCCCAACTACACCGCCTGCTTCTCCATCCTCAGAAACCCAGGGAGAGAACAGTGGGAGGCCTCCTCCCTGCCCCCACCCTCTTCCTTTCCCCTCCTCCCGGCCCCTCCTCCTCCCTCTGCCCCGCAGCCCCCACCCCACAGCACACCCCCGCTGCCCCGCTCTCTGCCCATCACCTCTCCCCACCCGGCCTCCCTCTGGCCCCGCCTGGTCACCTAGCCTCTGCTGGCCATTCTCCACAGAGCGCTCAGGGTGACCCTAAAACACCTGTGCCTGCCCACAGCCCTCCCACCCACACTCCCTGCCCTGCTTCCTTTGTAAGGAAGGTCAGGGAAGCCCTGGGGGGAAGCCGGCTCTATGCTGAGACCCAAGGGACCCAAAGAAGGGCCTGCAGCCACAGAAGCGAAGGTCACAGGGTGGGGAGAGCCGGGCCTGTGCACAACTAGGAGGCCAGAGAAGCGGGGGAGCGCTGGGGACGCCCTTGGGCAGGGGCTGTGGGGCTCCCAGGTCTCATTCCAAGAGCAACGGCAGGCGACTGGCCGCCTGGAGGGGCAGGGGTTGGCTCAGCAGGGCGTGCGGCCCAGGCCCTCCCAACCCGCCTTCTGCACGCCCCGCCCCCAAGCCTTACACTCCTTCTCTCCAGCCTCCAGGCTACACCACCCAGACCCACAGCCACAGGCACGGCTGCAGCCCGCCCTCCTCCCCAGCAGGCCCGCGGTACCTGAGGCAGGTTGAACCTCAGGTGGTTGCACATGATGTTGAAGCGCTGCTGCGACCCCACGCCTTCCACGTAGCGCGCCAGGAAGAGCCAGGGGTAGCCCAGGTGGACGCGTGAGCCGGCGGGCAGCGCCACGGACAGGTTGTGGGTCTCGGCGAAGCGGTAGAGGATGTTGAGCACCGTGCTGCTGGCCGTCTTGTGCGTCTTCAGGAACATGATGTTGGTGACCGGCGGCCCCTCAGCCTGGCCCCCAAACAGGCTGGGAGGGAAGGCACACGCAGCCTTCAGCAAGGGTGCAGATGCCCCAACCCCCGCCCAACAGCGACCCCCAGCCCGGCAACCGCAAGGAGAGACCTCCCAACCTGAGCCCCCCAACTCTAGGCCAGGGGGCCAACTGGGTAGGCACCGACCCATGGCCCCAATCCTTGCCCCACTCCACAACCTCCCAGCTGGTGGCCCGAACACAAACTCCCCCAACTGTCTCCCGTAACCATGCTCCCCCAACCCTGTGCCCCCGAGAACTAAAAATAAAACCCTAAATGAACCCCATCTTGGCCAAGGGGACCCCAGACCCACCTTAAAACTGAGTTCCCAGCAGTGATGGGATGGGAGGTAGACGCCTCGTCACACCCCCTCCCCTTTGCGGTTTAGACCCAGCAGCTGCCGGGTGTGAATGTTACATAGAGACCGTAAAGAAAATGTGGCACATCTACACCACGGAATACTGTGCAGCCATAAAAAAGAATGAGTTCATGTCCTTTGCAGGGACATGGATGAAGCTGGAAACCATCATCCTCAGCAGACTAACAAAGGAACAGAAAACCAAACACCGCATGTTCTCACTCATAAGTGGGACTTGAACAATGAGAACACGTGGACACAGAGAGGGGAACAGCGCATCCCAGGGCCTGTCGGGGATGGGGTGTAAGGGGAAGGAAAGCATTAGGACAAATACCTAATGCATGCGGGGCTTGAAACCTAGATGACGGGCTAATAGGTGCAGTAAACTACCGTGGCACGTGTATACCTGTGTAACAAACCTGCACGTTCTGCACGTGTGTCCCAGAACTTAAAGTAAATTTTTTAAAAATTAAAAAATAAAAGGAGACCATGGCCCAGCAGAACTGACTGTGGCCATAAGACGCTACATTATCAACGGGACCTGAGGCCATGCCGGGCAGGGGCGAAGTCACACACGCTGCACTTATTTATGTTCTACCTGCCACGGGAGTTTTCTTTTTCTCTGACACCCAAACGCTGGCCTTGAGACGAACAACGTTAAAGCAGGTGCAGCTCACCCGCTGCCAGACGCTGCCTCGCTGACCCCTGCTCCCCCAGCCAGAACCACAGCTGCCATCGGACAAGAGCCGCATTTCAGTAACTGTCCCCTGAGCAGGGACCCCCAGCCCCGGACTGGTTCTGGCGGTTTACAGAGGCTGCGCACCGAGTGCTTCCCGTCCCGGCTCCACCTTCTGACGTGCAGGGCCTGATTGTAACGCAGTTAGATGTGCAGTCTCCACCCCAAGGTGAACGTGGGTCACAAGTAAGTAACACACCTGTTTGTTCAGGACACGTGCGTCAGGACCCCCTTCATGAATATCCACAGCTCCTCCCGTCACCTGCTGAACGTGTACTTGGCCAAGCCGTTCAGCGTAAGCCCCTGTCCCACCCCCTCCCTCGAAGTGCCCGCTCCCAGCCTGGGTCGGCGGCTGTGCTCCCAGCCTGGGTCGGCGGCTGTGCTCCCAGCCTGTGGGATGTCCACACTTTTTAAGAAACAAAGTGTCCTCTCCACATTCATAGATGTCATGATTCTTCAGTTGACACCCCCAACCCTGGAACCCCCACCAGACCCATCACTGCACCCCAACCTAGAGACCCTCAGCCCCAGCCTCAGGGCCCCACGGAGACAGTGTCCTCAGACCCATCCCTGTTTCCCTCGGGGGCTACACACTCTGGCCCACACATCACCCCAGCCTTCTCCCTGGTGCCCAGGCACGCACATGCAGCTGGCTTTGTGACCTCAGCCACACGTGCAGTGCTTCTTGTCCCTTCACACCAGGAAAAGGAAGGACCCCAAAGCCGAGACCAGCGGCCAGATGTAGGGCTGGGCCCACTCCTAGAATCCCATCATGACACCCACCCAGTGGGGCTGGAGTAGCAGGCGCCCTCCCTGCCCCAGAACAGGGCCAGCAGAAGTGACCAGGATGGTGGGGTCAGGGTACCCAGGCCTGGCCAGCCTGGGTGATGGGGGTGAGCAAAGACAGGGTCCTTGGCACCTGTCTCTGGCAGCTCGGCCCAGAGGGATTGGTGCTTCCTCTGTCTCCTCCAACCAGAGGGGCTGGGGAGTGGCGGGGCCTGGAAGACCCTTCCAGCAGCCTGGCTAAAGCCCTGTCTGGAGGCACAGCTGGGCTGCGAGGTGAGCACAGGTGGGCACCTCCATGCAGCAGGGGCTCCACAGAGGATGTGCCACAGGCAGGCAGGGGAGAGGGTCCCAGGTGGGCCCATGGCTGCAAGGTCTGTCCTGAGCACGGTTCTGACCTTTTCCTTCCCAGATCCAGCCCAGGCCCACAGGCCACCTCTGTTGTGGGGAGCAAGAAGGAGGCCTCCAGCCCTGCCTCCCACACACAGGGACCCTCTGCACACACTGGGTCTGTCCCCAAACCCAGACCCGGCCCCTGCTCCCCAGAGCCCTCCCCAAAGGCCCAGGTGGGTTTGTGGCTAACAGGAGACTCTCAGGGTCCCCCCAAGGAAGGGCCCATCCACCCCTCCTCTTCCAGAGGGAGACAGGCCCAGTGGGGGGCGTGATCATGCTGGGGTCCCAGGCTCTGTCCTCGGGGCTGTTAGGAGGTACCCGGGGCAGGACTTATGGTGGGGGCAGGACTTACGGTGTGTCCAGCTCTAAGTCCGAGTGCAGGAATCCGGCCAGCAGGAGCAGAGTCAGGGCCAGGAGGAGGAGGAGGATGACCCGGAAGTATCTGTGGAAAGGGCAGGCCATGAGTGCCCAGTCCGGGTCGTGCCAGCCCCACCCCCACCTCCCATCCTGCAGCCAAGTCCAGGCCTTGGGCCACACAGGTCTGGGCCTCCCCTCACCTCTGTAACGTCTTGTCCTCAAACCCACTGGGTGCCGGCCCATGGGCTAGGGAGTCTCAACCCAGGACAGGCCTGAATCTGACCCCATCCCGACCACCCCTGAATGGCTTAGGGCCGGAAAGAGCCTAGTGGATGAGCCATCCCTTTCCCTGGGGTTCGGGAGCTGACAGGGCCGCGCTCCTGGGACCAGAGGTGGGAACAGGTCAGGGGACCTCTACCCACGCAGGGCCCCCTGGGAGACTGTATGGGACGGAGACCCCCAGGCCCCCAGGGGATCTGGAGAGGCTGAGAGTTTGGTGCAATGGACTGTGCGCCCCCAAAATCCACAGGCCAAACCCCTAACACACAGCGTGATGGTGCCTGGAGGTGGGGCCTCTGGGAGGTGTTAGGGTTGGATGAGGTTTGAGGGCGGGTGGAGTCCCTGTAATGGGATTCGTGTCCTTCTAAGACAAGGAAGAGACCAGAGTGCAGCTTCCACTCCCCACCCTCGCTCCCCATATAGGGGCACAGAGAGAAAGTGGCATCTGCAGGCCAGGAGGAGGGCCCTCCCCAGGAACCCGCCATGCTGGCTCGAGATCGCATGCCTTCCGGCCTCCAGAACGGTGAGAAGCACATGTCTGCTGCTGGGGCCAGCCTGTCTGTGGTGTCTGTTGTGACAGCCCGGGGTGACTGAGCCTGGAGGAAGCATGATGTCTCCAAACAGAGAGGCGGGGCCCACATGAGGAGGCCTGAGGAGGCCTGGCCTGGGTCCCAGGAGCCTAGCATAGCAGGTGCAGCCAGATCAGGGAAGAGCAGATCTGGGTAAGGCCTGACCGTGGAGTCGGGCGGGGAGCCAGGGTCCCCCATCCTCTGGGCAAAGCCCCCCATCAGTACAGAGCAGCCAAGGGGCCCCTCAGTGATGGGGTGGGGCTACCACGTGGGCTGTGTCCCCTCAGTGATGGGGGGTTGCCACGTGGGCCGTAGCGTCTCAGTGCAGGTCAGGCACAGGCTACGAGGGAACCAGACACCACACCTGCACTCGGCAAGCTCAGCATCTGGAGAGGACACAAGGGGTGAGCTTCCTGCTTGGACTGGGGCCTTTGCATGGGGCTTTACAGGGTACATAGGAGCACAACAAGCCAGTGGGGAAGGAGGAATTGTAACCAAGGCAAAGCGGGCCAGGGGGCTGGGGGTGCTAGAACAGCAGGGAGGCAGGACCCAGGCCCAGTGCAACGTCACTCTTCACCCTCCCGGGACGTGGAACTGGGTTAGGATCAGCCCCGCTGCTCAGTGGTCACACGACCATTCCTGCGCTGCCATGGGAGCAGCGGGGAGGGCTGGGCTGGCTCTGCCATGGGAGCAGCGGGGAGGGCTGGGCTGGCTCTGCCCGGCCCCACTGGCCCCTGCCCAGGAAGAGTTCCTGAGCAGCAGGTCCTCACTCCCACACGCTGGCCCGGCACTCCTCTCCTTTTGGAGAAAGGAGATGATTTTTGCATAAAACAATCTTGAATTTTAGCATAATCCCGAAGAAGAGAATTTTTAACTAAGAAGTCACTTCTAAAGTTCAAATGGACAAAAAACATATAGTGATGGCCAGAAAAATTCTAAACAGTCACGATAACGAACATCGGCTCTCCCAGATCTGCTCCATGGATCAGAATCAGTTCCACATGGGGTCAAAGATTTAATGTAAAAAAATAAAACCACTGAAGTCAGAGGATAAAGGAGAATGAGGCTGCCGTCTAAGCAAGACACAAAACCAAGAGGGTATGAAGAAAAGAAAGACAAATCTGGCAAACACGTAATGTTTCAGGCCAGGCGCGGCAGCTCACGCCTGTGACCCTAACATTTTGGGAGGCGGAAGTGGGAGAATTGCTTGAGCCTAGGAGTTTGAGGCCAGCCTGGGCAATACAGTGAGACCCCATCTCTACATTCTTAAAACATTGCTGTCAGAGTGTTTCAAGGATGGCTGCGCCAGGGCGGCCAGGTGCATGCTAACAGCAAACGGGGCAGCCCTCAGGGCCTCAAGCCCCCCGCAGTCCCCTCACCCTGCATGGGACCTCAAGGCACCCCTGGGGCTGTGGCCACAGCAGTGAGCTGGCTCTGGTCAAAGTGCCTGCCCCACCCAGCCACTAGCTGACCCCACGTGGGGCCAGCTCAGGGCTGCCAACAGCCCAGCCCCCCACGGGAACCACCCAGTAACCATCTACCCCGGGCGCTCAGCTACTGGTCAGGACCACTCTGTCTCCCCCGACCCCAGCCGATGGCCCTGCTCTGTGCCTCCCTTTCAGACAAGACCAGAGCCGGCCCTGCTCCCCCCGGCCATCAGGGAGAGAACAGTGGGATGTGGGGACATGGGTGTAGCAGGCTTCACCTATGACAGCAGAATAAATAACTTCAGATGAAACAAATCTGTCTTCTGCAGAAGCCGCTCACCACAGAAATGGGGTGACGACTCAGTTCCCATGACTGAGCAGAGCCCTGATACGTGACGACCATCAGCTCCGTGGCCGGCCCAGGGAGGGCTCCTGCCCTGGTCCTCGATGGCTTCCCTGCTGACCAGGGTGCTCCGAGCCTGCTTTGTACGTCTCCTGGCCCAGGTCTGGAGTCAACCATGTCTCCAAGGAGCTCTGGGTCCCGCTGGTAGGAAGTGGTCTTTAGGGACCACACTCGGGGTGCTGGGGTGCTCACTGCCCTGAGAAGGTCATATGTCTGGGCCTTCTCCGTAGTCAGAGCTCAGAGCTACACATACAGAGACGGAACCCCTCATGAGTCCACACCGGAACCCCCAGCTCCAAGACTGCGTCTTTCAACAGAACCTCTTCGTATGACATCTTGTCTCCTTTCTTCCACACCAAGGGTGTGGGTCTCGAAGACACTGGGGATGGTAGAACTAGGACCTCCCAAAATTTCTCACACTTCATCCTCACGGCACACGCGGCACCTCAGACTCCAATGCCAGTGCCACCACAGCCACGCTTCTAGGAGACGGGACAGGAGCTTCCAGGCCCTCCCTTCACCTGCACTCTACAATTCTTCAATGCACCCCTCCAGTCCTTACGTCAAAATGGAACCACCTTGAAGAGGCTCCCAGCGGCCAAGGCCCAGTAAACACTAGAATTCCCAGGCACAGAGAGGAGAGCGAGAGGGGCCGCAGAGCAGAGAGGGCCATGCGCCCCACGCGGGATCAGGGTCCCGCTGGAGACACCCACGTCTTCGTGAGAGAGGACATGTTTTCCCAAACCCAAACGAGGCCCCACACTGAGAGCGGAGCTCCTGCTCTGCCATTGGGCCACTTCTGCGGACTTCCCAAGACCCTCCCCGGGAGAGTGGCTGCACGAGGTGGGAAGGGCAGTTTTACGGCTCCGCACAGTTAGAGATTAACTCACTGATAAGGCCCACGCAGGACTTCACCAGCAGGGTTTCTCAGCCACCACCCTTGGCCATCACTTCGTTCCGCCATAGTCAACTCCTTCCTCAAACACCCTGCACCTTTATGGCCCCTCACTCTGCACTTTTATAGCCCCTCTGCACTTTTATGGGACGCACTGGCCATCTGTTTGAGATGCTGCTTTCACACTTACAATACCCCCCTTGGCCTTGCGGCAGCATGAATCTGTCTCTGTTCTTTGCAACTGCCCAATTAAAACAATGACGTTTCCAGAGAAATGCTACAGCCTTCTCAAGGCGGGCTCTTCCCTTTTGCCAAAAGACCTGCTGGTCCCACACCTGCAGGGGTCAGGTAGGGTGGTCAGTGTTGGAGCAACCGGGAAGGGGGTGACCTGGGGACCCAGGAGGTGAGCCCAGCCACAGGTGCCCGTGACCGACCCAGAGCACCGTGGGGCAGTAAATGGGTGATGTGTTCCACCAAGCAGAGAGATGGTGTTTCTGTCCTTACACGCAGGAGTTACACATTGTTACACATTCTTTAAGGAGAGCCTGTGGCTGCACTACTGGGAATTTACTAGAAACCAGCGAATTGTGCACTCTAATTGGGTAAATTCTTTAGTGTGTGAATTGCATCTCAATAAGGCTGTTAAAAAAATAAAAAATCAATTAAAAATGTTCAAGAGTTCAGCTGCTAAAAACCTTGAAAGCTGACGATTGTGGAGGGAAAATGAAATATTGCCAAAAATTATAAACCATTTGACATTGCTTTCAAGTGCCCTTAGCTTTTAGGAGCTCCCTGAAGTCCCCAAAGACCCTCCCCTCAAGCTAAAGCTGCCTTATGGGACTCACAACCGTGGGGACTGCGGCCAGGCCCTGCTGCCTTTGCTCTGGGGGTTGCCAGAGTAGCTCAGTCGTTCCCAAAGAGCCTCAAACTTCCTGCTGTTGGAGCCTCGGGACTTGGAGGCCACTGACCTGCTGCCTCACTGGGAGCGCCCAGAAGGTCTGGCTTTCCAGCTCTGGGCAGGTTGGTGGGGCTGATGGTTCCTGATCAGGCAGGGCCATCAGGGGCCACAGTGCACCAGCCCCAGACAAATGGCCCCAGCAAGTCGCTGAGGCTCCCCAAAAGAAAGAGAAGAGAGGCCTGGGAGGCACTGGCCCAGTTCCAGTGGGGACAGAGGGGACAGCTTGAGGCACCAGGCCTCGGCCCTGCAAGCACAACCCGGTGAGCTGTGAGCGCCTGCAGGACAGCAGTTCCCAGGGCATTCGGGGAGAATTCTGCAACTTCTCAGTAAGAACCCACAAAATATCTAAAATGAGGGGTAATAAAAGTCTTGGCCAGGTGTGGTGGCTCACACCTGTGATCCCAGCACTTCGGGAGGCTGAGGTGAGAAGATCAATTGAGTCAAGGAGTTCAAGACCAGCCTAGGTGGTATAGTGAGACCCCCATCTCTACGAAAAATACAAAAATTAGCCAGGTGTGATGGCTCCGGACTGTGGTCCCAGCTACTTAAGAGGCTGATGCAGGAGGATCACCTGAGCCAGGGAGGTCGAGGCTGCAGTGAGCCTTGATCTCACCACCACACTCTAGCCCGGGTCACAGAGCCAGTCTCTGTCTCAAAAAATAAACAAACAACAACAACAAAACCGACTTAAGACATCCCATCTCCAGCTCAGGGAACTTCTGGTTTTAGAAACCTTGTTGACTATGAGGAAGACTCATGCAAATTCTTATGGCGATGGTTTTTTACACTCCAGGATTAAACACACACACAAACATACACACACAATACACACACACACAAATAATACACACTACACATACACAATACACACACACATACATATACACACATACACACATGCATACACAATACGTACATACACATATACACACACATACACAATATGTGCATACACACACATATGCATACACAATATGTACACACAAACACAATATGTACACACACAATACACACACATATACACATATACATACATACACATATACGCACACATATACACATACATACATATACACACATACATATAAACACAATACACACATACATATACACACACATACACAATATGTACATATAATACACATGCATACACATACACACGCATACACAGTACATACATACACGTACACAATATACACACGTACATGTATACATACATATACACACACATGCATACACAATACATACATACACACACAATACACACACATACATACAGATACATACACATACACACACACGGACACACACATCCCCCTGCGGTTCCTTCTGACCAGCTCGCTGGACATGGATGAACTTTATGGCAAAATAAACTTTCTAAATTAACTGAGACCTGTCTCAGATTTGGGAGGTTCATAGGTTTCAGTTAATTTAGAAAGCTTACTTTGCCAAGGGTGAGGACGCGCACCCATGACCCAGCCTCAGGAGGTCCTGATGACGTGTGCCCAAGGTGGTCAGGGCACAGTCTGGCTTTATACATTGTAGGGAGACATGAGACATCAGTCCGCATATGCAGGACGAACATTGGTTCGGTCTGGAGAGGCAGGATGGCTCGAAGCAAAGGCAGGAAGACTCCAAGTGGGGAGGGGACTTCCAGGTCACAGGCAGGTAAGAGACAAATGGTTGCATTCTTTTGAGTTTCTGATGAGCCTCTCCAAAGGAGGCAGTCAGATACACATTTATCTCAGTGAGCAGAGGGGAGACTTTGAATACAATGGGGGGCAGGTTTGCCCTGAGCAGTTCCCAGCTAGACTCCTCCCTTTAGCTTATAGTGATCTGGGGGCTCAAGATCTTTTCCTTTCACATTTCCCCCCGTTTTCTCTTTAAAATCTTGGAGAAAGCTCTCCAAGATTTTAGAAGAAAATGAGTCTCTGGTCCCAGGTTTCATCTGATCTCTCATGGCTAGGATGGTTTATTCCTAGATGGGCAGGTCCTAAGTTATTAGGAAAGCTCATTTTTAGCAGGTTGTGAAGTCTCATGTCCTAGAAGAGAAAATAGGGGGAGGAAGAAAGAAAACAACAACAAACCAAAGAATAATCCTGCAAAAATCGATATAGGCCACATAACTTTAAAGTCCATACATTGGTAGGCCATGAAAGTGGCTTATGTATGAAAATAGGTTGCTGTTATTTTCTTCTGAAGTTTAAGTTGTCTGGCTTCAGTTTGCAGGGCTTTAAGAAAGCACAGCTTAGATTTTAGTGACTCCAAATTAGGAAAAATAAGGGGGGCGGGTGGGTGCAGTGGTTCATGTCTGTAATCCCAGCACTTTGGGAGGCTGAGGCAGGTGGATCACCTGAGTTCAGGAGTTTGAGACCAGCCTGACCAACATAGTGAAACCCCATCTTTACTAAATAATAATAATAATAACAATACAAAAATTAGCTGGGCAGGGTAGCAGGTGCCTGTAATCCCAGCTACTAGGGAGGCTGAGGGAGGAGAATTGCTTGAACCCAGGAGGCAGAGGTTGCAGTGAGCCGAGATCATGCCACTGCACTCCAGCCTGGGCGACAAGAGCAAAACTCCATCTCAGAAAAAAAAAAAAAAGAAAGAAAGAAAAGAAAAGAAAACAGAAAAATGGGGGGTGGGGCAAACAAATGAAAAAAATTGCAAACATTATTTTGAAGACTTGTAGCCAAGGAAAATCAGAATTTGGTCCAAACTGTAGAAAATAATAAAACTTGAAAACATTAGGCAAGACTGGAATCTAAAAATAGGTGTACCATAGTATTGAAACATAATTTTTCTCTCTCCAGTTTCCCATTTTCACTAAAGACAAATCATGGTAAGACTGGTTTGCTTTATTATACTTGGCCTAATTATTTGTATACAGTGCAGCAAGAATAATTACTTTTTACATAGGCTTTTAAATTGGCTTTGATGGAACATTGCTCCATAGGAGGAATCTCAGATAAGACTTTTTTAAAGCCGAGCCCAGCCACGAATTTGTGCCATCAAATACCTATGAGTTGAGTCATCCTCATCGCTTGAGGTTCCAGGATAAACCTGGGGCTCCTGGACCTGTCAGAAAGTGATATTCTTTTCTTGCCACAGGTCAGGAACCCTGTACAGGGACTCTGTAGACAAAGGTATGAGGCCAGTTTTTCCAAGGGGCTTTCATTGGCTCCATAAGTCAAGTTTGATTCCTTAAATGAAAGCTCACCATTCCAGTCAAAGCCTTAGTACATTGGAGTAACCAGTTTCTCCAATTGTGTCCTGCTGCAAAATGAAAACAAATTCTTATTGCACTTATACAAATAACTGTACTCCCATAAATTAAAAATACTCACAAATAGTTTCCAAATTCTGGGGAAACCAGGTAGAGAGTGTCGACAAAAAGAGTCAAATTGTAAAATAATTGCAGAGATCTATTCTGAGCCAAAATGAGTGACCATGGCCCATGACACAGCCCTCAGGAGGTCCTCAGAACATGTGCCCAAGTTGGTAGGGGTACAGCTTGGTTTAAAACATTTTTAGGGAGACATGAGACATCAATCAAATACATTTAAGAAATACATTGTTTTGATTGAGAAAGGTGGGACAAATCAAAGCAGGGGCTTCCAGACTACAGGGAAATTTAAACATTTTCTGGATGACAATTGGTTGAGTTTATCTGAAGACCTGGGATCAATAGTAAGGAATGCTCAGGTTAAGGTAAAGGATTGTGGAGACCAAGTTTTATTGTGCAGAGAGGGAGCTCTCAGATAGCAGACTTCAAAGAGAGAGCAGGTTGTAAAATGTTTCTCATCAGACCTAAAAGGGTGCCTGGCTCTTAATTGATTATCTCCTGGATCTGAGAAGAAAGGAAAACAAAGGAGAAAGGTGATTCTCTATAGAATGTGGATTTTTCCCACAAGAGACGTTGTAGGGCAATTTCAAGGTATGACAAGGAAATATATTTTGGGGTAAAACATTGTTATTTTCTTCCTTGTTATGCCAGACTCAGATTGGAAAGTAAATCATGATATACAGGGTCAAATAAAAGCCATCTGATGAGAATTTATGGTTTGTAGGACACGACTCCCCAGACCTCTTAGATAGGAATTTGGGCAAGATACAAAATCAGAGCTTAGTCCTTAAGAGAAACAAATATACCCCAAATTTTGTTCATAGGAGTATACTGAATTGTAAAAAGCTGTCAATAGCTCAAAAGAAAAGTTTTCTCAGCTCTGAAAAATACAAAAGAAAGAATCAGCAACATTTAAAGCAAAGGTCAAAAAGATTCTTTAGTCTTCTATCAGTTCAGTTTACACAGTTAACTCCTGTTCTGCTTGATATTCATGAACATTTCTGCTCTCCATGAGAGTCTGGAAAGTTTCTTTCTCTATTCTAATGCCACAATCCCCAAAGTTATCAGAATCCTATATGTAAGAACACCTGTTAGAGTTCTATAGCTGATTACAAAACCACTTTCTAAGGAGGACCAAAACAAGACAACAAATGTCCGTGGATGACAAAAAGTTTTAGGGCAACCATAGTCAAAGACACAATTGACAAGGAAATTTGTTTCCTCTGTGGCATACAATAACTTAACATAACAATTATAATTGTTATTGATAAAGCATACTAAGTTATATCAGAATTATAGGAGTTTTCCATAACATATGTTATAACTCAGTCTCTCATTTACCTATGAAATCTAAATACATAGACATATTAGGCATGCTGATAGAAGTACATTTTTTCTTTCTTTTTTTTTTGAGATGGAGTCTCACTGTTATCAGCCCAGGCTGGAGTACAGTGGCACAATCTCGGCACACTGAAACCTCTGCCTCCCGGGTTCCAACAATTCTCCTGCCTCAGCCTCCCAGGTAGCTGAGATTACAGGCGCCCACCACCATGCCCCGGGACGGGGCTTCACCACATTGGCCAGGCTGGTCTTGAACTCCTAACCTCATGTGATCCACCCTCCTTGGCTTCCCAAAGTGCTGGGATTATAGGCGTGAGCCACCACACCCAGCCAGAAGTACATGTTATAGATCCATAAAGACCATATTTTTTTCCCTATCTTAGACTTTCAAATTCTTGATAATCTGTTTCACAACCCTAAGGCAATTGTCAGCTAAATAGTCTTAAATTTGCATATTAAAGGAAATAACTCAGGTGAAAATCAAATAGCAAAATTTACATAGTAAGGTACGAAGAGAAAGTCTGGTGAGCTAGAGGGAAACTAAAGCAGATTTAATTGCCAATTGAACATAAAATTATATAAGTCTATTATAAGGGCCTTCAACTATACACACACACAGACATATACATCACACATACACACACACAAAGATTCTATAGCTTTTACTTCAGTACTTTAGCCATGAGATAAATATAAGTTCACTGGCTTGCAAAAAAAGACCTGCTAGATCGAAACAGTGGTTTTTATCTCACTAGAAAGGTAACAGCAGATTTAAAGCAGGCAGAAAAGAAAATGGGGAAAAGGGGACGTAAGAACTCTATTGGTTTGGGGTCGACGTTAGGGCTCTTTTTTCCTTAATGTAAATGTGCACAAAGACTGTCTTACTTCCATTTTACTCTGGCAAGTAGATGTGCCTTAAACCCTACAGAGTGCTCAAAAGGGGATCATTCTCTGTGTTTTCTCCTCATTCTTGGATTATTTGTTTCCCACTTTTTTTTTTCTTAAAAGGAGGAACTGAGCTGTGGCCTAGGTTTTTGTGTAGTGGATTGATGTGTGCTGCTTGTGGGCAGGACTCCACAGTGTGTCACCACTGAGTCACTTCTGCCCTCTTATGAGTCTCAGTTTCTCTCTCCAGAGGTCTATGACCTCAGAGAGGGCTCAAAACGCTGGGTGATCAGCCTTTACATGCGTTTCCTGGATGAACTATTTTTAAATTAACTTTTGAGGGGATTTCCCTGAAGGGCTGCTGCATGTCACAGCAGGGGTCAACCCCCTAGACACTCCCACGAGGCCCCCTGGTCACCCAGGGGCACCTTTGGCTGGGAGAAGCAGATACCTTTTCTCTTTGGAGCTGAAAAACTCAGTCTCTCATTTACCTATGAAAACAACAGTTCAGTTCAGTTCCTCGCACAAATGCACACAGACAAACCAAACTGAGATTAATGTTGGGAGAAAAGCAATAAAGAAGACCCTTTAGAATGCATCTTCAAACTAGAATTAGGATCCTTAAACAACAACCTCCTAGGAGAGAAAAGAAAAAAAAAATACAGCCAAGACCACTTCCTGTAAACTGTATTCAGCCACCCATAACTTTGTAGCTCTCATCTGCCATTATACACGCCGAGGTCAAATCCTCTCACAGTGCAAGGTCATCTATGGTACCCCCCAAAGCCAAAGAGGTCAGGTAATGCAATACAGGAAAACAGAGCTTTAGACCTAAGAAGAACCTGCCCATGACTCTTGAAACTCCACAATGAAGACAGAACACCCCAAAAGCGGTGAGTGGTGCCCTTGTTCTGAATTATTTAAAGGGGTTCAAGTCATTAGAAGCCTTCTCTAGAGTCCTTGGTACTGGAGATGGCAAAGGGGGAAGGAGGTATGGGGTGGAAGAAAAGTAAATGAAGGGACAATTGCTTTTTTAAGACAGAAAGCAAACACGTGGTTTTATGTTTGATCGTTCTTCCCCCTTTGCAGCTGCAAGGAATTTTAGCCAAATTAGAGAGGCCTTGTTACCCACAATTTGGAATTCTCACTCGGATTTGACCAAGTCAGGCTGAGTTGGTCAAATCCAATTAGAGAAAGACAAGAACAAACAACGACAACAAAATCCCCAACAATATATCACTGAGCACTCTGACGGAAAGGAGAAATTAAGACCAGCTGGTTGTCACGTTAGCCAAGACAGAACCCCAGTTCAGTTACTTACCTAGGGAAGGGTCTCAGGTTGAAAACAGCTCTCTACCATCCTAGAGCAGGAAAAGAAACTCATCTTCTCTGTTGGAAGTGAGCTCAAACTCCATAAAGGAGTTACCTGCCTTCCATCGTCATGGAAGCAGTAGAACTGGCCCTCCTTGTTGGAAGCAAGTAAAACTCCAAAAAAAAAAAAAAAAAGGAGGAGAAGTTGTACAGCAAAATAAACTTTATATCTTGACCAATTTGGGGAGATTAGGGAGTCTCTGGAGGGGGTGCTCCCGGACATCAGCAAATTATCCTATTGATTTGAGCCATAAAGTTAGCTCATGCCAATACCAAGCACCAATAGATTTGTCAAAGGTCAGAATCCCTCTGTGGTTACCAAAATGTGAACCTAAAAATTTGAGACACGTCTCAGTTAATTTAGAAAGCTTATTGCGCCAAGGTTGACGATGCGCATTTGTTTGCCAGCCTCAGGAAGTCCTGACCACATGTGTCCAAGGTAGTCAGAGCACAGCTTAGCTTTTTTTTATGTATACATTGTAGGGCGACATGAGACATCAATCAACATATGCAAGATGAACATTGGTTTGGTCTGGGAAGGTGTGACAACTAGAAGCAAAATGGGACAACTTGAAGCAGGGAAGGGCTTCCAGGTCATAGGTAGATAAGAGACAAACAGTTGCATTCTTTTGAGTTTCTGATTACCCTCTCTGAGTTTCTGATGAGCCTCTTCAAAGGATGCAATCAGATATGCATTTGTCTCAGTGAGCAGAGGGGAGACTTTGAAGAGAACGGGAGGCAGGTTGGCCCTAAGCAGTTCCCAGTTTGACATTTTGCTTTAGCTTAGTGATTTCAGGGGCCCAAGATATTTTCCTTTTGTAGACCTATCTCAAATTTTCAGGGTTTGCATTTCGGTAACCATGGAGGGATTCTGGGTGGAGATGTCCCTGACCTTTGGCAAACCTCCTATCGGAGCTTGGTACTGACATGAGCTAACTTTATGGCTCAAACCAATAGGACAATTTGCTGAGGTCTGGGAGCACCCCCTCCAAAAAATCCCTGATCTCCCAAAATTTGGTCAAGATCTAAAGTTTATTTTGCTGTACAACTCCCTATTTTTTTGGAGTTTTACTTGCTTCCAACAAGGAGGGCCAGTTCTCCTGCTTCCATGACGATGGAAGGCAGGTAACTCCTTTATGGAGTTTGAGATTGTTTCCAACAGGGAAGATGAGGTTTTCTTTTTTTCCTGCTTCTAAGATGGTAGAGAGTATCAGCCTGAGACCCATCCCTAGGTTAAGTAGCCGAATTGGGGTTCTGTCTTGGCTAAAGTTATCAACCAGCTGGTCTTAATTTCTCCTTACCATTAGAGCACTCAGGAATCATATAGTTGTGTGATTGCTTGTTTTACTGAACTGTTTGTTGTTGTTGTTGTTTGTCTCTGTTTTTGTTGTTTTTTCAGTCTTTTTCCCATTGGGTTTGACCAACTCTATCCAACTTTATCAAATCTGAAGAAAAGTTCCAAATTATTGGGAACAAGACCTCTCAGATGGTTAAGATCCCCCCCAACACACACACACACACACACACACACACACAAAAGGTGTGTGGTGGGGGAGAAAGATGCCAGCCAAAAGAAAAAAAAAGAGGAAATATTTTTTATTTTGACTACTAAAGGGACTTTATTTACATAACAAGACCACCTTTTTGCTAGCCAGACCAAATTGAAAGAGCAATGTCTGTATTTCTGAAACAGCAGCAATTTGTCGCAGGTGAAATATGGTAATGAGATTTAAAAACATTTTTTTAAAGGAGCTCAACTGTTAAAGTCAGCTTAATTAAAAGCTAACATCCAAGGGATGTGTGTGTGTGTGTGTGTGTATTTAAAAGGCCTTCTTCATGTTCTTCATGTTTTTGGGTTTTTTGTCTCTCCTAGGACCTTGTCCTTTTTTTGAGCAAAAGTTTTTTGTTTTTTCTCAGTTGACTGAGGTCTGTTTTTCTTTATTTACTTCTGCTGTCTCTCCTTTATCTTGCACCCTCTGCTGCACGAGAGACCTAAAATAGTTTATAAGAGACTGGGGTTCCTTAAAGAAAACCAAGAAGGTGCCAGACTCCCTTTGGGTTCCCATGGAACCCCAAATGTGTAAACAGACAAGTTCGTCTCAGCTTTTTTTTTTTTTTTTTTTGAGACGGAGTTTCATCTTTGTTGCCCAGGCTGGAGTGCAGTGGTGCAATCTCAGCTCAATAAACCTCTGCCTCCCAGGTTCAAGCGAGTCTCCTGCTTCTGCCTCCTGAGTAGCTGGGATTACAGGTGCCCACCACCACGCCTGGCTAATTTTTTGTAGTTTTAGTAGAGACAAGGTTTCATCATGTTGGCCAGGCTGGTCTCGAACTCCTAACCTCAGGTGATCCACCCACCTCGGCCTCCCAAAATGCAGGGATTACAGGCGTGAGCCACCACACGTGGGCTGTCTTAGCTTTTAAACTGCTTGCTTTTGTATTGTGTTACCTGATTTATTGACTAAAATAGTTATTTGAAACAGGCTACTCTTGGGTTTTTACAGAAGAGTGTAGTTTAGACACTTAGAAACGTCTTTGTTTAAAAAAAAATTAAGTGCACTGTAAAAGCATCACATGATCCAGCCTCATAATAATTCTCCCTTTTTGGAAACCCAGGATTCAGTGTGGGCTCTGCCCAGAGCTCAGGTCCAGTTACAATATAGGTAGTCCCTGTCTAAATAAAATTGGTCTCCTTATATAATCCAATGGTAGATTTTTATAATTTTATGTTTGATTTGGCATCCATCTTTAACCTCCCTCTAGCACACCAGACTTGTTCTCTCCATATCATATGTTGTAAATTTTGCTATTTGATTTTCACCAGAGTTGTTTCCTTTAATATGCAAATTTAAGACTAGCTAACAACTGCCTAGGGTTCTGAAACAGGTTATTAAGAATCTGAAAGTCTGAGATAAAGAAAGAAAAAGTCTTTATAAATCAGTAAGATGTACTTCTATCAGTGTGCCTAATATGTCTATGTATTTATGTGTTGTGTACACAATGTTTCACTAGTAAAAATATATAAAGGAGCTCAATTAATTGGCTTAAAAAATAAAAGTACTTAGATACTAAAGAAAAAAGACTAGTCAAATGCCCTTCAAGTTCACACCACTTAAGTCAAATCTTTAATACGCTGGATTTTAAATCATTGGTAAAATAATACTAGAAATGTCTTAAGAATTTGCCAGCATCCATTTTTGTTTGCATTTGTTAATCAAGCAATTTCCTACTTATCTCTGCCAAATAATATAAGGTGTCAAAATTTGGCATAGGGGTTGCAAAACTATAAAGGCAGCCCAAAACAGAATGGTCTTTATTTGTGTAATCTTTAATAAAGAAGACTTTAGGCCGGGCATGGTGGCTCACGCCTGTAATCCCAGCACTTTGGGAGGCCGAGGCAGGTGGATCACGAGGTTAGGAGATCGAGACCATCCTGGCTAACACGGTGAAATGCCGTTTCTAATAAAAATACAAAAAATTAACCGGGCGTGGTGGTGAGCACCTGTAGTCCCAGCTACTCGGGAGGCTGAGGCTGGAGAATGGCATGAACCCGGGAGACGGAGGTTGCAGTGAGCTGCGATTGCACCACTGCACTCCAGCCTGGGCAAGAGAGCAAGACTCCATCTCAAAAAAAAAAAAAAAAGAAGACATTAATATTTGTTTAATGATCCATAGCTACAGCTTGAATTTAGTAAGATTACCATAAATTCTAATCCTGTGGCTTTAGACAGTCTAGTCCACAGGCAGTAAGGAGGTTTGTTTTGGGAAAGGGCTCTTATCATTTTTGTTTCAAAACTAAACTATAAACTAAGTTCGTTCCTCCCAAAGTTAGTTCAGCCTCCAACCAGGAATGAACAAGGATGGCCTGGAGGTTAGAAGCAACAAGGAGTCAGTTAGGGCAGATGTTTTTTACTGTCTCAGTTATAATTTTGCAAGAGCAGTTTCATAACGTTAAATGATGAATATCACAGTTTTCATAAATAAGTAAATGATTAAAATAAAATAATTAGGTAAATGTATTAGAATAAATACTTGCAGACAAACGTCATAATTTAGAATCTAAAGTTATATTAAATTAGATAATAGATATTTCATATTTGGATATTTTCCAATAAAAATATATTGAAGGAAAACATTCTTGCTAAAAAAAATGGTATCCTTTTAAAAAGGTGAATAATTTTTGTCTAATTCAAAGCTTAAAGTTTATGTACGAAACAAGATAGAAAGTTATAACAATACAGAGGATTTTTTGGTAAGAAAGCTTAAAGGGAAATAATTTCATATTAGAAAGAATCTTGTATGGTAAATTTAGTCCTAGAGTAAAATGACTGGTTGTTTAAGATGCAGGGAAGTTCAGGACAAACGAGAAAATCCAAACATGTAATGAATGGTTTATGTAAGTCACAATAAGAGGAATTATATTTAAAAAAACAAACACAAAAACTTTTATATGATCAAGTTGTCATATTATTATTAAGTTTTGGTTTCCTTAGGAAAAAAAATTGAGATTAAACTTTTTTTGTGTGGGTTTTTTTTTTTGGAGATGGAGTTTCACTTTTGTTGCCCAGGCTGGAGTGCAGTGGCACAATCTCGGCTCACTGCAACCTCTGCCTCCCGGGTTCAAGCGATTCTTCTGCCTCAGCCTCGAAGTAGCTAGGATTACAGGCACCCACCACCATACGAAGCTAATTTGTTACATTTTTAGTAGAGACAGGGTTTCACCATGTTGACCAAGCTGGCCTTGAACTCCTGAACTCAGGTGATCCACCCACCTCAGCCTCCCAAAATGCTGGGATTACAGGTGTGAGCCACCATACCCAGCCTTAAACATTTTTAAATTAAGGTTATTCCATCCACGTATCTCTCTGTATGCACTTTTAAAGTACTTGTGACACTGAATTACAGGACATTGACTCCTGGGTGTAAAAAGGACACCAAGTCCTGCTATATTTTAAACACTGACAGCAATTAAAGCCCCAGTAGAAGATGCCAATCAAAATAAACTGCATTATTGAAACACAGAGTCAGAAATTAAAGCTATTCAACCCCTCGGGGACAGGCATGGTGGTACACACCTGTAATCCCAGCACTTTGGGAGGCCAAGACACATGGATCACCTGAGGTCAGAAGTTCAAGACCAGCCTGGCCAACATGGTGAAACTCCATCTCTACTAAAAATACAAAAATTAGCCAGGCATGGTGGTGAGTGCCTGTAATCCCAGCTACTCCGGAGGCTGATGCAGGAGAATAGCTTGAACCCAGGAGGTGGAGGTTGCAGTGAGCTGAAATTGCACCACTGCACTCCAGACTGGGCAACAGAGCGAGACTCCATCTCAAAAATAAATAAATAAAAATAAAATAAAATAAAATAAATAAAGCTATCTAACTCCACAAGGCCCAGGGACAATCACAGAAGAGGTAGGCTTGTGAGATTATAAGGGCTGATTTTGAGAGATAAAATAAGTTGTTTCTCTATAAATTAATCATTAACGTCAAAGACACACTGATGCAAGACCAGCATATGGGCCTGTGCCAGATTAACAAGGTTTTCTTGAAGCATCAACCAACTCCTAAATAAAAGTTACAAAGGCTTATGGAAGTTGTATCTTATGATCAAGATTAAAATGTTATAGATCATTTATAAAATTTTGAAAAGCAAATTAAATTGGCTTCATGCTGTTTTTATTAGGGCTTATTGTTTGGAACACTAAGTCACCTCTCTCAAAGAATGAAGGCTTTTGCCTTTTTTGAAATCCTTGAGTTACCACCTTGGTTAAATGAATGATCCTGTTTTGTGATATAAAGTGTTTTAAACCTTTGATACTTGACAAACTTTCCAAAATCAAATTATAAATTACGTCTTTTTCTGACCTAATTAATCCTTTAAGACATTAGGTTTGCTAAAGTCCAAAAACGACATAGTTTGGCTTATTTGGTATAAAAGTTATACAGGAAGCATTGTCAAGTATGAAATGGTATTTGGTTTTCTTTAGGCTGTATTTGTATAAATATGTTATTGGTATGTGTACCAAAATTATGGGAAACTCCTATAATTCTGATATAATTTAATGTATGTTATCAATAATATTTATAATTCTTATGTTAAATTATACTGTGCCACAAAGGTAACAAATTTCCTTGTCAATTGTGTCTTTGACTATGGCTGTCCTAAAACTTTTTATCATCCACAGGCAATTGTTGTCTTGTTTTGGTCCTCTTTACGGTGGTTTTATAATCAGCTATAGAACTCTAACAGGTGTTCTTAAATACAGGGTTCTGATAACGTTGGAGACTGTGTCATCAGAATAGAGGAAAAAATTTTCAGGACTCTCATGGAGAGCTGAAATGTTCATGAATATCAAGCAGAACAGGAGTTAACTGTGTAAACTGAACTGACAGAAGACTAAAGTAATCTTTTTAACGTTTTTCGTAAAACATTGCTGATCCTTTGTTTTGTTTTTTAGAGTTAAGAAAACTTTTAAGTTATTACAGCTTTTAAGAATTGAGTAAAGTATACTCCTGTGAACAAAATTTCAAGCATATTTGTTTCTCTCTACCTGATTTATCCAGAATTTGGAAACTATCTGTGAGCATTCTTAATTTATGACAATACAGTTATTTGCATAAGTGCAATAAGAATCTGTTTTCATTTGTAACATGACACAATTGGAGAAACTGGTTATTTTACCAAGACTGACTGGAACGGTGAGCTTTCCTTTAAGGAATCAAACTTGACTTACGGACCCAATAAATGCCCCTTGGAAAAACTGGCCTCATACTTTTGTCTACAGAGTCCCCGAACAGGGTTCCTGACCTGTGGCAAGTAAAGAATATCACTTTCTGACATGTCCAGGAGCCCCAAGTTTATCTTGGATCCTCAAGAGGAGAGGATCACCCAACTCACAGATATTTAATGGCACAAATTCGTGGCTGGGCTCAGCTTTAAAAAAGTCTTATCTGAGATTCCTCCTATGGATCAATGTTCCATCAAAGCCAATTTAAAAGCCTATGTAAAAAGTAATTATTCTTGCTGCACTGTATACAAATAATTAGGCCAAGCATAATAAAGCAAACCAGTCCTACCATGACTTGTCTTTAGTAAAAATGGGAAACTGGAGAGAGAAAAGATTATGTTTCTTTTTTGTTGTCATTTTGTTTTTTTGAGACAGTCTCGCTCTGTCACCCAGGCTGGAGTCCAGTGGTGCAATCTCAGCTCACTGCATCCTCCACCTCCCAGGTTCAAGCAGTTCTCCTGCCTCAGCCTTCTGAGTAGCTGGAATTACAAGCGTCCACCATCATGCCCAGCTAATTTTTGTATTTTTAGTAGAGATGGGGTTTCACCATGTTGGCCAGGCTGGTCTCAAACTCCTGACCTCATGATCCATCCACCTCGGCCTCCCAAAGTGCTGGGATTACAGATGTGAGCCACCACACCCAACCAAAAAATTATCTTTCAAAAACTATAGTACACCTGTTGTTAGATTCTAGTCTTGCCTAATGTTTTTCAATTTTTACTATTTTCTGCAGTTTGGACTGAATTCTAATTTTTCTTGGCTACAAGTCTTCAAAATAATGTTTGCATTTTTTTCTTTTTTTCCCATTTTTCCTAATTTGGAATAAGCTAGACAACTTAAACTTCAGAAGAAAATAACAGCAATCTATTTACATACATAAGCCACTTTTTTTTTTTTTGAGACGGGATTGTGCTCTTGTTGCCCAGGCTGGAGTGCAATGGCACGATCTCGGCTCACCGCAACCTCCGCTTCCCAGGTTCAAGCAATTCTCCTGCCTCAGCCTCCTGAGTAACTGGGATTACAGGCATGCACCACCATGCCCGGCTAATTTTGTATTTTTTAGTAGAGACGGGGTTTCTCCATGTTGGTCAGGCTGTTCTCAAACTCCTGATCTCAGGTGATCCGCCCGCCTCGGCCTCCCAAAGTGCTGGGATTACAGGTGTGAGCCACCGCGCCCGGCCACATAAGCCACTTTCATGTTTGCCTACTGATGTTTGGACTTCAGAGTAGTGTGGCCTGTATCGATTTTCCAGGATTGCTCTTTTCTTTGTTGTTGTTTTTCTCCTTCCTTCTCCTATTTTGTCTTCCTAGGACTTGACACTTCACAACCTGCTAAAAAATGAACTTCCCAGGGCCGGGCACGGTGGCTCACGCCTGTAATCCCAGCACTTTGGGAGGCCAAGGCCGGCGGATCACGAGGTCAGGAGATGGAGACCATCCTGGCTAACACGGTGAAACCCCATCTCTACTAAAAATACAAAAAATTAGCTGGGCGAGGTGGCGGGCGCCTGTAGTCCCAGCTACTCGGGAGGCTGAGGCGGGAGAATGGCGTGAACCCGGGAGGCGGAGCTTGCAGTGAGCCGAGATCGCTCCACTGCACTCCAGACTGGGAGAGAGAGCGAGACTCCGTCTCAAAAAAAAAAAAAAAAAAAAAAAAAAAAAAAAAAAAATGAGCTTTCCTAGTAACTCAGGACCTGCCCGTCTAGAAATAAACTATCCTAGCCATGAGAGATAAGACAAAACCTGGGACCAGAGACTCATTTTCTTCTAAAATCTTGGAGAGCTTTCTCCAAGATTTTAAAGAGAAAATGGGGGGAAATGTGAAAGGAAAAGATCTTGAGCCCCCAGATCACTACAAGCTAAAGGGAGGAGTCTAGCTGGGAACTGCTCAGGGCAAACCTGCCCCCCATTGTATTCAAAGTCTCCCCTCTGCTCACTGAGATAAATGCGTATCTGACTGCCTCCTTTGGAGAGGCTCATCAGAAACTCAAAAGAATGCAACCATTTGTCTCTTACCTGCCTGTGACCTGGAAGTCCCCTCCCCACTTGGAGTCTTCCTGCCTTTGCTTCGAGCCGTCCTGCCTCTCCAGACCGAACCAATGTTCGTCCTGCATATGCGGACTGATGTCTCATGTCTCCCTACAATGTATAAAGCCAGACTGTGCCCTGACCACCTTGGGCACACGTCATCAGGACCTCCTGAGGCTGGGTCATGGGTGCACGTCCTCACCCTTGGCAAAGTAAGCTTTCTAAATTAACCGAGACCTGTCTCAGATTTTGGGGGTTCACACCGGCATGGTGACCCCCATGGGCTCTGTACCACATCTTCTCTGATCATGAGTCCCCTCCTCCCCAAAGATACCTGGCCACACCCCAGGGAGGCAACACCCCCAAGTGCCATAGCTCAGAGTTTTGTGCCTGAATCATCACCAGCAAAACAAAAGATCAGCAAGCATCCAAGTGAGCACTTTGCCCGGCGGCCTGGATTTCCCGTGGCCGGTGGTCAAGACTAGGCCTCACTAGCGCAGGCAAAGTCTCTCCTCTGTTCTGGGCAGCTCCTTGAATCACCCAGGTGGGTGCCAGTGGCACCACACACTACCGTCCCCTTTGTCCCCAGGGCTGTTGATTTGTTCCACCCACAGGCCAAGCAAGCTGACACAAGCGAGGTGAGCCTCCCACACTTGCCCAACCCCAGGAAAATAAATGCGAGGCTCAGGAAGGCTGCTGTCCAGGGCTGTGGGGAAGTGACTCGGGGCTTCCCTCCTGCAGGCCGTGCTCAATGAAGCCTGGGACACCCGGAGCCAAAGCTCCCTGGCCTTAGTGTGGGACGTGCAGCCTGCATGGGCTGCTGCAGTGAGCCCATCCTGCCAGGCAGTGAGACCAGCAGCTGAGGAGCCTGTGCCCTGGGCTCCCCGAGGGCCTTCGGCTGCAATGCCTCCCATGTCTCACCCACAGAGTCTCAGCTGGGGTCAGGCACACCCGCCCTGGCCGACCTCGGGGGGCCCCAGGGCAGCCAGGGGGGCCCTAGCTTGGCCACCAGCTAATCAAGTGAGCCTGATTCCCCAGCCCCTGGGCCTCTTCTTCACAATATGGTCACAATGTCCACAGGAGGGGGCATCTAGGATGGTCCAGGCCAGGCAGCCGGCCCCACACCTCTCAGCCCTGTGACGGGGTGTCCTCAGCCAGTGTCCTGGCAGCTGGTCTTAAGTCACCCCTTAAAGGAAGGTAACTGAATTCATGGCGGCACACGCCCCGGGGAGGCAGGGACCTGCCAGCGCAGGGACGGCTTCAAACTGCCCTGGAATCACCCCAAACAGGATGGCGAGCAGGAGAAGGAAAACGCAAGGCATCCTTAGCCACACCCACCACCCCTCCAAACCTAACTGGGAAGAAATCCACCTCCCCTCTGTTTACAGAAGGGAGACAGCACAGCAGAGCCCAGCCTCCCCGTCACCACCCAGAGCCCCGGGAGCATCCTGAAGCGCACGCATGACCAACGCTCCAGCAAGCGCCTGGCACTCCCACCAACACGGCCCAGCCATGGGCCTGAGCCGCAGACCGAGGCTGGGAGGTCCCAAGCCCAGCAGGTCTCACCCTCCCCAGCCGTCACGCGGACACTCGAGCGTCTCCACGCCACAGTGTTGGGGGGCAGCTTTCTCACTGGGCCCCACATCCCAGAACCCCCAAACACCCAGAAGCAGCACCAGGCCTGGGCAGGAGGGGCCCCCTACTTCCGAAACGAAGCCAAGACAGGTGAATTCAGGGAAGCCTGAGTAGGAACAGCCTCCAAATCCAAGTCACTTCCTTCGAAAGACAAACAAAACCCACTCCTGTCCGTCTCTCAGAATAGCCACAGATGAAGCGCTTTGTCCACCTGGGGGGTCCAACTGCCCCCCTTACCTCTGCAAGCCGCCCAGCATGGACATCATCTTGGCCTCTGGCCTCCAGCGAGGGGACAGTCGAGGCTTGAGCTCCCCCGAGGTCCCACCGCCTCGGCCCCTGCCGGCTCTGGGCTCCCCAGGGTGCAGGCACAGGCAGGGTGCGGCTGTGGGGCAGGTGAACTGGAATCCCCAGAAGCTCACCTGCCTCCTGGGACGGGAGCCACGCCCTCTCCCCGCACCTCCATCGGAGGGCTTGGTTTTAACTGTTCTGTTCTCGGGAAGAACTGGCTGAGGGAGTCTGGGGAGCCCTCGATGGGCCCCTGTGTTCCCCAGGCCCTGGGAGGACCTGCCTGGGGCCTACCCCTGCTCCCCTGCCCCACCCTCAGTGTCCATCCCCCCGGGGGGCTTGGAGGGAGCTGTCCCCACAAGGGACGGGCTTGGTGGGCTCCAACAGCACAGCGACGGCTTCTGGACTCAGAACTCAGGACCTGACGCAGACGAGAGGGCAGAGGGCCCTGTGGCCACTGCAAGGATGAGCGAGGAAAGCTCAGCCCAATTCCCAGCTTCCTCCCCCTCCTCGTCCTCCTCTTCTTCCTCCCCCTCCTCCTCCTCCTGAGCCTGCTTCACACCAAAAGAAAATCTGACTTTTTAAAATCTTGGGCTGGACAATAAGTTTGAAACAGGACATGGAGGTGGAAAATAAATATAAATATTTGTTTAGATTTTACTGCAAGAAAGTTCATTTCTCTTTTCAGGAAATAGATATTAATTCCGAGACAAGCAGCCAGGGAAATGCTGCAACATTGTGACCAGGCGCTACAGTGAATCCACAGGAAAACGCAAATGCTCCTCAGAGCTACGGGCCACGCGCCATGAGTCACCACCACCCTCGCCACATCCCACCAGCGCTGGTGCCCACCATGCCCTCCGACGCCAAGCTCTCCACACGGCTGGTCACCTTCCCACAACCCCTCCCTGTCGGTGCCAGCTGAGCCTGGATTCCGGGACTGGCCCCAGCCCAAGGCAGCCTCCCTGCCCTAGCCAGTGCCTGGCTCGGATGGGTGCAGGCCCCATAGCCATGGAGGCAGAAACAAGGCTGGGCTGAGGGGCTCAGAGGAGGGGCCGAGCACACATGGACCTCCCTGGCATCAGAGACCCTGGGCTGGGCGGCTGCTGGCGAAAGGCCCAGAGACCCCCAGCCTCCCTTCCCCATTTACCTCCACCTGCAGCCCAGGGGCCTGGCATCTCCGCCCCCGCCTAGGCATCACCCTCCCAGCTGCTCTGTAGACCTCCAGAGCCCGAGTCTGTGGGAGGGGCCAGCAGAGCAGCTCCCGGTGCTAACGGCAGGTGGGAGGGATGCCGGGGCCTTGCTGGCACGGCTGGGCAGCTCTCCACCGGCGTGCCCTGCATCCTCCGCATTCCACTATCCAGAGACATCCGTGTGGGTGTTCACTCCACCATTAAGGAGCCTCCCTGCTGCTTCCTCCACCCACCCTGCCCAGGGCACCACAGGCTCAGCCTAGGAACAAAGAAGATGGCGCCTCATGGGTCCTTACCCCAGAATCACCTTGGCCGAGCCATGTGTTACAAACGGTGGGGCCGGTGGAGAGCAACCTGCCAGGGACACACGCCTGAGGGTCACGGCCAGGCACCTCCCTACACACGCCTGAGGGTCACGACCAGATGCCTCCCTCCCAGGTCAAAGTCCCCAGCTCTCCAGATCCCAAGTGACTTATGGGGCCTGAGCAAGAAGTGTGGGCCTGGGCAGGGGGTCCTCAGCCACCAGCCACCTTCACCCCCTGCTGGGGCAGACAAGGGCAGTGCAGTGTGGTGTGGAGCGGTGGTCCCAGCCCCAGGCTGGGAAAGGGACGGAGGCCCGGCGGCCAGAGGGAGGAGGCTGCCTGTTGCCAGTGGGGCCCTGCTGGGAGCCCCAGGGAGTCAGGGTGTCTGCCCGGCCCCAGCTCCCCGCTAAGAATCAGCCGCTCTGGCAGCCTGCCTGGTCCACGGTGACTCAGGAACACCAATCAAATGCACACGTTGTTTGTCAGAGCAGATGCCCACGCCCCCATGGCAGAGCCCTAACCCCTGGGGTGCGGACGGGGCTGGCTGGAGGCCCCTCAGCTGCTTCGAGTAAGGGACAGGTCCACATGCCCAGGAACCCGCCTCCATCGGCATTGGCATTGCCGTGCCCATGTGCTCCAGTGTGTGGCCTGGTCCCACTAGGAGGGCCACACCCACCAGACCCAAGGCCGGTGGGGAGCAGCTGGGGAGCAGCCGGGAGCAGCCGAGAGCAGCCGGGAGCAGCGGGGAGCAGCCGGGGAGCAGCCGGGGAGCAGCCGGGAGCAGCGGGGAGCAGCCGGGGAGCAGCCGGGAGCAGCCGGGAGCAGCCGGGGCGCACGCACGTTACCCTCTTCAGCCGACACTGCAGGCGGGCGGGCAAGCCCAGGGCCACCTCGGGGCAGGGGCAGGGGTGGCCTAGCTCAGAACAGAGCAGTCAAAGGATGGAGTCAGCTTCTAGGTCTCAGATCCCGGGTCCGGGGCTGCAGGAAGGAAGTCTCCTGCCCCGGGCAGGCAGTGGTCGACTGTGGGCTGGGCGCTGGCAGGAGGTGGGGGCCCTACAGAACTCCCGGCCAGTCCTTCACCAGTCCAGGGCCACCCATCCGCCCACGTCCACAGAGGGCCGAGGCCACAGCCCCCAGCACTGTGCTTTGAAGTGGGCCCTGCTCCACGGTCTCTGCTTTCCGGAGTCAAGGGGCAAACCCTCACCACCAGGAAGAACAGGTTTCACCCCTTCCACCGGTGACGCTGAACACCCCTGGCCGCTGTGCATCCCATTCCCTCCCTGTCCCCAGGGCCCCAGGGCCCCAGGGCCATGGAACCCGGAAGGTAGCTCCAGGTGCCACACACTCTGCCAGAAACAAAGGGAGCATCACCTCGCTTCCTGGCCTCTGTTTGCACAGCCGCTGGCACAGGGCCTGTGGGGAGGGGCGAGGCAGGAGCCAGGAGGCCGTCTGAGGACCTGCCCACAACCCAACAGGACCCCAGCCCTGTCAGGCCGCACCCGGGCACACCCAGGAGGCACCTCCGTGCCCGTCCGCCAGGCCGGGCACTGTTCTAGAAACTTCACAGCAACTCTTGATCTCCCAGAAGGGCAGGTGGGGAGACAGGGCCCATGCTCCCTCGAGAGGATCCCCCTCTGGGGGTGGGTGCAGGAGGGCAGAGCCTTTGACTGGGGCTGCCAGGACCATGACCCCCACCAGCCCTTGTGGCCTCCTGGGTCCTGCCCTGGTCTGTCCTCCCCACACCCCTGAGGTCCAAGGGGCAGTGCTGGGGAGCACTGCCAAGGGCTTGCGCCCGCCCTGGGTCTAACCGGCTAACAAAGCGAGGAGGGGCCCGTCCCGGGGCCTCAGCCTGGGAGCAGACAGCCGCCCCAGCTCCTTGCCTGTGGGGTCCAAGGAAAAGTGAGTGGGAGGGCTCAGGTCTGTGATGTTCCACCAGGAGGAACCCGGCCCAGGGCCTAGGTGTCAGGAGGGCTCTCCTAAGACAGCCCCGAGCTTCCCAGCCCCTCCACCTGCCCCTAACCCTCAACTCAGGCTCCTGGTCCACCCCAAGGGCCCCCAGCCCTCCCCGTCCCAGGCAGCGCCACATTCTAGCAGCTATTTGCTCTCGGCCTCCCTGACCAGCTCCTTTTTATTTTTCCAGAGAGGGTCTCGCTCTGTCACCCAGGCTGGAGTGCAGTGGTGTAGTCACGTGGGGCTCCCCACAGCCTCGACCTCCTGAGCTCAGGCTTGTCCCTCCTCCCCTGTAAGAGCCTCCTGTAGCTGGAACTCTAGGTGCATGCCACCACGCCTGGCTATGTTTAATTTTTTGTAGAGGCAGAGTCTCACCATGTGTGCCCAAGCTCTTCTCAAACTCCTGGGCTCAAGCAATCCTCCCACCTCGGCCTCTCAAAGTGCTGGGATTCCAGGTGTGAGCCACCGCGCCCGGCCCTGGACCAGCTCCTCGAGGAATCATTTTTCACTCCTCTGCATCGTTTGGGTGGGTGTGGGGGTGGACACGCCTACCACACAGGCAGCTTCAGGGTCCCAGAAGGTCAGTGGCACCCCAAGGGACCCAGGCCGAGGGTAGGGCCTTTTCAGGTCACAGGTGCTCAGAGGCAGCAGAACAGGACCTAAACCCCGAGCGCTCAGGAAAGCAGCCGGCGTGAAGCCACATCGCTGGGGGGCCAACGCGCCGGGCCAGGTGGGCAGAGCCCTGGTCACTGGTCGTTAACGTGCCTGCCATCTGGGTCCAGACACACTGCCCTGTACGCCTGTCACCTCTGCCTCCATGTGGGCGAAAGTACCTAGGTGCCGAGGCAAGAGACTGAAGGCACAAACTGTTTCAGTATAATAAAGAAAATAGTTGGAATAAGATTAGTCATAATACAAATTAGATATAGAGATGATCATGGACAATTATCAATCATTATTATAAACATTATTAATCATTAGCTTTTAATATTACTCTTTGTTGCATTTCATACTCCTCCTGTACTCCTGGTTCCTCTTTGAAGTTCGTAGCAGATAGCGGTAAAACAAATAGTGAAAGTCTTAAAGTCTTTGATCTTTCTTATAAGTGCAGAGAAGAAAATGCTGACGTTTGCTGCCTTCCGTCTCTGCTTCGGCTACCTAAAAGGGAAGGGCCCCCTATCCTGTAATCACATGACTTACTTCACCTTGTCAATCACTGAGAAGATTCACCCTCCTTACCCTGCCCCCTTGTCTTGTATGCAATAAATATCAGTGGGCCTAGCCCTCTGGGACCACTACTGGTCCCCGCGTCTTGATGGTAGTGGTCCCCAGAGCCCAGCTGCTTTCTCTTTCTCTCTTTATCTTGTGTCTTTATTTATTACAATCCCTCATCTCCACACACAGGGAAAACACCCGCTAAGCCCCGTAGGGCTGGACCCTACACCTCCACACTGCCAGGATCCTGATGGACGTCCTCAGGGGCCTGCGGCGTCCCAGGAGCCCCAAACCCCAAACCCTTCCTCTGGGCTCTAAGTCCACAACTGTCAGACACCTCTGGGTCCCAACCACTTGCCCTTCTGCTTACAGGAAACTGGCTCCCCCAGGGGCTCTCCCAGGGGCCAGCCGTCCTGGGGGAGGGGAGGGGCGGGCACTCCACTCTCCCTGGGGCTGAGACCACCCGGCCCACCCCTTCTCCCCTCTCCCCTGCTGTACACAGGCAGCTCTGGCCCTGCCTGGGGCCCCTCCCACCACTCTCCTGGCCCCCTCCTTGGCCTCAGCTCAGGGGCCCTGGTTGTGTAACATCTTCTCAGATTGCAGCAGCTTAGAGGTCTTAATGTGACAATCACCAGCTTCTAATCCGAACACAAAGGCCGCCCCTGAGCACCCACCCCGCCCCGACGACCCTGGCTGGAGCCGCTGCAGAATTCCGTCAGAACCCGCCAGGCCGGAGCTGCTGCGGAAGGAACGGGGCCAGAACCCGCCTTCCTCCCCACACACGTGCTCCTCATTGCTCTTTCCGCGTGGCTGCAGGCCTCGTCAGAGCCTCCGGCTGGGAGGTTGGGACGGCGTGGAATTCTCTGCGCGTCTCTTACACACACCTGACCACGGACACTCAACGCCGTCACATGGCCGTTGGGGGAGCTGTCTCCGGGGCACCAAGGCTGGTGGCCTGCCTCACGCAGATTCGCCGCGTTCTCCTGCGTCGGAGTCACTCGGAGTCTGTGTTAACCCGCGGGCTGCGAGAACACGGCCTGCCTGGATGCGATCGGGTCTCATCAGATTTTCCTGCTGTCAGGTAGAGAAATCTAACAGGTTTCCGGCTTGTGAAAACTCCTGGCCTCCCAGCCACCACGCAGTGTGGGTTTTCCTCATGGCAGACAGGCAGTTCTTCGGGCCAGCTCGGGCCAGCCAGGTGTCTCACCGGCACCTGCTTTGCCTGGCTGTGTTGTATTTCACATATCTAAAGGCACAAAAGAAAAGCCTGAGGGGGATCTAAGAAGCCCCTCTCCCCATTGCTGGATAAACTGGAGGTGAACATGGCAGGGCAGGGCAGCAGCGGAGACGGCAGGACCCAGCCACGGAGCTCCAGGAACAAGTGCCCACGGCTGGCAGCAGGGCTGTCATGGGCAGGACGTGCCCGGCACTGGCCTGCTCCGGCCCAACGGTCACCGCAGCCTCCTGGAGCCGGACCCCCAGGGAAGAGCAGCCGCAGCCTCTTCCTCCTCCAACAGTCCTGGACTGTGTCCGCTTCCCCAGTCCCCAGAGGCCCAGCGGAAGGCAGTGTGGATGCAGAGGTCTTGCTCTCCCAGGGTCCAGAGGGCACTAGGGGGAGGAATTCCTCCTCCCCCCTCTGCAGGCACTACCAGCGGGTGTCCCTCAGCAGGCAAGGCCAGGCCTCTGCAGCCCCACAGCCCATGCTGAGCCCAGATCCTCACGGGAAGCCCGGGGCTCTGGGCTTTTCCCTGTCACCCGGCTGGCCTCTCCAACAACAGGAGTGAGCATTTAGACCACGACCAGGGCCGGAGGTCCTTAGGAAAGCAACGGACCCCAGCTCTGAGAATCACAAGTCCCTACCCAGGGTGGGACGTGGGGTCGTGCGGCCAGCACGGGCAGAAGCTTGAAAGCCCCCAAGTCACCCCTGGGCCAGCAGCAGCCACCCAGGGCAGGAGGGCAGGTGCACAGCCAGGGTCAGCGGGTCAGCAACTCACCCTGGCCTGCAGCCTACCCAGCACGGACCATGTGCCCAGTAGCAGAGCTAGAGGAACAAGCAGAAAAATGGCCGGCCCCCAACCAGAGGTCAGAGGGAAGGGCAGGAGCCGCCGGCTGACCTCGGGGGACGCGGGCACACGCTGTGGGGCTTCGTGTCAGGCACCCATGGGGCCTGGGGTCTGCTCTGTGCAACAGATACTGTCGGGCTGCCCATGGGTACCCAGCCTGGGATGGCAGAACAGTGGCCAGAGCCCAGGGACAGAGCCGGGCCTTGGCCAGTGAGGCAGGACAGCCCCAGGTGCCCCCAGGCACAGCAGGAAGTAGCCCAGGCATTGGGCGGGACCCACTGGCTCTGCTGGGCCAGCATGAAAGTGCCCCTGATTTGTGCCTTCAAAGCATGCTGGATCGGCTGGACGCAGAGGCTCGGGCCTGTAATCCCAGCACTTTGGGAGGCTGAGGTGGGAGGCCGCTGGAGGCCAGGAGTTCAAGACCAGCCTGGGCAACACAGGGACACCTCATCTCTACAAAAAAAAAAATTTAAAAATTATCTGGGCATGGCCGGGTGCGGTGGCTCATGCCTGTGATCCCAGCACTTTGGGAGGCCGAGGCGGGCAGATCATGAGGTCAGGAGATCAAGACCATCCTGGCTAAGAAGGTGAAACCCCATCTCTACTAAAAATACAAAAAATTAGCCGGGCACGGTGGTGGACACCTGTAGTCCCAGTTACTCGGGAGGCTGAGGAAGGAGAATGGCGTGAACCCGGGAGGCGGAACTTGCAGTGAGCCAAGATCGCACCACTGCACTCCAGCCTGGGTGACAGAACAAGACTCTGTCTCAAAAAAAAAAAAAAAAATTATCTGGGCATGATGGCTCACACCTGTACTCCCAGCTACTCAGGAGGCTGAGGTGGGAGGATCACTTGAGCCCAGGAGGTGGAGGCTGCACTGAGCTGTGACTATACCCCTGCACTCCAGCCTGGGTGACAGAGTGAGATCCTGTCTCAAAAAAAAAAAATCATGCTGGACCAAGGCCCCCACCCATCCCCCGAGGACCTCCACCAGGAGGACGTGGCCTGTCCACACAGAGGCCCTGGCTAGGCAGGCGGGCTCTGCAGGGCAGCGGGTCAGAGGTATGTTTCCCCCTCTGAGCAGGATCCGAGGTCCTCGACACCCACAGGGACAGGAGGGGCCCGTGGATACACCTCGGTCAGGCCCAGCTGCTGAGGGCCTCCAGGGCCACCAAGGGTTATGAGTTGCCCGTTCCATGTCCAGGCCTGCCCTGTGCAGCCGGTGGGAGCTCAGCTGCCACCAGACAGTGCATGGGGACAGGAGGCACAGTGACAGTCACAGTAGTGTCAGGCCCGGCCACACTATGGCCCCAGTGGTCCAGGGGCTGTGGGAATGGGATGCACAGGCCCTTCACAATGGGCTCTGAAAGATGATTTTCCAGTAACAGAAGCAAAGAGAAGGTTGCAACCAATTCAGATTTTTACTGGACATTCATGACAGAATGAGATGTGCATCCAGCTGCATCGCCCAGCCCATCCGCTGCCCAGGGCAGCTGACGAGCAGAAACACACTCTGCAGTGGCCCTTGTCCGTGCCGGGGCCCTCGCCCGCAGCACCGCACGTTCTTTGTAGGAGCAGAACCCGAAACTCAGAGCACAGCTTGCCCTGATAACTGTCTTCCCAGCTGGCAGCCCTCTAGAAGATGTGGGAAATGACACATTCCTGTCCAGACACAAGCCACAGTCACCCCCCTCCCGAGGGCGTCCACGGCCTGAGGGACCCGGCTCCATTCAGCAGAGCCGCAGCGCTCAGGTCCTCTCGGCAACCCACGATCACGGCCCACGTGGTCCTGCCCGTGCCCCCGCTGCCCACGCCCCCTGCTGCCCACGCATGCCCCCCGCTGCCCACGCATGCCCGGGGAACGAGCAGCAAGCAGGCAGAACCACCACCCAGCGCCTGCTCCCCAGGCCGCAGCAGGCAAGATGGGGCCAGGGGCCACCACGCAAGTGAGACCCACCCCGCTTCCACGTGGGCAAAGCTGCCGCCACCCCGGCCTGTCCAGGATGGCTGCAGAGGCCCCACCTCGCCCTGCAAAGGAGGGTGCCTGCCACGCCCCCCACTCTGCCAGATGCTCCTGCCCGAGGGCCTGCGTCCGGCAGTTCCCCAGTGCGGGCTCCCAGTCCCTTCAACCAGGTGCCTGGTCCCCTGCCCACTGCCGGCTCATCCCTCAGAGCCACCGCAACACCCCCGCCCGAGAGCCACCCGCCGACCCCCAGTGGGCCTTGGCAGCAGCAGGAGTGGCCGTCAGGCCTGGCTGGGCAGCGTCTTGTAGGGGTTGAGGATGCCCTTGGGGTCCAGCAGGGCCTTGAGCTGCTGCATGAGCTGCAGGGCCCCCGGTGGCTTGCTGTAGCCCAGGACGTCCCTCTTCCTGAAGCCCACTCCGTGCTCCGCGCTGACGCTGCCCTGCTGCCCGGCCGTCCACTCGTACACGTGGGGCTCCAGGGCAGCCAGGAGCGAGGGGCTGAAGGCCTCCGCCGTCACATTGAGGTGCAGGTTACCATCTCCTGGAGGGACAAGGGCACATGGGTCAGGCTGGGCAGGGCAGCCCCCAGGACCCCACTCCTCCCCCAACAGCCCCTCCCAAGATCCCCTCCCCAGCAACCCCGAGACCCCCGGCTGAGCCTCACCCTCATGCCACTCGCCCTGGACGTGCCGACCCCTCCTCTGGGGCCGCTGCTACCTTGGCTTCTCCCTGCTTCTCTCCCCAAGTTCTCCCCCCTCTTCCTACTCCCTCAGCCCGGGGCTCCCATCTCCCCAACTTCTCCCCCCTCTTCCTACTCCCTCAGCCCGGGGCTCCCATCTCCCCAACTTCTCCCCCCTCTTCCTACTCCCTCAGCCCGGGGCTCCCATCTCCCCAACTTCTCCCCCCTCTTCCTACTCCCTCAGCCCGGGGCTCCCATCTCCCCAACTTCTCCCCCCTCTTCCTACTCCCTCAGCCCGGGGCTCCCATCTCCCCAACTTCTCCCCCCTCTTCCTACTCCCTCAGCCCGGGGCTCCCATCTCCCCAACTTCTCCCCCCTCTTCCTACTCCCTCAGCCCGGGGCTCCCATCTCCCCAACTTCTCCCCCCTCTTCCTACTCCCTCAGCCCGGGGCTCCCATCTCCCCAACTTCTCCCCCCTCTTCCTACTCCCTCAGCCCGGGGCTCCCATCTCCCCAACTTCTCCCCCCTCTTCCTACTCCCTCAGCCCGGGGCTCCCATCTCCCCAACTTCTCCCCCCTCTTCCTACTCCCTCAGCCCGGGGCTCCCATCTCCCCAACTTCTCCCCCCTCTTCCTACTCCCTCAGCCCGGGGCTCCCATCTCCCCAACTTCTCCCCCCTCTTCCTACTCCCTCAGCCCGGGGCTCCCATCTCCCCAAGTTCTCCCCCCTCTTCCTACTCCCTCAGCCCGGGGCTCCCATCTCCCCAAGTTCTCCCCCCTCTTCCTACTCCCTCAGCCCGGGGCTCCCATCTCCCCAAGTTCTCCCCCCTCTTCCTACTCCCTCAGCCCGGGGCTCCCATCTCCCCAACTTCTCCCCCCTCTTCCTACTCCCTCAGCCCGGGGCTCCCATCTCCCCAACTTCTCCCCCCTCTTCCTACTCCCTCAGCCCGGGGCTCCCATCTCCCCAACTTCTCCCCCCTCTTCCTACTCCCTCAGCCCGGGGCTCCCATCTCCCCAACTTCTCCCCCCTCTTCCTACTCCCTCAGCCCGGGGCTCCCATCTCCCCAACTTCTCCCCCCTCTTCCTACTCCCTCAGCCCGGGGCTCCCATCTCCCCAAGTTCTCCCCCCTCTTCCTACTCCCTCAGCCCGGGGCTCCCATCTCCCCAAGTTCTCCCCCCTCTTCCTACTCCCTCAGCCCGGGGCTCCCATCTCCCCACCTTCTCCCCCCTCTTCCTACTCCCTCAGCCCGGGGCTCCCATCTCCCCAACTTCTCCCCCCTCTTCCTACTCCCTCAGCCCGGGGCTCCCATCTCCCCAACTTCTCCCCCCTCTTCCTACTCCCTCAGCCCGGGGCTCCCATCTCCCCAACTTCTCCCCCCTCTTCCTACTCCCTCAGCCCGGGGCTCCCATCTCCCCAACTTCTCCCCCCTCTTCCTACTCCCTCAGCCCGGGGCTCCCATCTCCCCAAGTTCTCCCCCCTCTTCCTACTCACTCAGCCCGGGGCTCCCATCTCCCCAAGTTCTCCCCCCTCTTCCTACTCCCTCAGCCCGGGGCTCCCATCTCCCCAACTTCTCCCCCCTCTTCCTACTCCCTCAGCCCGGGGCTCCCATCTCCCCAACTTCTCCCCCCTCTTCCTACTCCCTCAGCCCGGGGCTCCCATCTCCCCAACTTCTCCCCCCTCTTCCTACTCCCTCAGCCCGGGGCTCCCATCTCCCCAACTTCTCCCCCCTCTTCCTACTCCCTCAGCCCGGGGCTCCCATCTCCCCACCTTCTCCCCCCTCTTCCTACTCCCTCAGCCCGGGGCTCCCATCTCCCCAACTTCTCCCCCCTCTTCCTACTCCCTCAGCCCGGGGCTCCCATCTCCCCAACTTCTCCCCCCTCTTCCTACTCCCTCAGCCCGGGGCTCCCATCTCCCCAACTTCTCCCCCCTCTTCCTACTCCCTCAGCCCGGGGCTCCCATCTCCCCAACTTCTCCCCCCTCTTCCTACTCCCTCAGCCCGGGGCTCCCATCTCCCCAACTTCTCCCCCCTCTTCCTACTCCCTCAGCCCGGGGCTCCCATCTCCCCAACTTCTCCCCCCTCTTCCTAATCCCTCAGCCCGGGGCTCCCATCTCCCCAAGTTCTCCCCCCTCTTCCTACTCCCTCAGCCCGGGGCTCCCATCTCCCCAAGTTCTCCCCCCTCTTCCTACTCCCTCAGCCCGGGGCTCCCATCTCCCCAAGTTCTCCCCCCTCTTCCTACTCCCTCAGCCCGGGGCTCCCATCTCCCCAAGTTCTCCCCCCTCTTCCTACTCCCTCAGCCCGGGGCTCCCATCTCCCCAGGCAGAGAGCGGCCACCTGAGTTACCGCATGGCCTGCCACTGCCTCCCTCCTGACCTGGAAGAGTCCAGACCGTCTTCCAGTCTGTATCCCCAGCACCTGGTCGGATGGAGGGGTCCGCAGTGGCGCCCAGGGCAGCTCTATCTGGACGCCCCCACCCCCATGGGTGTCGCCCCTGGAGCTGCCCAGCCAGTGCCCACTGCAGACAAAGTCCTGGCTCCCAGCTGCCTCCTCTCTGGTCCACTTAGCCCACACTGAGCCCCCAGGGCAGCAGCTCTCCAAGCACACCCTGGCCCTGGCCCGCCCCACGCACAACCTCCTCTTCTGACCTCAGAGGTCAAGAAGGCGACGGCTCAGAGAAGAGGCTGGGGACAGCCAGGGTCAGAGTGAAGTGAGGACCCCGCCCCACCTCCGGGCCAGCAGGAGAGGGAGCCAGAAACCAGCTCAAGGGCTGCCCAGACAAGGACAGCGGCTTTTAACGCAGAGCTGCACACCGAGGAGGAGCTCCAGAGGCAAACCAGGACGCACCACCCCAAACTGTGCCATGTTGGGGTGAGGGCTGTTTTCCCACAAAGGCAACTGAGAAGCGGCAGATCCAAGGAAAGCTCCCCCAACTCAGGTCCTGCCTCAGAGCGGCACAGGAATGACTGACAAGGGCAAGGCCCCTCCCTCCACCAGAACCGACAAAGGTCGAGGCAGCTTCAGGCCCTGCCGTCCTCTGCCAGCTCCCTGCCTCCTCCGAGATGCCACCTGGAGACTCATAGTCCATGTCCTGTCATGTGACATCCCTAAAATTTGACTGTTTGTTGAAGACGCCACGTGGGCCTGAATTCACAGCCAGCTCTTTGAGAATCACTCATTCCCTGGCCACTCCCAAGTAGACGTGAAACATGCACGTCATGAGCCTCTGTTATTTCTCCTGTTAATCTGTCTGTAGCTGCAGGGTCCATCCCAGCTGGGAACTAGAAAGGGTAGACAGAAAACTATTTCTCCACCCCTACGAGAACAAACCCCAGGCAGGGAGTACAGCAGGGACCCCTCCCACAGTCCCCGTCGCCCCCCAGTCCCCGCCCCTCCCACAGTCCCCACGGATGCGTGCTCAGGCCAGAGAGGGCTGAACACATCCCCTGCCCGGGGACTTGCCCAGGAAGGACTGGTTGTGAAAGAAGAAAAACCACATCCACAGAATATGTTCATTTGGTTTTGTTTTTTTGAGACAGGGTCTCCCTCTGTCACCCAGGCCGGAGGGCAGTAGAGTGATCGTGGCTCACACTTCAACCTCCTGTGCTCAGTCAGTCCTCCCACCTCTGCCTCCTGAGTAGCTGGGACTGCAGGCATGTACCACCATGCCTGGCTGATTATTTTTTTTGTAGAAACGGCGGGTGGTCGGGGGTGGGGGGCCGGTCTCACCATGTTGCCCAGGCTGGTCTTGAACTCCTGACCTCAAGCAGTCCTCCCACCTCAGCTTCCCAAAGCGCTGAGATTACAGGTGTGAGCCACGTGCCTGGCGTCCACAAAGTATGTGAATACAGTCACGCTTCATAACAACGTTTCACCCAACCCCGGACCACAGAGATGATGCTGGCCCCATAACATTAAAATGGAGCTGAAAAACTGCCATCACCTTAATGACGATGTCACCATGTTGTAGCACAATTACTTGTTAATATCAGTTTAGTGTGGCCTCAGTGTGCAGCATTTATAAAGTCTAGAGTAGAGTACGGTCATCTCCTAGGCCTTCGCAACCCCTCACGCTCACCCACTGCCTCGCCAGAGCAACCTCCAGTCCCGCGAGACCCACTCGTGATGGGCACCCCAGGCAGGTGTGGCATTTTTACCTTTTATACCATACTTTTACGGTCCCTTTTCTAGGATTAGCTTTTGTGTTCAGGCACATACTCAGCATTATGTCACAACTGCTTCCGGCATTAAGTGGATGACAGCTGTGGTTTGTCACCTAGGGGCAATGGCTACACCACACAGCCTTGGTGTGGAAGAGGCTGTCCCATCTGGGTGTGAGTGCCCTCCGTGATGCTCACACAAAACGAAACCACCTAATGACACATTTCTCAGGACGCATCCCCATCATTCAGCAACACCCAACTGTATTCCCGAGCAACGGCGGCCTGCACCCGGAACTCACGCTGCCTCGGGTCCCAAAGGCTGAGAATGTGGAGATTAAAGAGGTTCCGGGCGGGGCCCCAGGCCCTCACCCTCCCCACCCACTGCAGAAGCAAACCACCTCCCCTGCAGGCCTCAAATAATTCCTACAGATAAAAATCTAACGAATATGAGCTCATGCCAAAAATCACACACACAAGAAGACAAACCACCACGGCTAAGGTCAGAATCAGACCCACAAACACCTCAGACGCTGTCATTTCCAGACACAGAACACAAACGTGTCATGTGTAAAGAAATAAGAGACAAAAATATAAAACCAAAAAATCTGACCAAGCAATTTTTAAATATCCACGCCAATCTTCCGGAGATGAAATGCATCATGGCTGGCCTGTGGACCTTAGCAGACAGATCTGACGGCCGATCACACACGGCAGAGAACGCCAAGCTGGAGACACTGCAAATAGCATCCAAACCTGAGAGGCGGGACCCTGGCAGCAGCCGATAAGAAACAAGGGGGCTTGGACTGAGTTCCAAGAGGAGAACAGAGGAAGGGGAGAAACGGTGTTTGAAGAGGCTCTGGTGGCTGAGGAATTTCTAAAGCCAGCAAGACCCCAAAGCCCAAGAAGTGCCAGGCAGGTAAACACTCACCCGGCCAACAGGCAGGTAAACAAACACTCATCTGGCCGACTCCCGGCCAAACCAGAGTGAAACCGCAGAACCCCAAAGACAATGGAAGGAGCTGAAAGCAGCAAAAAGGAAAAAGCAGGCTGGGCGCGGTGGCTCACACCTGCAATCTCAGCACTTTGGGAGACTGAGGCGGGTGGATCACGAGGTCAGGAGTTCGAGACCAGCCTGGCCAATATGGTGAAACCCCATCTCTACTAAAAATGCAAAAATTAGCCGGGTGTGGTGGCACACGCCTGTAATCCCAGCTGCTCGGGAGGCTGAGGCAGGAGAATCGCCTGAACCCGGGAGGCGGACGTTGCAGTGAGCCAAGATCGCACCACTGCACTCCAGCCTGGGTGACAGAGCGGGACTCCATCTCAAAAAAAAAAAAAAAAAAAAGGAAAAGAAAAAGAAAGAAATTATTTATTTCCCTCTGTTCCCTCCATTCCCCCGAAGGGAACTGCCCTGAACTGAGGCTGTCTCCGCACCAGCAGACATCAGAAGAGAGAACAGAGACTCCCTCCTGCTGCTGGGAAGCAACTGTCAACCCAGAACCACGGAAATCCACTGAGGAAAAGACATTTTTATCAACTAAATCAGTACATTTCCAGACAAAGAAAATCTGAGCTGTTCCGTCACCTATTTTTCCATGCCAGGGAAAATTCTGGAGGCTGAGATTCAAGCAGAAGCTGTGTGCAAACTGGCTACGCAGAATCAGGATGGTGACATGGTGACAGGGTTATGTGTGACTGAACAAGGCAGAACCAGAATACACCACCGAACAGCATGCAGGTGCCCCTCAGTGTCCCTGGGGGACTGGATACAGGACCCCTCGGATATCAAAATCCTGAGATGCTCGAGTCTCTGACAGGAAATGGCATAGGATTTGCATATAAACTACACACATCCTCCTGTATACTTTTCTTTCTTGAGACGGAGTTTCGCTCTTTTGCCCAGGCTGGAGTGAAGTGGCACAACCTCGCCTCACTGCAACCTCCGCCTCCCAGATTCAAGCAATTCTCCTGCCTCAGCCTCCCAAGCAGCTGGGATTACAGGCACACGCCACCATGCCTGGCTAATTTTTGTATTTTTAGTAGAGATGGGGTGTCACCATGTTGGCCAGGCTGGTATTGAACTCCTGACCTCCGGTGATCCACCCGCTTTGGCCTCCCGTATTGCTGGGATTACAGACGTGAGCCACTGTGCCCGGCCCCTCCTGTATACTTTAAATCACCTCTAGATTACTTACGATTCCTGGTACGACGGAAATGCTGTGTCTGTCACTGTTATACTACATCGTCTTTTGTTTATTTTTTATTGTTGTATTGTTATTTTTATGGTTGAATCTGCAGATGTGGAGCCCGCAAATACAGGGGCCACCATAAACTGGGGGGTAAACGACAGCCAAAGTGACGGGGCCCTGAAGTCCTCGCACTGTGCAGCCATCAGGGCTCCCAGAGAGGCAGAACCAGCAGGATGTGTGTGTACAGACAGTGCGAGCAAGAGTGAGATTATACATATTTAGAGAAACAAACAGAGAGAGAAAGATGGAGAGACACACTGAGACACAGGGAGATGACAGACACTGATTTTAATGAACTGACTCATGTGACTGAGGGAGCTAAGTCTAAAATCTGAAGTCCAGGTCAGCAGGCTGGAGATCCCAGCAGGAGCTGGTGCTGCAGCTTGAGTCTCCATCTGGGTCAGAATCCTCTCTTCCTTAAGAGATCTTAGATTTCTGCTCTTGTGGCCTTCGACTGATTGGGTAAGGCCCACCCACGCTGTGTCGAAGTCCTTCGACTGATTGGGTAAGGCCCACCCACACTGTGGCAAAGGACTTCGACTGATTGGGTAAGGCCCACCCACACTGTGGCGAAGGACTTCGACTGATTGGGCAAGGCCCACCCACGCTGTGTCAAAGGCCTTTGACTGATTGGGTAAGGCCCACCCACGCTGTGGCAAAGGCCTTTGACTGGGTAAGGCCCACCCACGCTGTGGCAAAAAGCCTTCAACTGATTGCGTAAGGCCCACCCACGCTGTGGCAAAAAGCCTTCGACTGATTGGGTAAGGCCCACCCACGCTGTGGCAAAGGCCTTCGACTGATTGGGTAAGGCCCACCCACACTGTAGCAAAGGCCTTCGACTGATTGGGTAAGGCCCACCCACGCTGTGGCGAAGTCCTTCGACTGATTGGGTAAGGCCCACCCACACTGTAGCAAAGGCCTTCGACTGATTGGGTAAGGCCCACCCACGCTGTGGCGAAGTCCTTCGACTGATTGGGTAAGGCCCACCCACACTGTAGCAAAGGCCTTCGACTGATTGGGTAAGGCCCACCCACGCTGTGGCGAAGTCCTTCGACTGATTGGGTAAGGCCCACCCATGCTGTGGCGAAGGCCTTCGACTGGGTAAGGCCCACCCACGCTGTGGCGAAGTCCTTCGACTGATTGGGTAAGGCCCACCCACACTGTGGTGGGAGATCTCCTGTACTCAACGTCTACTGATTTAAATGTTAATCACACATAAAAAATATCTTCACAGAAACATCCAAACTGGAGTTTGACCAAACGAGGGTACCAGGGCCCAGACAAGTGGACGCAGAGAATTCACCATCACACATTATTTGGGAGGAAGATAGTGACTCTGATTAACCTCAAACCCAGAGGGCTAGAAATGTCCACTGTGGTGCCAGGGCGACCACCAACAGTTAGTAAACGGCAAAAAGCTAAATGACAAAGAACATAAACCAGAAGAGCAAAAAACAGAGGAAAAAATAGACAAGAAGTGAGAGACAAAGAGCAGGGTGAAGTAGACAAATCCAAACAGTGGGCCACAGCACGTGCTCAGCAGCCAAACGCTCTCATTCAAGACGGCAAACAAGTACGCAAGAAACCTGTCCGGGGGCGTCCACAAGAAACACATCTAAATCACTAAGGATGGAAAAGCTGAAGCTAACCGGAGGAAAAACAACACATCAGGCAAACACTAAATAAAAGAAAGTTAGCATCACTGTGTAATAAACAAAGCAGACACCAAGGCAGCGGGCAATGCTGGAGATAAAGAGCGAGTCCATCGCGTTAGGAGATTCAGTTTCCCAAAACAAAGAGACGAACCTCATGTCCTATGCCCCTAAGAACACGTCTCCAGAACTGGCAAAGCTACAGGAGGAACAGATTAGTCTGTTGTCAGCAGATTTCTAACACCTCCCTCAGGGAGTGGCAGGTCAGCAGGATGTAGAATGAACACGCGACGTATACTTCTATCTGATGGATCTGTACAAACACTGATTCCAGCAACTGCAGAGAGCACATTCTTTTCAAGCACTCCACAGTTACGAAGGCTGATCATAAGCTGCCACTGATCAAGTTTCAAAAATCTGATCTGATAAGGACGAAGTTTCCTGGGTATAATGCAATAAAAAAGAAATCAATAATTTTTAAAATAACTAGAAAACCACCACGTTTGGAAATTAAGAAACACACTTCTGCATAACTCATCGGTCAAAGAAGGAATGATAATGCAAGCAGCAAATAATGCCAGGCACAGTACCTCACGCCTGTAATCTCTGGCTTTGAGAGGCCAAGGAGGGAGCATTTGCTTGAGGCCCCGGAGTTCAAGACCGGTCCGGCCACACAACTGGCTCTACATGAGTCTGGCTCTACACACACACACACACACACACACACACACACACACACACACATATATTGTGGGGCGGGGGGCGGTATAGATCAGATGTCACTGTGTTGCCCAGGCTGGTCTAGAACTACTGGACTCCAGTGATCCTTCCAGCCTTGGCTTCCTGAAGTACTGAGATTATAGGCGTGAACCACTGCACCGGGCCTACAAAAAAATTTTTTTTTAGTTAGCCAGGCCTGCTGGTGTGTGTGAGGTGGCGGGCCTGCTTGATCCCAGAAGGTCGAGGCTGTGGTGAGCCACTGCACTCCAGCCTGGGTGACAGCGAGACCCTGTCCCCACCAAAAAAAAGGGTGTGGGGGCATCCCACAAATGCTACATAAAAAGACAACAAAAGAATATTCGAACAACTTTATGCCAATATGGGAAAAAATTAGCAATACCAATCTAGAAGAAAGGAAAGCTTGAAAGTCCTAAAGCTATTGAAGAAGCTGAGCTATAATTTTAAAATACTCCCTCAAAAAAACCTCCAGGCCCAAACAGCTCCACTGGCAAGTTCTGCATAATATTCATGTTATGATTTTGATACCAAAATCCAGCATGGACAGAAGAAAGGAACAGCGTGGAACAGAATCATCCACCAAGACCCCTGTCAAAATCCCACACCAAACATAAACAAACTCATCCAGCAAGATACAGAAAGGATCATGGCCACCTTGGGCCTACCCCAGAAACACAGACTCATCTGACTCCAGAGGGATCAATCAGTGTAACTTACCACACTGATTACAGGCAGACAAGCACCCGGTCACCATGACAGATGCAGGAAACACATTTTAAAAATTCAACATTCATTCTTGCTTTTTTTTTTTTTTTTGAGATGGAGTTTCACTCTTGTCACCCAGGCTGGAGTGCAATGGTGCAACCTCTGCTCACTGCAACCTCCGCCTCCTGGGTTCAAGTGATTCTCCTGCTTCAGCCTCCCGAGTAGCTGGGATTACAGGTGCCTGCCACCATGCCCAGTTAATTTTTTGTATTTTTAGTAGAGGCGAGGTTTCATCATGTTGGCCGGGCTGGTGTCGAACTCCTGACCTCAGGTGATCCACCCGCCTCAGCCTCCCAAAGTGCTGGGATTACAGGCATGAACCACTGCGCCTGGCCCATTCTTGCTTTTACAAAGTAACAGAGGGCTCATTCCATTTCTCACCAAGATGGTCTGCTTTATCTGTGGCCAAGAGAGACTGAAGTTACCTGGAGAGGAGGAAGCCTCCTCCTGGCTTGAGGTCATATTCTGAAATATTGGGGATCCCGTACCCCTCTTCTCTGGATGATGACACACTCATCATGCCCTTAACCCCTTCCCATATTCTGAAATATTGGGGCTCCCGTACCCCTCTTCTCTGGATGATGACACACTCATCATGCCCTTACCCCCTTCCCATATTCTGAAATACTGGGGCTCCCGTACCCCTCTTCTCTGGATGATGACACACTCATCATGCCCTTACCCCCTTCCCATTCAGGAGTCCTGCCTTCCTATCACAGAAGATTACCATCCATCCTATGTCAAATCCTCCAGATGTACCCCTCCACAGGCTGGGCAACTTTGGGCAAGTTACTTAAATTCTCTGAACCTGTTTACATGTGTGTAAAAGGGAAGCAACACCACCAGTCCTAAAAGCTGTTGTGCAGAGAAGTTTCTCCACATCAAGTGCTTAGAATAATGCCTGGGACAGCACGGGACCTTCGTAAGTAATACGTGTTATTGTCGTCACGTACACAACCCTAGACCCTCCTGTAACCACAGAGGTGGCACCTGAATCCCATTTACTGGCAGATGGATGGAGGCTTCAGGTCAGTGACTCCAGTGCCACCAGGCCAGGGAAGAAGCCAGAGTGAATATCTGTCAGGCCCCAAAGCCATGCTCCACACCCCCAGCACTGCCCCCACCCCTGCCCTATAAGCTGGCCTTTTAGACACCTCGCTCCAAGGCTCCAAAGAACTGACAGGAAAACAGCTGGGCACGGTGGCTCACTCCTGTAATCCCAGCACTTTGAGAGGCCGAAGTGGGCAGATCACCAGAGGTCAGGAGTTCAAGACCAGCCTGGCCAACATGGCAAAACCCTGTCTCTACTAAAAATACAAAAATTAGCCAGGCCTGGTGGTGGACGCCTGTAATCCCAGAGACTCGGGAGGCTGGGGCAGGAGAATTGCTTGAACCCAGAAGATGGAGGTTGCAGTGAGCCGAGATTGCGCCACTGCACTCCAGCCTGGGTGACAAGAGTGAAACTGCGTCTCAAAAAAAAGAACTGATAGGATTGAAACATTTTCTTCCTATGAATTAATAGCTTACACGTTAAAGCATGATTTTTCTGCAGAAAAAAGATGATCTGAACGTGGTTTTGAAATCCTCCCATCTGAAGGGGTAGAGCAGCTGGGGGCTAAGCACTGCAAAGGCCTCGGGGCCGGGCCCTGTGAGAGGAGCCCCTGAGACCCGCATCCCGGACTCCGGGGTTAAGGCTGATGCCCTCCAACCCTGCATGCCACTGAAGATCCCAGAACGTTCTGACAAGCTGAGCCATGCGCTCTGCCATTACAAGTGCACGATGGCAGTCTTTTCCAAAATACTCAAAACGAGTCATGACAACGATTAGGATTTTCCCTTCCCTGTCAGACACCGTGGTCCTGCCAGTGTCTACGGGAGATATGCTAAGCCAGAGACCATGGTCAAACTGCCCTGCCTCGAAGCCTGGCAGGGTGACGGTGACCGTGGGGCCCACCACCCAGCACACACAGGGCCGCGGCCCCGGGGCGCCGCTCACCAAGGTGGCCATAGCCCACCACGTGCTTGGCGTGCGGGCCGAGGCGGGCGCGCAGGTCAGTCACGATGTCGTAGAGCCGCTCCACAGGGAGGGAGAGGTCGTACTTGTACACGTAGCCATCCCGGCTCAGCGCCTCTGTGATCCTTTCCCTCAGGGCCCACAGCATCTAGAGGATGAGACGAGATGAGACAAGGGCTGGCTATGGGAACGACACCCGGGGACAGGGGGCACACCACACGGGGTTAGGGCAGCAGCATGTTCTGTATCTTCACCAGGTGAGGCTCCGACCCCGGACAGCAAATGCCCCAGACCAGGTGTGGCTCCAACCCCAGACAGCGAATGTCCCAGACCAGGAGGGGCTCTGACCCAGGACAGCGAATGCCCCAGACCAGGTGTGGCTCCAACCCTGGAATCAATCCCAGACAGTGAATGTCCCAGGCTCCACGACAGCACCGAGCACCCTGGGACTCCGGCAATCAGGCGGCTGGGACACCTCACAGAAGGGGGACAGCCATGACGGAAGGGGGAGGCGCCCACCTGCAGCTTCAGGTCATGACACGGCACAGAGTGGCAAGGGCCAGGGAAGGCCCTGAGGATGAGAATGGGCCTGGACGCTCCCTGAACCAGGGTGGGGCAGGGTAGGGAAGGGGGCGCAGAGTCACACAGGCAGTGGGGACAACAGCAGGGCCCAGGCAGCTCAAGGGGCATGTCGGGTGGGAGGCAGGGACATGGCGGGTGGGCCACAGGGGAGGGAAGGACATGGTGGGTGGGCCACGGGGGAGGGAAGGACACGGTGGGCGGGCCGTGGAGGAGGAGGGACACGGCGGGCGGGCCACGGGGGAGGAAGGATTCTGAGGAGGAGCAGACGGTGCTGGTGGCTGAAGCAGAACCGGGCCAAATCCTAGGGCTCAGACAGATCGGCCTGTGGTTTGCGTGGCTTTTGCTTGCTTCGAACTTCCATTGTGGAGATCTGCACCATGAGGAACAGGACAGAGCCATCCTCTGTGGGCTGCAGGACCACCTCTCCCCTGCAGGGTCCTACCCAGGGCTCAAGCCCAGCACCTGCCCCTCCAGAGACCCTATCATTTCAGGAAATTCTAAGAGAAACACTTGGCCGGGCGCAGTGGCTCACGCCTGTATTCCCAGAGCTTTGGGAGGCTGAGGCAGGAGGATCACTTGAGCCCAGGAGTTTCAGACCAGCCTGAGCCACACAGGGAGACCCCGTCTCTTAAAAACAATAAAAATCAGCTGGGTTTGGTGGTGGGCACCTGTAGACTCAGCTACTCGGGAGGCTGAGGCGGGAGGATTGCTTGAGCCCAGGAGGTCGAGGCTGCAGTGAGCTGCAACTGTGTCACTGCACTCCAGCCTGGGTGAGAGCGAGACCCTGTCTCAAAAAAAAAAGACAAAAAAAGACTCTGTTTTATTGAGGCAACCACAATGCCACACTGACACTTAAAAAAATACCACCTCCTCGCCACCACTGGGAATCCGGCCGGCGCCCAAAATTCCCGCATTTCCCCACCATCAATTTTTTGTTTTTTTGAAGTCTCCCGATGTTGCCCAGGCTCGTCTCAAACTCCTGGGCTCAAGTGATCCTCCTGCTTCAGCCTCCCAAAGCTCTGGGATTACAGCATGAGCCACCGTGCCCGGCCCCTTTTACAAACTTCTAGAGCTAGTTCGGTCAGATCAGACCCTTGGGTCACGCCCTGCCCTGAGCAAGAGCCCCTCCTACGGTCCCTTCGTCACAGCCGCACGGGCACGGCTGCGAGGCCGGCTTTCGCCTCCATGGTCTGGCGGGCATCGGCTGCCTGTGAGGCCTTCTTACCTCCTCATCAGACCGGCCGCCCCATGTGTCCCCGTGGCCACAAGATGGGCTCTACCCTTGTCTGCTCACGCCTCAGTCACTCAGCTCCACACCCACCATCTCTGGAAGGTTCTAGAACATGGCAGGCACGCGCCCCTCAGGGTCTTGGTGCTCCTGCACCAGACGTTCTGCTCCCCACACCCCGTCTTTGCTGAAATGACCCCTCAGGGTCATCTTTCCGGCCCTCCCGGCACTCCCCGGCACACCCCATGACCCTGCCTGGCCCTGCCCTCCTCCCCGGCGCTTCCTGGCTCTGAGGGGCCATGGGCTGAGCTTGTTCCTTCTGCTGCGTGAGTTTATGGGGCAAGGCTTCTCCCGCCCTGGTCACTGCTGTCGCCCGGCAGGCACAGGGCACAGGAGGCATCTCCCTAGCAGGTTTGCTAACTGAATGACACGTGACGGGTGGATAGGCAGTGCCAATGAGACCCGCCGTGGTCACTACTCAGAGGAGCCCGGGGCATCTGGTGCGACCAGTGTGGCTTCCACTCGGGTGGGCTGAGGCTACAGCGGGGCCTGGGCAGGGCTGAGTGTCCCCCGTTGAACACAGGGCCCCCGCGGCAGCGGCTGGACCTGCGCAAGCCCCATTGTCTCAACATGTCCAAAAACCCAGGGCTCCCAGAAGGGAAAGACCACAGAGTGGAAAGCAGAATGGCTCAGGACCTGCCCAGAGCCTCGCCAACACCGGACAACAGCAGAGAAAAGCCTCAGGACCTGCCCAGAGCCTCGCCAATGCTGGACAACAGCAGAGAAAAGCCTCAGGACCTGCCCAGACCTGCCCAGAGCCTCGCCAACACCGGACAACAGCAGAGAAAAGCCTCAGGACCTGCCCAGAGCCTCGCCAACACCGGACAACAGCACAGAAAAGCCTCAGAGCAACTGCACACAACCGCATATCCGGGTCAACTCATCGAGCCGCACACCTAAGAAAGGGTCGTTTTGCTATCTGCAGAAAACAAAGGCCAGATTACCTACCCGTCGAGCATGAGCCAGAACGAGGTGACAGACACACAAGGCGTCTCCTGAACCCGTCCCAGGAAGCGTCTGGAGGTGACTTTGTGAACACAGAACCAGCCCCATTCGGCCCTGTCCTGGTCATGAACCCGGCTCTGGGCATTAATGTTCAAGGCACAGGTCTAGGACTGGACCAGGCTGTGGAGGGGCTGGGGACTGATGTGCAGAGGCTGGGGGCGTTGGGGACAGTCCGCCCTGGGGGTGGCGTGGGGGATGATGTGCAGAGGCTGGGGGCATGGAGGACGGCCCGCCCTGGGGGTGGCATGGGGGCTGGTAGAGAGGTTGGGGGTGTTGGGGGCAGCCTTCCTTTGTGGGGGCATGGGGGCTGATGTGTGGAGGCTGGGGTGCCAGGGTCGCCCTCCTGGGGGTGGTGTGGGGGCTGCATGACTGACTGCCACTCCAGCAAAGCAGCCAGTGCGGGATGAGGGTCCCCACCCGCACCACCAAGGGCAGTTGGGCTCACGTTCCCGCCCCATCTCAAGCAGAAGCTGAGAGAATCCCCGGCGGCTGTCCTGCTCTTTCTGCTGGGAAAACAGACTGACTGGCTGGGCAGCTGCCTCAGCCCGGGCCCCTGGACTGGAAGCCACAGGAGCACATGCAGCCACAGCGATCACCCACACGGAACGCGAGGGAGGGTGAGCCTCTGTTCGTGTGGTCCCTGGGGCCTGGGGATTGCTTGTTACTGCGGCAGAATGTAAGGGAGCTGACTGTCACAGTCCACTTAGAAAAATGCAGGAATGGCAGGCAGAGACCTAGGAAGGACGCACACTTGATCATGCCTCAGTCAACAGAGATGGCACCACACAGCTGCCATTCGCCCAGAGGACGCCCCTGGGCTGGGCATCAGGACACACAAGTGAGCCCAGCCGACCGCACCCCAGCCCTTGGGAGCAGACACCGTTTTGCCCAGAAGCACTGGAATCATGACAGTCAGGCGGCAAAGGTGAGGGGGGAAGATGGCAAGGGCAACACCCAGGCTAACACGAGCCTGAAATCAACTAAGCGGGAGTAAAGTCCTGCGCCCACTGCTCAGGCCCTGGTGACGGTGACCAAGGGCGCCTCCCACTGCCCAGGCCCCGGTGAAGGTAACTGAGGGCTCCTCCCACCCAGGTCCCGGTAACAGTGACCAATGGCTCCCACTATCCAGGCCCCGGTGACGGTGACCGAGGGCTCCCCCTGCCCAGGCCCCGGTGACGGTGACCGAGGGCTCCCCCTGCCCAGGCCCCGGTGACGGTGACCGAGGGCTCCCCCTGCCCAGGCCTTGCCCCTCCTTCCTTTGGCCTCAAAAGGCCAAATCATCTGGTCACACAGTCAACGCCCCTTCCTCCTAGGGAAGGAAAACTGCCCATCCTAGGACTCCCGAGGTCCAGGCTAAGCCTCCACAGCCCCAGGGGCTCCTCCTGCCTCCACTCCTTCCACACGACTCTATGCGGAGCTGCCGCTGACTGGCCGCTTAACCACAGGCTGCAGGGGACCAGCAATGGGGCAGTCCCCTTGCTCATCCCACAGCATGGGGTTGGGGAGGGTCATGGTGGGGAGGAAGTACTTTTTAAATATTAATGAAAATGGCCTAGACACCAGGAATACATTTTCCATCCAAAGAGGCTACTCTCTCAAAGCCATGAAACCCAGTCACATTTCAGCCACATCCCACACTGTCTAGGCTGCACCAATGACCGTTCCAGGCATCCCAAGACAAGGCTGGACTGGACGGACAGAGAGCGGGGACCTGCAAGCAGGACACAGGGCACCTTGACTTTCCTCTGGTCGGTGGCCATGGTCCCATCGGTCACCAGGCCGGAGCCCAGCGCGTGCTCCAGGAAGTGGCCCAGCTTCTCAGCGTCATGGCCTGCGTTGGAGCCTGAAGTCTCGATGAGGACGTAAAACGGACTCTCTAGAAGTGAGCAAGGAAGGCAGAGTGAGCAGAGGCTCCGGCTGCCAGGGCAAGAATCAGGGCTGCTCGGGCAGAACAGCTGTAATAGCAACCACTGATCTTTCGTGGCCAAGAAGGACCCAGGCAGCCTGCGGAGCACACAGCTCTCTGGTTAAGCTGACTTTCAGAAGGTTTAAAAAGTCGTCTTTGGCCGGGCACAGTGGCTCACACCTGTAATCCCAGCACTTTGGGAGGCTGAGGTGGGTGGATCACCTGAGGTCACGAGTTCGAGACCAGCCTGGACAACACGGCAAAACCCTGTCTGTACTAAAAATACAAAAATTAGCTGAGTGTGGTGGCAGGTGCCCGTAATCCCAGCTACTCAGGAGGCTGAGGCAGGAGAATTGTTTGAACCCGGGAGGTGGAAGCTGCTGAGGCAGAAGAATCGTTTGAACCCGGGAGGTGGAGGCTGCTGAGGCAGGAGAATGGTTTGAATCCGGGAGGTGGAGGCTGCAGTGAGCCAAGATCGTGACATTGCACTCCAGCCTGGGCCACAGTGCGAAACTCCATCCCCCAACAACAAAAAATTATTGGCTTTTTTCCCAGCATAAAAGAAAAACGTGCTTACAGAAAGCAACATGGGAAAACAAAGAAAAGAAGAAATGGAAAGAAAGTCTCCCAGCTCACCAAAAATAGCCACTTAGTTCCTTCCCGTCCTTCCTGCAGAAGATCAGGAAATCTGTGTAACTACAAACCTTACACAGGACCAGGGCAGCCTGTTCTTTGTCCTAAATATGTTAAGAGCAGCTTTCTTACACATGAGCCCAACGGCCACTCCATGCTCCGCCCAGGGACCCCCCACCCGCCCGCCCGGGCACCCCCCGCCCACCCGGGGTCTCTGAGCCGTCCCATGTGTCCAGACGTGCAGAAGGAGCTGCAGGACCAGCTGCCCCCTGTGTGGGGGGTCAGTACCTTGCACCGGGCTGGCCAGGTGGAGATGGCGCCCGACCAGCTGCATGCACACAGCATCCATGAACTCGAATGCAGACAGGATCTCACCCAGCATCCCCTTGCAGGTGCTGAAGGTCTGCAGAACCTCAGCAAAGCCTGGGCAGCCTGAAACGGGTCACAGCATGTCAAGCACCACACGGAGCTAAACCCAGCCCACCCAAGTCCCCCTTCAAAGCAGCAACATCAGCCCGACTCATGTGGGTGGGTGAGCTGGGCAGCCACGAGGAGCACGAGGACTGGCACTGCAACAAACAGCCCAGGGTTTGCCTGGCAGGTGCACGCCTGGTGTTACCACCAGCATCAGATCAGGAGGGGTAGGTGCACACCTAGTGTCACCACCAGCATCAGATCAGGAGAAGGTGCACGCCTGGTGTCACCACCAGCATCAGATCAGGAGGGGCAGGGCACGCCTGGTGTCACCACCAGCATCAGATGCCAGGAGGGGCAGGTGCACGCCTGGTGTCACCAGCATCAGATCAGGAGGGACAGGTGCACGCCTGGTGTCACCACCAGCATCAAATCAGGAGGGGAAGGCGCCGAAGAACCACACAGCACCTGAGACGGCAGTGGGACTCAGAGGGGGCGTATCTTGGGAATTCTGCAAACACAGAGCCAGCAACAGGCAGCCTTTGGGAATGGCTGCATTTCTCTTAACACAATCAGCACTCAGGTCTTCCCTGCACTCAGGACCTCATCCAACAGGCGTGTTAGTGCTCCAGGGTTGGTGGGGGCTACCAGTGAGGCCGCTGCCCTGGGGAAGCCGACCCTCAAGTGCAAAGATGGAAAGGAACTGAGTGGAGATGTCTGCAGGCGGGCAGCCCCAGAGACGCTGCAGCAGGAGGGGGCCCGTGCCCACCTTTCAGGGCGAGACAGGGAGGCAATGCAAAGGCATGTGGATATCAGAGAAGAATTTTCCAGAGAGAAGGTCTCACAGGCGCAGAGGCTGGGGGCAGACACCTGCACTGGGTGACACAGGAGCACCTCAAGGCCTGTGACCCGAGCACCATGTCGGGGTGTGGCTGCAGACGCGTAGAGGGCTGGGGTGTGGGAGGTGGTGGTGGTGTTGGAGGGTCTGGCGGTGGGGACTGGGCATCTTGCTCAGAGTGGGCAGGAATCCCCAGGAAGTGGGACAAGAGTGCCTCGTCGGAAGTCGCCCCAGCTGCAGGAGAGCAGGAGCCAGGGCTGACTGGGGCCCTGGAGAGCTGGACCGAGCCCACGAGCACGAGGGACACCAGGACCATCCTCACAGGGCCTGTTCCACCCGGCTTAGACGTGGGCGTGGCACGAAGAGGCGAGTGACTCCTGTCTGAGACCTGGAGTGCGAAGAGCAGGATGCGGCAGCCGGGCTGGCCTCGGGCTCCCAGGACCACAGGCGGGCGGCACACAGGTGACTGCAGTTGGAGTGGGATCAGAGCAGAACACAGAAAACCTGGATGAAGAGGAACCACCGATCCAGATGGCACTGCCGCCCAGAGAGTAAGTCGGCAGAAGCAGTCAAGGCTGCCCCAGCCGTTCCGGGGTCAGGTGGTGAGGAGCCCCACCAGGGGCTGAAGGTGGAGGGCGGGGAGGAGGCGGTGTGGGGGCAGCATCACAGGCCAGGCTTGTGCCGGAGGCAATGGGCGAGAGGGGCAATGAGAACTGATGGCTGGGTTGGCTGTGGGAGGACAGTGGCAGCCATGGTGGGAGGGGCACCAGTGAAGCGGGCAAGGCCTGATTGGGGCAGATCCAGGAGAAGGGGCCTCCACCCAGCAGCAATGGGCTAGGCCACGTGACCCAGTGCCCAGTGAAAACACCACAAACGCTGGGCCAAAAAACACCAAAGAAACCGCTGAAGAGGCCGGGCACAGTGGCTCACACCTGTAATCCCAGCACTTTGGGAGGCCGAGGCGGGCAGATCACTTGAGGTCAGGAGTCACAGACCAGCCTGGCCAACATGGCAAAACCCTGTCTCTACTAAAAATACAAAAATTAGCTGGGCGTGATGGTGGGCGCCTGTAATCCCAGCTACTTGGGAGGCTGAGGCAGGAGAATCGCTTGAACCAGGAGGCGGAGGTTTCAGTGAGCCAAGATTGTGCCACTGCACTCCAGCCTTGGTGACAAGAGTGAGACTCTGTCTCAAAAACAAAAACAAAAAAACGCTGAAGAGCATCAAGAGCGAGGGAAGAGCCTGACCTGGGGGCTGAGTAGCACCAAGTCAACGCTGTTGGCCGACAGCCCTTGCCCCGCTAGCAGGTTTGGCCTCAAGCTTCCCAGCCTACCCAGAGTGAGGAATCCAGGAGACCCCCACAGGGCCACATCTTAGAAGTCAGGGCCAGAAGCAAGCCTGTCCCAACCAACTTGCCCCGAAGACTGCAGGGGAAATGGCTGAACAGAATGAGAAAAAAGCAGAATGGAGCCCGACGCAGGTGCTCATGCCTGTAGCCCCAGCACTTTGGGAGGCCAAGGCAGGAGAATTGTTTGAGCTCAGGAGTTCAAGACCAGCCTGGGCATCATGGGAGACCCTGTCTCTATAAAACAATTTTAAAAATGTAGCCAGGTATGGTGGTACACACCTGGTCCCAGCTACTAGGGAGGCAGGAGGATCCCTTCAGTGCAGGAGTTCAAGGCTGCAGTGAGCCACGATTGCACCACTGCACTCCAGCCTGGATGACAGAGTGAGACCTTGTCTCTCAAAAAAATACAGAAGAATAATGTAAAAAAAAAAAAAAACACTCTCCTGATAAATCATGACCATGGATCAGCCCGACACAGCCCTACACTGACTTGCTACCTGGGAGTTTCACAGAATTTCATCCTGTGAACTTGGTCACTCTCAGGCTGAACAGACCCAAAGACACCTAGCAAAAGCAAAAGCAAAAGCAAACCCTCTCTGGAGGAAGGTACCTCGTCTTTGGCATCTAGGAACCCCTACAAATAATTCTTCAAACATAATGAGCTGCACACTGCCACAGACAGCCAAGCACACAAGAAACTAAGGAGCCAGGAGCATGAACCAGCAGAAACAACAGACACTAAAAACAGACCACACAGGCTGGGTGCAGCGGCTCAGGCTCACACCTATAACCCCCGCACTTTAGGAGGCCACAGTGGGAGGATCGTTTAGCCCAGGAGTTACATGAGACCCTGTTTCTACATACAAAATTTTTTTTAATTACCTAGGCATGGTGGTGTGCACCTGTAATCCCAGCTACTCAAGAGGATGGCTTGAACCCAGGGGCTATGATCACACCACTGCACTTCAGCTTGGGCAACAGAGTGAGACCTTGTCTCTAAAAAAAACTTTCACAGACTACACAGACTTGAAAAAATGGAATTGCCTGATTATAAAACATCACAAAAAATTATTCAAAGTTTTTTTTTTTTTTTTTGAGATGGAGTCTTGCTCTGTCACCCAGGCTGGAGTGCAGTGGCATGATCTCAGCCCACTGTAACCTCTGCCTTATGGTCTGAAGCAATTCTCCTGCCTCAGCCTCCCAAGTAGCTGGGATTACAGGCGTCCACCACCATGCCCGGCTAATTTTTGTATTTTTAGTAGAGATGGGGTTTCACCTTGTTGACCAGGCTGGTCTCAAACTCCTGACCTCGTGATCCACCTGCCTCAGCCTCCCAAAGTGCTGGGATTACAGGTGTGAACTACTGTGCCCAGCCTAATTTTTGTACTTTTAGTAGAGACAGGGTTTCATCATGTTGGCCAGACTGGTCTCAAACTCCTGACCTCAAATGACCCACCCGCCTTGGCCTCCCAAAGTGCTGGGATTATAGACGTCAAACTATGTTTAAAGACACAAATGGTGAGCTTGAGAATACCTAGAATAGAAAACTATAAAAAGTAACATTGCAGATTTGACAAAAATAACAAAACTTTTAGAAATAAAAACTTTCATAATCAAAATGTAAAACTCAATGGACGGAGGGAACCACTCATGGAGGGGTTCAGCAGCAAATAAAACACAGCAGAAGAGGGCATTCGTGAACTGGAAGACAGATGAGAAGAAATCACACAGAATGCAGCACAGAGAGACACGATGATGACAATATGGAGGGGAGATTAAGAGACACAGAAGACGGACTGAGACATTCTATCCTGAATCACAGTCCCAAAAGGAGAGGAAAACACAGACAATATCTGAAGCAATAATGGCTAAGAATTTCTAGAACTGGTAAAAGATACCAAGCCACAGGTTTAAGAAATTCAGTAATTCCAAGGAGATGAAAAAGAACGTACACACACACACCACACACTGAAAACTTTAGAAGATCAGAAAGAATGATCTTTAAGTGGCCCAAGGGGGGCCAGGAGAGAGGCAGAATCCCTTCACAGCAGCAGCTACCGACAGCAAAGTTCCCAACAGCGAGGAGGCCAGAGGACAGCGGGTCAGCGTTTCCACCGGGATAAAAGAAAACAAACAACAGCCTGAAGCCATGCGCCTGTGGAAAAGAGCCTTCAAGAATGAGGATGAAATAAAGGTATTTTCAGACACGCCAGAAGTGAAGAAGTGGTCACCAGGAGACCTTTACTGCAGGAAATGAACGAGGATATGTTTGCAACATAATCCCAGACAGAAGATCGGACACAAGAGAGTGGAGGGCAGAGAAAGTGGCCATAAAATAATAATCCTGGTGAGATTGCTTAAAATACGGAACACACATCACAACAAGAAGATGTAAGTGGCTGAAGGAACAAGCATGCGGAGTCTCAGCATCCTCCAGGGCTGCCCAAGCTTCTGGCAGCTCAAGACACCGAACTGGGAGTTGGTGAGCTAGACCCGCCACCTCCCGCGCGAAGACTGCCGGGCTGTGCGACTTCTGAACTCCTGAGGAGGAAATGCTGGATAAACCCGCCCGATTCAAATGAAGCAAGAAAGGAGCCGCAGGCAGGTCCCAGGAGAACCGAAGAAGTGGCTGTGAGTGAAGCAGGCCTGTGGAGACACAGCAGCAGGCAGGTCTGCTGAGACCCCCAGTCTGGGCTGACTGGGGAAGCCCCCCATTACAGGAGGGAATTCTTTATCCCCACAGTAACTAAGAGTGGTGTCCTGAACTGATGCCAAATGACAGCATGTCCCTCAACCTTACTCCACAAGCTACTCAACCAACACGATGGGGTGAATGAGGCAACACAAGCCTGTTTTCTTATGAAATGAAGTGTCCTCTGACCAGAGACAGAGAGAGGCCTCACTCTACACCTTTACCCATGACCACCAGGAAGGCCAGGTCCTGGATTCCTGATTCCTTTGGAAGCAGAGATGTCAGGAGACACGGGAACCGACTGTCCTTGGCGGGGGGTCCCTCCATCCCCTTCCTCACACCAACAGTGGCACCATCAGAGCAGACGCTCGAGCCCAACCACCCATCTCAAGGCACACATCGAGGAAGCCCACCGAGGAAAGCCACGTTCACAGCCCTGGGCTTGGGTGGACACAAGATGGACACCGTGGTGATGATCCCCAAAGTGCCCTCCGACCCGATGAACAGCTGCTTCAGGTCATAGCCCGTGTTGTCCTTCCTCAGGGAGGTCAGGCAGTCCAGGACAGTGCCGTCGGCCAGCACCTTGGGGCAAAGAGAAGCACGTTCACCCACCTGCCAGCCTCCTGACAAGACGTCGGTCGCCTCCGGGGCCAGGTGTCACTTCTGCAGCAGCCTGAGGTCATGCCAAGAGGCTGAAGGATGGACTTTCCTCCTGTACGAGTGACACCCTCCACACACAGCAGCTCACTGCCCAGGGGGCACGCCCGGGGTCGGGGGCAGTGGGGAGGCTCCCTGGGAGTAGGGCGTGAGCCCAGCCCAGGACCCAGCCACCTCTGGACCCACCAGCCATAAGGCATCAAAGCTCCCGAGCTGTGGGCCTCTCCGAGTCCTGTGTGCTGGTACTGTGAGTCGGAGGCCTACACAGCTCATGAGTGCAAAAAAGTAATTTACAATAAAGATAATCAGTGGCTGGCCAGAAAAAAAAGCTACTGAAGCGTCATAATTTACTGGATGGCACCAAAGCATGGTTTTGTGTTTGCTTCGTCCACTTGGGTAAACAGGACAGAGAGCTCTGCCTGTGACACTCGGCTGGTGAGGGTGCGGGTAAACAGAGGGGCCCTGGAGGAACAGTGGGCAGCAGAAGGTCACGAAGCTGACCCTGGATGAGCCTTCCTTCACACCCGGCTCCCAGAAGCCCACCACTGCCGGGGCGGTGTCCCCTGTAACTGCATCCTCTCTGTGTGGCCCCGAGGCAGTGGACACAAAATCACCCTCTCGTGGGAGGACAGGGCAGGGCCAGGCCTCCCTCAGGATGGGGGTGTATGTAGCCCACACATCCTTGAGGGGCCCAGGGCCAGGAACCAAGACCTCCCACCCCGAGGGGCCCCATGCACCTGTGCCACCACGTGGGCCCATGAGAGCCGTGAGAGGACACCCCGTGGCGACCTCTGCACCAAGCAGCTGCCCCAGCTCACCACTTCCAGGCCCAGGACAGTCCCATGCAGTGAGCCATATCGAAGAAACCGCAGGCCTCCAGCGTTGGTTGCCACGTTTCCCCCGATGTGGCAGCTGCCCTTGGCTCCTAAGTCCAGCGGCATGATGAAGTCCCGTTCCTCCACATACCGGCTCAGCTCCTCCAGGACGCAGCCCGCCTGGCAAACCAGAATTCCTGCAGAGAGTGACCAGGCTGCCGCAGCACTTGGCTTCCAGTGGGCCCCCGGGCTGGTGAGTCCCAACCCCCATCTTGCACAGGCAAGCCACCCAGAAGGAACATCAGCCTCAGCGCCAGGGCTGAGGAGAAGAGGCACCCCCACATCGCTGGCCCAAGGACGAAAACATCTGGGCCTCACAGGACCTTTATAATTATGGTGACACAAAAAAAAAATGAGTAACATGAAAAGAGAGGAAAAAACTTCCCACCCCCACACACACTCGTGGAAAGGAGTAGAAGAGGGAAGATTCTCAGCTGGGGCTGATCCTGCCCTGGGCATGTGGGACAATGCCTGGGTTGGGGGTGCCATGGGCACCTTGTAGGCGGAGGCCAAGGATGCTGCTCAACACCCAACAGTGCAGGCGCCCGACCACAGAGTGACCGGGGCCTGGAGCCCGGCCTTGCGGGGAGAGGCCCAGCTCCAGAGCAGGACCCTGGCGCCCTGGGTCAGGATCCCCTCATGCCTGCCACGCCCTGGCACCCTGGGTCAGGATCCCCTCACGCCTGCCACGCCCTGGCGCCCTGGGTCAGGATCCCCTCACGCCTGCCACGCCCTGGCGCCCTGGGTCAGGATCCCCTCATGCCTGCCACGCTCTGGCGCCCTGGGTCAGGATCCCCTCACGCCTGCCACGCCCTGGCGCCCTGGGTCAGGATCCCCTCACGCCTGCCACGCCCTGGCGCCCTGGGTCAGGATCCCCTCATGCCTGCCACGCCCTGGCACCCTGGGTCAGGATCCCCTCACACATGCCACTCTGCACCTCACACACCTCTAGAGCGGGATGGAGTCGGAAGGGACCAGAATGACAAGCCCTCACCAGCACGCATGTCTGGAGGGGCCGGGCGAGGTGGGGCTAGGCGGCCAGGCTACAGACGCTGGTTCTTTCCCCAGCGCCGGCCCTAACTCATTCACCCACCCAAGCACCCCACAGTTGCAGACGCTGGCAAGGAAGAACTCCACCAGCACCAGGAGGGACTCCTGGGCCCCGACGGGTGGCACAGGCTTACCAGACACGCTGTGGAAGCTGAGGACCCGGTTCATGCGGGCAGTGGAGAGGATGATCTCGTCAAAGACGGGGACGCTGCCACCCACCATGCCTGTGTTGCCCCCCTGTGGGTTCACGGCCAGGTTCCTCTCGTGGCAGTGCCTGGGATGAGGACAGGAGGGACGTTGGGGCTCTGTCCCCACCCCTACGCCACCATCCCCAAGGACACGCCGCAGGACCAGTGCCTGACTCCAAATCCTGATTACCCTGCCCTGCCTGCAGCCTCAGCGGGGGCTCCTCCCCAGCCCACGCATGTGAGGGATTCTGAGGAAGGACAGAGGCCAATCCGAAAGCTGTGCACAGGGAGACGGAAGTGGAGGCCCCGATTCTGACGTCCTACAAGGCTTCCCTCAAAGGACAGAACGTCCTACACGCCCGGCTCCCATCCTTCCCGTTCACACCATGCTCACAGAGGGTCCAGCTCAGGGTTCCTCGACCGCACTGCCCCCACTGCCTTCCACCCTCTGCCTGCATCTCCCCACCCTCGGCCCATTATCCCCCAGACGTGTGCCCAAGGATACCTCCCTCCCAACCAGCCTGCACCTTTGCAAAGCCCCAAAGCCTAGAGCACACCCAGTGGCTAGGGGTTTGGAGAAACCAAAGTTCCGTGCTCTGGGAAAAGGAATCTGCCCATGTACATGAAATAAACCCTGGAGACAGCAAGCCCCACACATGAAATAAACCCTGGAGACAGCAAGCCCCACACATGAAATAAACCCTGGAGGCAGCAAGCCCCACACATGAAATAAACCCTGGAGACAGCAAGTCCCACACATGAAATAAACCCTGGAGACAGCAAGCCCCATACATGAAATAAACCCTGGAGACAGCAAGCCCCATACATGAAATAAACCCTGGAGACAGCAAGCCCCACACATGAAATAAACCCTGGAGACAGCAAGCCCCATACATGAAATAAACCCTGGAGACAGCAAGTCCCACACATGAAATAAACCCTGGAGACAGCAAGCCCCACACATGAAATAAACCCTGGAGGCAGCAAGCCCCACACATGAAATAAACCCTGGAGACAGCAAGCCCCACACATGAAATAAACCCTGGAGACAGCAAGTCCCAGGGATGGAGTTTAACAGAGTAAGTGCACGTTGCCCCAAAGCACCTGCTGAGGATGATCTAAAGCACTGTCCACAGTCATGGACACCCGGAGACCAGTGCCACCCTGTAGTGTGTTCATGGGGGAGGAGCTTTGCTGTTACAGACAGTGCCAAGAAATGGGCATGGGCATTGCCAAATGGGGGGAAATGATTACACACCACAGATGCATTGAGATAGCACCGAAAAACCACAGAACAAACACTGAGACACACAAACCAAGATGTCATCGGCTGGCTTCGCACCGCGTCACCCCAGCTGCCCACAGGCTCCATGAGGAAATGACCCACAGGCAACAGGGAAGGCTGGGGGAGCCGGGAGCCACCACCTCACCTGAGGATGTGGGACACCTCCTCCGACGTCCGTGGCCTCAGCAGCACCTTGCTACAGCCTGTGACAGGAAGAAGATCCTATGAGACAGCGTGGGGGGAGCTGCAGATGAGGCAAGTGGTCACTCGCCCCAGAGAGCGAGTTTTTTTTTTTGGAGACGGACTCTCACTCTGTTGCCCAGGCTGAAGTGCCACGATCCTGGCTCACTGCAACCTCTCCCTCCCAGGTTCAAGCGATTCTCCTGCCTCAGCCTCCCAAGTAGCTGGGATTATAGGCACCCGCCACCACACCTGGCTAATTTTTGTATTTTTAGTAGAGACAGGGTTTCACCACATTGGCCAGGCTGGTCTCGAACTCCTGACCTCGTGATCCGCCCACTGCGGCCTCCCAAAGTGCTGGGATTACAGGCATGAGCCACCATGCCCAGCCCCCAGAGAGTGATCTTATTTGGGAAGCTGAGGAGGGAGAATCATCTGAGTCCAGGAGGTCAAGGCTGCAGTGAGCTATGATCGCAACACTGCACTCCAGCCTGGGTGACAGAGCAAGAAGCCATCTCAAAAAAACCAAAACTAGGTCCCACATGGGAGGTGGTGGGCCGGGCACTGGGCACAGTGTGCAGAAGTGGGTAAGGCTGGGCCCATGGATGAGAGTCCCACAGGCCAGGCATTGGCAGCTCCAAGGTTGCCCACCCACTTGTGGTGAGGTCGGCTCGGTCCCACGGTAACGGGATGTCTGCAGGCTTCCCTCCTGCCACGCCACCACACTTCCTTTCGTGATGTGTGTGCACCTCACAAGCAGACGCTTGAGACTATGTGGACATCCTGTTGCTCCTCAAGCTTCACCCATTAACATCTTTGATTATCCTAGACCAAATCAGTTACTAGGATGGTTGCCAACTGGTGATTTTCCTAAATCCATCTGTCCACCTACACTTCCTTTTATTTCTTTTGAAACAGGGTCTCACTCCGTCACCCAGTCTGGAGTACAGTGACACAATCACAGCTCACTGCAGCCTCAACCTCCTGAGCTCAAGCGATCCTCCTGCTTCAGCCTCCCAAGCAGCTGGGACTACAGGTGCCTGCCACCATGCCCGGCTAATTTTGATATTTTTAGTAGAAACAGGGTTTCACCATGTTCCCCAGTCTGATCTTGAACTCATGGCCTCAAGCAATCCACCCACCTCAGCCTCCCTAAGGGCTGTGGTTACAGGCATGAGTCGCCGCGCCCGGCCTCTTAGCTGACTCTGCCACGAGGGAGGGCTTTCCCTTCGCTCTCACTGACGTGTTTATGTAGCTGCTTATTCACAGTGATGTGGGCTCTCGGCTTCTCACTTTATTCACTGGGCTATAAGTCTTGGCCGCCTTATTTGCTGAATGCCTGGATGTGACCAGTGGGAGCCCTCTGAGCTAGTTCGCCGGTGTTGCTAACCACTGCTGCCCCAAGTGAGCAGGCGTCTTTCTGCCTTTGGGTTTCCTTGAGACGACTTTCCCAGGTGATGGGGGCTGCAGAGAGGCAGCAGGTGCAGTCACGGGAGCCTGTCACCTCTTCGTGGAGCTCTGAGAACCAGGCTGTGGTGTCCACCTTGCTTTTCTGATCAGAAAGCCACTTATGTCTCTTTCATCAAATGAGCAATTTTTGCAGAGGGGCCTGCTGGGCACCTGGGCCTCGGCCCGACACTTCAGTGCGGCACCTGAGGGAACCCTGGCACCTGCGCTCACTGCGTCCCTGTCCCGAGTGGGCTCAGGAGCCCCAGGACTCATGGCAAAGCTTTCGACTCGGACACACTTGTGACGCGCCTGTGGCAGGGTTCTCAACACAAACATGAGTACCCCCCAAGAATGCAGGCCAGGCCGCGTTCCAGACACAGAATGAGCACAGAATTTCCCACTCCTGTGATGTTTACCTTCTAACGGGAAAGATGAAAAGGAGGGCTCCCTCCCGGTGGTCCAGTGTTAACGATGGGAGCCCCACAAAGACGGAGGGGGCCATGGGGGCAAGGCCGCCAGAGGTGACACAGGGGCCCAGCCTGTTTTCACACCGCGAAGCTCCCACCTTCCTGCCAGTGCAGGCGTGCTCACTAAACGTCTGCAGCATCCATCCTGAGCAAATGGTCTAGATTTTTGAATATGATGCTTAATGAGTTTTCAGAAGTCTAGACAAGCTCTCTCTCCAAAAGCAAGCCACATGAAGGGATAATTCACCTAAAATTCAACAACTAAGCCTCACATCAGCAAACACCTACTGAGCAGACATTCAGGACCAAACCTGTGGACTCAAACATGAGTGAAATTCAGCCTCGCCCTCACCAAACTCGGGGCAGCAGGACGCAGAGGAAGGCGCCCTCCCACAGGCACACACAGACACCGAGGGGCGGCCCTGCAGCAGGACAGGGTGTCCATGGCCACGGATTCCCAAAAAGGTGCTGACCAGAGAGCGGGGACCCAGGGGGACAGCCAGTTCTTGCCCAGTCAGGCTCAGGCAAGGCAGAGGAGAGGAAGAGCGTGGTCACCCCTCAATCTCAGTTACAGCTTCCTCCCCGCTCCTGCATGCCCCGGGGAGGTCCCTTGCCCATGAGGGCAGCAGCGGCATAGCCCAGGGTGCTGGCCTCCGAGCAGGCTGGGAGCACGGGAACCCAAGCATTGTGCTCAAGGCTCACGCTAGGTTCCTGCCCCACTTACCCGCACGGTGTTCCTGAGGCAGTGGCTCCAAGTCCCATTTTGTAGGGCAGGCACTGAGGGTCATCTGCCTAGGGCCACCCAGACAGCAGTGCTGAGCCAGGACTGGGGCCCGACTTAGCCAAGCCCAGGGTGGGCGTCCATCCTCACCTGCCTCCGGGGACAACATTCGTGAGCCCACAGGCCCTGGGCCATGGTGTGCACTCAGGGCAGCAGCTTGAGATCGCCCCAGAGGGGTCCTTACTTCGGGAGCAGGGTGAGGGTGGGGGCCCTTCCACTCAAGAGAGCTCCTACACAGTGACCATTGGTCCAGCGATTTCCAGTGACTCCCAGCCTTTCTGCAGGGAAAGAGCTGCTTCCATTATCTGAGCCTAGACCCCAGTTCAACTTGCTAACTTTCTGAACTGTTTTAACATACGCTGCACTCCCAGATTACACGGTCTGGAAACTTTCTGAGTGTTCTTAATAATTTCAATCTTCTACAAGGGCCAACAAAAAAAAGATAAAAACAATTCCAGATCTTCCCAATGACAGCACACCCTATGTTCAGCCCCAGGACCTGGTGCCAGTTCCACAGGTTTAAATATATCATTTTGTTGTAAATTAAGAGTCAACCAATTCTCTTCTACCTCGCTTTACTATTTTAGCACACAGACACATGCCACCATACCCGGCTAATTTTTAATTTTCTGTAGAGATAGAGTTTCACCATGTTGCTCAGGCTGGTCTTGAACTCCTGGGCTCAAGCGATCTCCCACAGAACTGGGTTACAGGCGTGTAACCCAGCTGTAGTCCCAGCTACTCAGGAGGCTGAGACAGGAAAATCGCTTGACCCCAGGAAGTGGAGGTTGCAGTAAGGGGAGATCGTGCCACTGCACTCCACCCTGAGTGACAGGGCAAGACTCCATCTCAAAAAAATAAAAAAAGAGAAAACTGGGCACTGTTACCAAAAGGAAGTGCCAGCCCCAGAGGCTGAGAAGTCCCTCATTCGTGCACAGACTTGTATGCCACTGGGCAGAAGTGCAGTGGGAGGAGAGGAGCAGGCATTGTTGGCCAGGAGCCCTGCATCTTACCTAATGGGCTCCAAAAAGATACGTCTGCTTCCCAATGCCCCAAGACCTGTGAATGGGACCTTATTTGAAAAAATGGGGCTGGGCATGGTGGCTCATGCCTGTAATCCCAGCACTTTGGGAGGCCGAGGCAGGCGGATCACGATGTCAGGAGATTGAGACCATCCTGGCTAACACGATAAAACCCTGTCTCTACTAAAAATACAAAAAGAATGAGCCGGGCGTGGTGGCGGGCGCCTGTAGTCCCAGCTACTCGGGAGGCGGAGGCAGGAGAATGGCGTGAAGCCAGGAGGCGGAGCTTGCAGTAAGCCGAGATCACGCCACTGCACTCCAGCCTGGGCAACAGAGCGAGACTCCGTCTCAAAAAAACAAAAAGAAAAAACGGTCCAGCTAAGTGCAGTGGCTCATGCCTGTCATCTCAGCACTTTGGGAGGCCAATGTGAGTGGATCACCCGAAGTCAGGAGTTCGAGACCAGCGTGGTCAACATGGTGAAACCCCGTCTCTACTAAAAATACAAAAATTAGCCGGGCATGGTGGCGGGCACCTGTAATCCCAGTTACTTGGGAGGCTGAATTGCTTACACCCAGGAGGGGAAGGTCGCAGTGAGCCAAGATTGCACCATTGCACTCCAGCCTGGGCAAAAAGAGTGAGACTTCATCTCCAAAAAAAAAAAAAACGGATAAACGGTCTTTGCAGATGTAATTAAGTTGACAGTACTGAGATACGATCATCCTGGATTAGGGTGGGCCCTCAATCCAATGAGAAGTGTCTTTATAAGACAACTGGAGAAGAGTCACAGAGAAGAAAAACCTGTATGAAAAACAGAGGCAGAGACTGGAGTAATTTGGTACCTGGGGCCACCAGGAGCTAGAGCTACAAGAGGCAGGAAGGAGCCTCCTCTGGAGGCTTTGGAGGGAGCGCAGCCCTGTGATACCCTGATTTCACACTTTTGGCCTCCAGAGCTTAGAGAACAAACTTGTGGGGTTTGGTGGGGAGGGGAATTCTGTTTTGTTTTAGAGATGTAGTCTTGCTCTGTTGCCCAGGCTGGAATGCAGTGGTGAGATCATAGTCCACTAAAACTGGAACTCCTGGGCTGGAGTAACTTTTTTACTTTTTGTTTTTTCAATCCTGGGCCGGCTACTTTTATTTATTTATTTTTATTTTTAGAGGTGAGTGGGGCGGGGGTTCTGGCTATGTTGCCCAGGCTGGTCTTGAACTCCTGGCTTCAGCCTCCAGGGCAGCTGAGATTACAGGCAGAGCCACTGCGCCAGGCAAACTTGGGTTGTTGGCAGGGCGGGGTGGCTCACGCCTGTAATCCCAGCAATTTGGGAAGCCGAGGCGGACGGATCACGAGGTCAAGAGATCGAGACCATCCTGGCCAACATGGTGAAACCCTGTCTCTACTAAAAATACAAAAATTAGCGGAACGTGGTGGCGGGCGCCTGTAGTCGCAGCTACTAGGGAGGCTGAGGCAGGCAAATCGCTTGAACCCGGGAGGCAGAGGTGGCAGTGAGCCGACGTCGCGCCACTGCACTCCGGCCTGGCGACAGAGTGAAACTCCGTGACTGCACTCCAGCCTGGCGACAGAGTGAGACTCCGTCTTAAAAAAAAGAAAAAACAAAACAACAACAACAACAAAACTTGGGTTGTTCTAAGCGACTCGTTCGTGGTCATTCATTCCAGCAGCCTGTGGCGGTGCACACGCCCCTCTCAGCGCAGCCAGGGGCTGGCACCCCCATCCAGGTTGTTCTCAGCCCGCTTTGAAGCCTCCACGGGAAGGCGCAGCGGAGCAGGGACGCGGAAACGCCGCAGCTTCCCAAGCCTCACCCACCTCGCAGCGTCCGCAACCAGTCCACGTTGGGAGCCTGCAGCGCTTCCGGGTCCGTGACGACCCCGCCGGGCACGATGCGCTCAAAGGCGGCCAGGTCCTGCTTAGACACCGTGGAGAACGGCAAGCGCCGCACGGGGTAGCGCTCCCGGGTCAGCGGCACCTCGGGGGTCCCCGGGGCGGAGCAGCAGCCTCTGCGGGCCAGGGGGCCAACCGGCCGACCCCAAGAACCCGCGGCTCCCGGAGCACCCCGCAACAGCCACGCGGGCCACGCCAGAGGCCGACGGGGCAGCATCGCCGCCGGGACGGAGACCTCGGGCTCCTCCTTGGTGGGGGGCCGGTACTCAGGGCCCGGAGGGGAAGGGCAGGGAGCCGCTGGCTGCGCGCCTGGAAGTGGCCAAGGGTAATTTCATGTTTTATGCACGTTGTACAAATTGAAACACGCTTGCAGAAGCAGGGAGGGGGCAGGAGGGCAGCGAAGGGAAGGCTCCGAGCACCCGGGCCCTCCCCCTGCCCGGGCCGCAACCCCGCGAGCGCGCGAAGCCCCACGCAGCAGGCCTGGACTTAGCGACGCGCAGGCTCGGGGCGGCCTCGCCGGGACCTTGCCCAGGACCCCGTTCCTCCGAGCTCGCCCCCCGAGGGGATCCCGCGGACGCGCGCGCGTGTTCCACGCGGTCACGTGACGAGCTGCAGCGCCGTCCCCCTCCCCCCACAGGCACCGACTGGCTGACGGCGCCCGAGATCGCGCCCCGCCACCCCGACCCGCGGCTGAACCGCAGACCGGGACCCTCAGCCCAGCGCTCCGCGCGGCCGCGCGCACGCACCCACGATCACGTCCCGAGCTCCAACCCGCAGCGCCCGCCGCAGGCCCAGAGCCGCCGAGCCGGAGTGGGCGGGGCGACGCCGCGCCTGCGCATTGACGGCTCCGCCCAGCGGCCGAAGCCCCGCCCCGCGCGCCTAACGGGCCCCGCCCCGCCTGCCCTCCAGGCCCAGCCCTGCGCGCCTACAGTCCCCGCCCCGCCGTCCAAGCCCCGCCCCGACTGGCACCGGAGGCTCGACGGCCACCGCCTCGTCCTGCGTTTCCTGAGGGCCTCCGGCGCGCCGGCTGTCGGGCGCATCCCTCCAGGTAGAGAAGGGACTAGGCTGAGCGCAGCCCAAGACGCCCAAGCAGCAGCTGGAGGGTTCTCCAGAACGAGGCCCGGGACGTGGGCTCGGCCGAGGGACCTGGGGGCCGGCCCGCTCCTCCGAGGCCGAGCCCAGGGGGCGCCCCTTTCCCCAGCGGCCTCCCCAGCTCCTGCACGGACCACCCCTCCTGGGTCCCCAGCCTTAGCTTAGGGGGCAGCTGCCTCCTGCAGGTGTTTTCTTGCCTCCCTGTCCCTTCTGCCTGTTCAGCCCTCCGTGCCCTCAAACCCTTTGCACACCTGGGGAGCTCCTGCCCTCCTGACGCAGTAACTGCTGTCCCGAGGAGCCTCCCGGCCTGGGATCCCCTGCCTGAGGCATCGCCAGCACTTGTTTTGTGTTTTTTTGAGACAGGGTCTAGCTCTGTTGCCCAGGCTGGAGTTCTGGGGTTGATCTCAGCTCACTGCAACCTCTGCCTCCCGAGCTCAAACCATCCTCCCACCTCGGCCACCCAAGTAGCTGGGACTACGGGCGTGCACCACCACACCCGGCTAATTTTTTGTTGTTGTTGTATTTTTGTAGAGATGAGGTCTCATGTGCTGCCCAGGCTGGTCTCGAACTCCTGGACTCAAGCGATCCGCCCGCGTCGGCCTCCCAAAGCACTTGTTACTTCAGCTCACCCAATTCCATAGAACCCTAGCGGGTGCAGAGGATGCCAATCTCTGAGCAGATGAGGGCAGAGAGCAGGAGACCACACTTGGCCCGAGGCAGGACTGCGGAGCTGTGCAAGAGGTGGAGGCTACGCCCGTGACAGCAGATGGGTCCTGGTAGTCACACAGAAAACCGGCGAGCTGGATTTGTCCTGGTGATGAGGCTCTGGAGCAGCAGTTGCAAGGAGTCATTCCTGTCCTCCTTAACCACATCCCCAGAGGCCACTCACCTTCTTCCCAGGTGAATCATTCATACAACCCTGGAAAGGAGACATCCACCTGGCCCTTCCTACCTGGCTGGCCCTTGCTCTGCAGATGAGTGTGGGAGTTTGCCCATTGTCAAGGGTAACTGTTGCAATTACACATTCAGGAACTGGAAAGACGACCACAGATGAGGTCTGTGGACCCCCTTACCACCTGACCTCCACACGCCCTCCCTTTGACTAGCAGGCCAGTGGCATCTTGGACCCCTGGGATTAGGAATGATTCAAAACCCATAAAGATTACCACCCATACCATCCCCTAAAATAACTGATTTTTCTGACCAGGCACGGTGGCTCACGCCCATAATACCAGCACTTTGGGAGGCTGAGGCAGGTGGATCACCTGAGGTCAGGAGTTCGATACCAACTGTGGGCGGCAAGCCACCCAGGTGCCGAGGCAAGAGACCGAAGACACGAGCTGTTCCAGTATAATAAAATAAGAATAGTTATACCAGATATAGATCTTAGATATGATTATATATGAATATCATTAATCATTAGTTGGTAGCAATTACTCTTTATTCCAATATTATAATAATCCTCGCTCTACAATCATAACCTAGGAAAAACCAGGCCATACAGAGATAGGAGCTGAGGGGACATAGTGAGGAGTGACCAGAAGAGTGCGAGCCTTCTGTTATGCCCAGACAGGGCCACCAGAGGGCTCCTTGGTCTAGCGGTGACGCCAGCGTCTGGGAAGACACCCGTTACCTAGCGGACCGTGGTCTAGCGGTAGCGAAAAGTGTCAAGAAACACCACCCGCTACTTAGCAGACCGGAAAAGGGAGTCTCCCTTTCCCCGGGGGAGTTTAGAGACGACTGTACTCCTCCACCTCTTGTGGAGGACCTGACATCAGTCAGGCTCGCCCGCAGTTATCCGGAGGCCTAACCGTCTCCCCGTGATGCTGTGCTTCAGTGGTCACGCTCCTAGTCCGCCTTCATGTTCCATCCTGTACACCTGGCTCTGCCTTCTAGATAGCAGTAGCAAAATTAGTGAAAGTACTAAAAGTCTCTAATAAGCAGAAATAATGGCGTAAGCTGTCTCTCTGTCTCCTCTCTCTCTCTGCCTCGGCTGCCAGGCAGGGAAGGGCCCCTGTCCAGTGGACACGTGACCCACATGACCTTACCTATCATTGGAGATGGCTCACTCTCCTTATCCTGACCCTTTGTCTTGTATCCAATAAATATCAGTGCAGCCTGGCATTCGGGGCCACTACCGGTCTCCGCAACTTAATGGTAGTGGTCCCCCAGGCCCAGCTGCCTTTTCTTTTATCTCTGTCTTGTGTCTTTATTTCTGTACTCTCTCGTCTCCGCACATGGGGAGAGACCCACCGACCCTGTGGGGCTGGTCCCTACACCAACCTGGCCAACATGGTGAAACCCTGTCTCTACCAACAATACAAAAATTAGCTGGGCATGGTGGTCGGTGCCTATAATCCCAGCTACTTGGGAGACTGAGGCAAGAGAATGGCTTGAACCTGGGAGGCAGAGGTTGCAGTAAGCTGAGATCACGCCACTGCACTCCAGCCTGGCGACAGAGTGAGATTCTGTCTCAAAAAAAAAAAAAAAAAACTGTCTCAGAAAATAATAACAACTGATTTTTCTTTTTCCCAGGGCATAGTCACCCTAGCAAAGCCCACATGTACCCTCAGAGAATGCTTGGAGGAAAATACGGCATGTGCTGGTTTCAGCGTTGTGGGGCCCTCACCCAGCATCTCAGCCTCCTCTTCCAGCGAGATGGCAGGTGCTGGTTTCCGCATTGTGAGGCCTTCCCCCAGCATCTCAGCCTCCTCTTCCAGCGAGATGGCAGGTGCTGGTTTCGGCGTTGTGGGGCCTTCCCCCAGCATCTCAGCCTCCTCTTCCAGCGAGGACTCCAGTCTACGGATTGGTTTTCACCTGGACGGTGGGTGAGAGGCCGACTGTACCTCGTGATGACCAAGCTCTTCCCGGGTTCTGTTAATGCACTCCTCAAGGCAACATCTTGAGACCCATCAGCTCCTGTTATGTTTGTGTCCCCCAGAATTCGTATGCAGAAGCTGTAACCCCCAATATGGCCGTATTTGGAGATGGAACTTCTGAAGAAGTAATTAAGGTTAAAGTCAGTCACAAGGGTGGGGTCCTGATCCGACAGGACAGGCATCCGTAAAATAAGAGACACCAGAGAGCTCCCTCTCCCAGTCAGTTTCGTAGGCACACATGAGAAGGCAGTGTTCACAACCCAAGGGAAGAGCCCTGGACAGGCACCAGACAACCCCAGCGCCTTAATCTTGGACTTCCAATCTCCAGAAATATAAGACATTTTTCTTAAGCCTCCCAGTCTGTGGTATTGTGATAACAGCCTGATATGGTTTGGATTTGTGTCCCCGCCCATAATCCCCAATGTTGGGGGAGGGGCCTGGTAGGAGGTGACTGGCTCATGGGCGCAGATTTCCCCTTGCTGTTCTTGTGGAGGTAAGTGAACTCTCAGGAGACCTGCTTGTTTAAAAGTGTGGCACCTTTCCCCTTTGCTCCCTTTCTCTCCTGGTCTGCCGTGGTAAAACGTGCTTGCTTCCCCTCCGCCTTCTGCCATGATGTAAGTTTCCTGAGGCCTCCGCACCACGCTTCCTGTACAGCCTGCAGAACTGTGAGTCAATTAAACCTCATTTCTTTATAAATTACACAGTCTCAGGTCGTTCTTTATAGCAATACAAGAATGGACTAATACAGAGCCTAAGCTGACTCCAGCAGCTTCCAAAAGGCAAGTGCAACACGGTAAGTCTTGCCCTTCCAGAGCAAGCACAGTACTCCTTTAGAAAGCAACTGCAGCGGCCGGGCGTGGTGGCTCACGCCTGTAATCCCAGCACTTTGGGAGGCCGAGGCAGGCGGATCACGAGGTCAGGAGATCGAGACCATCCTGGCTAACACGGTGAAACCCTGTCACTACTAAAAATACAAACAATTAGCCGGGCATGGTGGTGGGCGCCTGTAGTCCCAGCTACTCGGGACACAGGCAGGAGAATGGCGTGAACCTGGGAGGCGGAGCTTGCAGTGAGCAGAGATTGCACCACTGCACTCCAGCCTGGGCAACAGAGTGAGACTCCGTCTCAAACAAAAAAAAAAGAAAGCAACTGCAGCATTCTCACACGTCTTCCTTGGAAGTCAACTTGAGCCCCAGCACTGGCCACTGAGCTTCCTGAGCAACCACCCAAGGTAAGGCACAGGGTCCTCCCCAGACCCCCAGCCAGCAAGCTCCGCAAACCACTCTCCAATCACTGCATACCCCTTCAGAATTCAATTTCACACACCTGTCTCTGGGCACAACACTGACATTTTACACCTGTTTCCCAAAATGATGCTGAGTCTTGGGGGTGGTTCCCCCATACTTTTCTCGTGGTAGTGAATAAGTCTCACGAGATCTGATGGTTTTTTTAAGGGGAAACCCCTTTCACTTGGCTCTCATTTTCTATTGTCTGCTGCCATGTAAGATAAGCCTTTCGTCTCCCGCCATGATTGTGAGGCCTCCCCAGCCATGTGGAACTGAGGGTCCACCAGACCTCTTTTTCTGTCAGGTGCGGTGGCTCACGCCTGTAATCCCAACACTTTGGGAGGCTGAGGCAGGCAGATCACCTGAGGTCAGGAGTTCAAGACCAGCTTGGCCAACATGGCAAAACCCCATCTCTACTAAAAATACAAAAATTAGCAGGGCGTGGTGGCACGTGCCTGTAGTCCCAGCTACTCAGGAGGCTGAGGCAGGAGAATCACCTGAACCCGGGAGGCAGATGTTACAGTGAGCCGAAATCATGCAGTGCCATTGCACTCCAGCCTGGGTGACAGAGCAAGACTCCGTCTCAAAAAAAGAGAAAAGAAAATTTTTTTTAAAAAAAACCTCTTTTTCTTTACAAATTACCCAATCTCGGGTATGTCTTTATCAGCAGCGTGAAAACGGGCTAATACAGATGCACTTTCAATTGTTTGTTCCAAAAAATACTTTATTTATTAAACAATATATCCATAATCTATAACATGATCCAAAAATACTGATATACATCTTTACATTATCTAATAAAAAGATTTACAACATTATCTTTCCTTTACAAAGGGAACATAGATAATAATTCCTTGAAAATAAAAATGTAACATTCATGTTAAAGCTGCATCATCGTTTTGGATGAAACGTGGTTAAAGGTGGACACCACAAAATACATACAGAGGAAGAAAGAAACTCCAACACAATCTCTCCTGAATGGGAACATTTTCTTACACTTCCCCTGGCTTAAAATTCCTCTCAGCACAAGTATTGAAGGCCAATCACTGCTCACTAAAAATTTAAGAAAACCTTAAGTCTTCAATGCCCATAATTAACATCCCTCACGGTTTTACTCTAAACCATGAAGACCTAACCTAGGACAGGGCAGACCCTCGGCTCTGGGGTCATGTGGGAAGCTGCTCTGGGCCAGCGTCATTGCTCAAAGCAGCCCCAGCCAGGGCTCCCAACGACAGGACAGGAGGCCAAGTCCGGCAGGGCTGCTGGACACCAGACAAGCTGGCCGGTGTCCCCATCAGTCCCAGCAAACCCTCCCACCGCCACCAGTCTGCACAGCTGCTTCTCGCTGCTCCAGGCAGACTGGAAAACACCCACGCCACAAAGCCCTGGCCAACAGTGAGACGGGCGGTCAGCTGCTGCTCAGGCAGCCACGTAGGCCTCCGCACGGCGTCCCTGGCCAACAGTGGTCTCATGTCCACCCGCCCAGGGGTCCCGTCCAGCATGAGACGGGCGGTCAGCTGCTGCTCAGGAGGCCACGCAGGCCTCCGCTTGGCATCCATGTCCCCAGCAGCAGCACCTAGGGCACATTCGCAGATGCAGAGGGCTCGGTTTCACCAGCTCCTGTTTTCACTGCAGCCTGCCTTCCCCTACAGGATTTCCTCAGATCACTGACTGATACCGCAGCACTGAAAACAAGGAAAATGGGTAGAACGCTCCTTCCCATCGAGGTCAATCGCACAGCCACAGAGGACCCACACCTTCGGCTCAGATGAAGCTGCCACAGTGACCCACTGGTTCCAGCCCACACACCCTCAATCCAAGAGATGGGTCTGGGGCCGGGCAGCTGTGGAGGGGGGTCTGGTCCGAGACCAAATCCTTGAATCACCCCCAGGGAGAAGGCGGCCAGGCCTTCTGGAGCAAGGCGTGGATGGTGCAAATGGTGTGGCTTCTGTGTCCCTGCAGGGCGGGGGCCAGGCCAGGGGCCATGACCTTCTTTTCTGGCCAAACGGCCACTCCTGAGTGTGTCTCTCCCACGGGTAGACAGCGTCAGCCACAGAGCACTCAGGATTCAGTTGGGTCCAAACTACAGCCCAAGGAATTGTCTCATTCTGCTCATGTTTTCTATGTTTCTTCCAAAACTCTATGCATATTATTTTGGTGATATTATTGTAAGTGGCAAAAGTAAACATTAAAAACACTAAGCACAGAAACTTGAAAAGAAAAGGTCAAAATTCAATACCTGGGATGGTGCACAGTGGCAGGCAGGACCACATCATCACGTGTCAGACAAAAGCGTCCCACAGGGAAGCCAGTCATCTTTCCCCAAAAAGCAGCGAGACCTCAGGAAGCCGGGCAGCCAAAAGCATCAACAACCCCAGCGCTTTCCAGGGGTAGCCACAGGTGTGAACAGCTCAAAGGTGGAGCGCAATATCAAATTCATTTCTGAAAAATTGCCAGGCGCTGTTTCAGCACAAACTCCCTGCACTTACCTATCCCTCTTCCCAAAAATGGTAAAAGAGAGAAAAACATTTTCCACAATGTATCCTCCACGATCAATAAACATCTGTGTTGGCCGGGTGCGGTGGCTCATGCCTGTCATCCCAGCACTTTGGGAGGTCGAGGCGGGTGGATCACTTCAGGTCAGGAGTTCGAGACCAGCCTGGCCACACATGGTGAAACCCCATTTCTACTAAAAATACAAAAATTAGCTGGGCGTGGTGGTGGACGCCTATAATCCCAGCTGCTCGGGAGGCTAAGGCAAGAGAATCACTTGAACCCAGGAAGCAGAGGTTGCAGTGAGCCAAGATGGTGCCATTGCATTCCAGCCTGGGTGACAGAGCAAAACTCCGTTTCAAAAACACAAAACAAAAAACAAAACACACACACACACACACACACAAAACCTGTGCTAACAAAAAGTTAAGTCATTAAATGAAAATTCATCTCCCAGCTGAGCGCAGTGGCTGACACCTGTAATCCCAGCACTCTGGGAAGCCGACGCAGGCGGATCATTTGACCCCAGGAGTTTGAGACCAGTCTGGCCAATATGGTGAAACCCCGTCTCCAACAAAAATACAAACTTAGCTGGGTGGCCAGGCGCGGTGGCTCACGCCTGTAATCCCAGCACTCTGGGAAGCCGAGGCGGGCAAATCGTGAGGTCAGGAGATCGAGACCATCCTGGTTAACATGGTGAAACCCTGTCTCTACTAAAAATATAAAAAATTAGCCAGGCGTGGTGGCGGGCGCCTGTAGTCCCAGCTACTCGGGGGGGCTGAGGCAGGAGAATGGCGTGAACCCGGGAGGCGGAGCTTGCAGTGAGCCGAGATCACGCCACTGCTCTCCAGCCTGGGTGACAGAGCAAGACTCCGTCTCAAAAAAAAAAATTAACATACAAAACCCACCCATCTCCAGTTTCACAGCCGTGGCGAAGGGTGTGAAGCACTGTAGCCTGCCCTCTCTGGCGCTTTCCCTTCTAAGCCGCAGGAAGGCACCGCTTGGAGGGAGCCCCTTCAGGCCCAGACACTGGCAGGGACGAGCAGCAGCAGTGGCCGACCGCCCGCCTGCACCTGCCTGGCACCTGCGCCCGGAGGATCCACTCCCACCCACACCCTCGGAAAAGGACAGGTGGCCCAGAGGCATCCGTGTGTTCAAGAACCGCAGAACATGAATGTGGACACCATCCCAACCAGGACTGTTCAGGGTGTTCTTGTTCTCTTGTTCTCACTCACTGACTACCAGCTTCTCGACGGGAGGGCCCCGTCTGAGACACAGAGCTTCACACGTTCCTTCTGCTTTATTTCCTCTCCCTAGTGAAACATTAAACACAGGAGGAAAAGATACAGATGTAGCCATCAGAAGGAAGTGAGGCTGTCATTCCAAATGGCCCCCCACCATGAAGAAACCCAGGCTTCTTAAATCAGGAACCTCACGTCTCAGTTTTCCCTCAGGTTTCTTTCTGTGGTGTGAGGACAGAAACAGGCGTCCCTGCATTCCTCAGCAATCCTCTCCTTCCTCTAAAGGCACGGGAGAGGATTTCCGAGCGCCTGCGATGCTGTGGGGAACCGCAGGCTGGGCACCGTCACCAACGCGTCACAACAGAGCAAATCTGCATAGCCTTCCCCAACTACCACCGAAAGGATGGCTCCGGCTCAGCTTGGTGAACGCTCATTAAACAAAAAGCACACTCGAGTTTCCTAGCTTCATTCCAGAACTGCTATTGTGGCACAACAAATTCACAACAAATTCACATCGGAGTCCCCTCGACCGGGAGCTGCGGGCCTGGGAATGCACAGCACAGGCAGAAGCATTCGTGGTTCGTCAGCTCCTGGCAGACGGGACTCACTTCACGGACACACAGACCCACGATCTTCATGCTATTAGGGTAATTTCATCTTCACAGTAAAAAATCACCAATTCCCAGAGAAACGGAGCATCAGCCCAGCTGTCGCACAGGGTCTCGCGGGTGCTGGTCACGGGACCTGCGGCCACTCCAAGCTAATGAAGAGCCGTTTACTCCGGAGGTGAGTCCCCGAGGGAGGACTGAAGTCCAAGCTAAAAAGGCGGCGCCAGCGAAGCGGAGGCCGCTTCCTCCAGGGAAGAGCCCCCAGCCCTCCCGGGCCCATCCGAGGCGCCCCACGCGGGAGCGCACGGTGGCCGGAGGCGGCGCGGAGCCGAGTGTGAGGAGGGCAGCCGCCGCCACGGCAGTGGCCCCACGCGCGCCTCGGTGGCAGGTGCTCCAGCGGGCGGGGCACGCGGAGCCCGGGCTGTACCGGACAGTCCTGGAAAACCACAGGAAAGCTACGCGAGGGTGGCGGCCGCCCTCCGTGGACCAGGTTACCATGTCCCCGCCCGCACGCCCGGCCGGGCAGCCCGAGCTCACGCGCGCCCGCCCACGTCCGCCGGGGTCCCTGCTGATGCTCGGGGGGAGTCCTGTAAAAGCCACACTGAGGTCGCGGCGGCGAGTCCCTGCAAGGTCGCCCTTCTGTGCGAACAGGCTTTGGTGGTTCTTGTTCTAGGAAACATCCAGCGCTTCAACTGGCCACGGAGTTACTAAGTATCAACCGAACAAGGTAGTTTTAAAAGGAAGGGAAATATTGCGACACGAATGAAGGGACAGATTAACTTGCTCCTCGGATCCGGGCACACAGCTCCTCCTACTTCTTCTTCCTCTTTTCCTGGACACACCGTGGACAGAACCTGTGACAAGAAAGGCGCAGTGAGGCCCTGGGCGCCATTTCCGCCAGCGCGCAGGGTGCCCAGGGCCCGCCTCCCCATGTCTCCCAGGGCTGCTGGACGCCGGCAGGAGGGCACCAGGAGAGGCACACGCAGTGGGGCCGCGGCCCTCCCGCAGGGAAAATGCGCCGATGCACGTGCGGCTCTATGCAGGACGCCGGTTCTGAAGCTGACAGATACACCATCAATGAGCAAAACCGATTTGACACCCAGGCGTTCCTCCTTAACAGGTGGGTCCTTCTTCCCCGGCCGATGGCAGGGTCGCTGGTGCCCTCTGTCTGCAGTCTGTGGGGGCTGCAGGTACCAAGCACGCGTTGAGAGCATGGCAGCCCCTCAGGCCCACGGAAACCCAGCCAGGCACCCTGCACTGGCCCTGGAAGCTGCCGTCTCACAAGTGCTCCCTGGTGACTCTGAGCAAGTTCTGGAGCTGCACGCACAAGGGGCTCCTGAACAGAGGCAGCTGCTGACCACAGAGGACATTCCATAGGTTCCCCACGCAGGAGGCAGCCGACTCGCATGACGGCAACCGTCAACCACCGCCTGGCCCAGGCCCAAGCCTGCCCAGGGCCCTCCGCCCTAACAGCCTCCGTACCCCTTCTCAAAACCCTCGGTGCACCATCCCCCAGCCGCACGGCGTGGGGCACCACAGTGCCATGTGTCCCTGTGACAGGACAGCCTGTGTTGACGCCACATGACACCGTGAGCTCGGCCAGCCTCCGAGACACGGCATCCTTTCCCTGTGTCCTCACACCGAACACCAAGGATAACTGGCTCTTACCAACTCGGGCGAGTCTGCCGGAGTTTCAAACACGCTGCCACGATGACCTCTGAGTGCCACACAGAAGAGCACATTCCGATTTCATTTTCAGAACATAGATATCCATTTTTAGATTTTCAGCACAGGCAAACAAAGCCAGGTTTTTATCTTTTTATTTATTTATTTGAGACAGGGTCTTGCTCTCTCGCCCAGGCTGGAGTGCAGTGGCGCGATCTCAGCTCACTGAAGCCTCGGACTTCCAGGCTCAAGCCATCCTCCCGCCTCCGCCTCCCAGGTAGTTGGGACCACAGGCACGCACCACCACGCCCAGCTAATTTTTGTATTTTTTGTAGAGTTGGGGTCTCCCGATGTTGCCCAGACTACAGGTTTTTATTTAAATGAAATCTGAGGAACAACAATGCAGAAAGTTGCCATTGCCAAGGGGATGCAAGGGTCAGGTAGAGAAAACACACCCTTCTCCACTAGACAGAGCCAGGGGCAGAGCCCCAGATCCATGCCCCGGCTTCAGGGCTCACATCTCATGCTATATTTCCCAAATTTCCCTAGGGGACAAGAACCTCTCATTTCTGATTTAAGACGATCCCTACCTCCCAGAGTCCGGAAGGTTGTCCTTCAGGAGGGGCCATTAACGTGAATATCACGTAACCTGGTAACCACCATTCCTGGGTGACGGCATCCCTCTGCCAGCTCGGACAGGCACAGCAGCAAAGGGGGGATAAAGCCACACCCAGAGCAGCCACCAGCCAGCCACACTCCTTGAGGCCACAGTGGGGCATGCCTACGTGGCTACCGTGTCCCGCTAAGCCCGGCAAGATTCTGCCATGGAGCACCTTCTCCTGGGGAGGCCAGCAGCGCAACACCCAGCAGACTGGGAGAAAACAGAGCGAGCGTCCCCACACTCACCATTTTCCTTTGGGTTTCGTGGTAAGGTCCACGCAGGCAAAGTGAAACCACTCAATTGGACACTGCAAAGTAAAGGGAGAAACCGCAGTCAACACGCCTCATGTTCTGTATGCAAAACACAAGAAATGCCAACATCCGCCAGCCCTGCCCCACACAAGACCCCGCCCCATGGCGCGAATCCTGCAGGCGACACTCACGTCTGGATTGTCACAGCCAATCATCTCCCCATAGGAGACCTGGTGGCACAGGCAGTACGTGGGTTCGTTTGGGTCCACGGGCATGTCCAGCACATCAGAGGGGTGCACGGACAGGATGGTGTCAGTGAACTCAGACCTGCAGGGGACAGGGCACAGGCACCACTGAAGGCCATGGTGGGAAGTGAGGCGGCACGGACACCACGGGCCCTTCTGTCTCTGACTTAAGGCCCCCTCACCCCAAAACTGTGAAGACAATCATTCCAAGGGGGAAATTGGTACCGTGCTCTGAGCGACACATAATGAATAAGCTTGCTTCCATTTTTCCCATTGTCCTTTAGAAATGAATGCGACTCCAGGGCCAGCCACTGCAGTCATGCACTAACTGAATACACACCTTGTGGACGTTTTCTTCCTGGAGCACACATTTTCAAAACCTCAATAACCCCTCTGAACACGCAATGTTCTAAGAAGGCGCAGCAAGAAAATCATTAAGTATACGAACAGATTGTCAGCTGATGCTAGAAAGAACAGTTACCCACAAAAATCCAGGAACAGCAGCAGCTGGCAGCAGAGGGGTGGAGACCTCGCGCCCACCTTCGGGCCCAGGCAGGGGCATGGGGGCACAGAGGGCCCCCAGGAGGCCGTGAAGCGCAGCACTCACCCACAGCACCGGGGTTCTGGTCCCACTCTGGGGACGAGTCCACTCTCATCTCGGTCCCTCCTCCCAGACAGGACTCCCCCGGGGACCTCTGGACTCAACCCACTTCTGGGCCATCCCTCCAAAGACCCCGGCCCCTTTGGAAACAAGCACACGTCACCTCTGCCAGCAGACGGCTGACACCTGAGAGAAGCCTGCCAGCCTCCCACTCCAGACTGACAGGTGTCAGAGCAGCCCGCACAGTCAACAGCTCTCCCGTAACTGTGACCTCCTCCCAAGAGAACAGCCATGCGTCCTGCGCCCGGGCCCTCCACGCACCTACTCAGGCACCTCTGCCCCAATACTGACTCAACCAGCAGCTCCCCACACACTCCCTGGACCGCCCACCACCCACCCAGCTGTCCACCTGGCACAGGGCCCCTTCCGACCACACACCATCCTTGTCACTCCTTCATCCCCATCAGCTCCCACGTGGGTTTCTACACAGCAGCCTGGCAGGTGTTCCACCCCGTCTATGCCTCCCTCCAAGCCTGCCACCTGTAGCACCATGGCCGTCCCACCAGGACCACAGACCTCAGGTGGAGACTTTCCTGTTTGAAAGGGATGCACTTAGGGGGAAATTTACGCTTTTATATTTCAGTATTTTTCAAATAAACTTACAAGCTGCAGGTACTATAGACAGTGTATTCCCATTAGTACAGAAAGAAAAAGTATCTTCCCTATCCCACCCTCCAACCCACGAATATCTAGTTGGTATGTAAACACAGCAGGTTAGCAGGAGGAACGTGGCCGTGAGAAAAACAGTCACGATCAGGGAAAGCCAAGGAGCAGAAGTCTGGGTCCCAGAGGGAATCAACACTCAGCTTTTCCTTGGATACCTGTCTAAAGCTTTTCTACGCCTTTGCAATTGCCTGTACACATACACACACACTCGGGCTCAGCATGCACCCGGCCTCCCCGCTGCCCTCTGGCACAGGGGCGCCCACCTAAGTCTGTCCTTTGCAGGTAATCTGCTCTTCTGCTCTTTCTCTCTGTCTGGGAATAGACAGGGGTTTCTCTTTAGAGCTGAAATCCATCAGCGTCACAAGTCCAGGTCCAGGTGCTGCCGACACTGCTTTCAAGCAACAGTCTCAAGTAGTCTTCGGGTCTCTCCTCTGACAGCAGCACGCAAGGGTCTACGTCTCAGCCTCCTGCCGATTCCGGGATGCCACCTGTGGCTTCACCTCCAAGGGGCTCCTGCGGTCTCCTCGAGTCACCTCTCACCCGCGGAGAGCAGGGCAGCACCCTCTGCTGCCAACCGTCCCCGAAACGCTGACGCCCTCCTCTTCTGCGCCGAGTCCAATTCTGTCCACAAAGCCCGACCTGACATCTTGAGCTGCCACTTGACCTGTGTCTCAGCATCACCAGGTTCGAGGGCGCTGGCCAGATTTGATGGCTGTGGGAGAGGGCCGGGGGCCTGAGGGGACCGCCCAGCAAGGGCACCCCAGAAGCTGAGGCCACCGTGCAGGCCTCACTGGCCTCTCAGTCTCGCCTGAGGGAGCGCCATGGCGTGTGGCCAGGGAGTGCTGCTATCAGCCCTGAGGGAGGCAACCAGGAGGCCATGGGGAGCCCTGTCCCTTGCACAGGCCAGGGTGACCCCAACTGTCAGCGGCTGCTGACTCCCTTCAGCACCACTGCCACAAGAGGCACCCTCTGTGCTAACTCCCCAGGGTGTGGCAGGCACCCCTCGCCAGACGGTGCCAGCGAGCCCTTCCGCGCCCGGCCCCGATGGCTTCCCAGCACTCCACGTGGCTCCTAGCAGGGGGCTGGCTGCCTGTCCAAGCCCCGGGATTCCAGGTGCTACAGGTGACACTGCCCTTCATCCACACACACAGGTTCTGCCTCGCCAGAGCAAGGCCACAGGGCAGCAACAGTGCAGGGGGCAGCCTCAGGTCACGGGATCTCAGACGAGACACGGAGCATCTGTGCAGTCTAGGAACACTGCATTCCAGGAAGAGCCCCGGGCACGTGGGGAACAGGCCTGAAGAGGGCAGTCCACAGGGACAGGATGGTGCGTGCGCCTGGGTCCCCAGCAGGGAACAGGACCTGCCTTGAGGCAGAGCGGCCTGGCACCACAGCGTGACCACGAGGGGCGTGAATACCCACTGTGCTGATGGGTCAGGGACGCGCACCACAGAACTCCAGAGCCCAGGGGCAGGCGGGCTCCTGCACACACCCAGGATGATGCCCTTGGAGGCACCCGAGTGCACACTCCCGCCCCGGCAGGCCAGGCTTTGGGTCCAACCGACTGGTCCTCAGGATGACCCGTCTGCCCACCTGCACCATCCTCCTGTCCCTCTGGAAGGGGCCTCCTTGGCGCCTTGGACGTCAGAGCCCAGCTTCAGAGCTGGCCTTACCAGCCTGTCTCGACGTCTTGCAATGGGACAGGAGCAGCACTGCCACTTGGGGGCACAGAGAAGAAAGAGATTCACACACAAGCTAGATCCAGAGCCGCAGGGCCCCGCAACTGTCGCCATCGGTGATCACCCTTCTCATCTGTCACTACTGGGACCTGCACGGCAGGCAGCGCTGAGCTCCCAGGCTCCGCATTGCTACTAAACAGTGCTGGTCAGCGCACTGTCAGGACAGGAAAAGCCATGAGGCCACAGTGGATCTTCCTGTGTTTGCAGAGGTGCTGGCTGTTCCTGAGGTCTCTGAAGCTGGGCAGAGCCCTCAGGGAGGAAGCCCCGACCCCAACAGGGAGCTGGAGTCTCCTTCACCCCCACGAGGACCCCCAGTGCCTGCATTCCTTATGCCTAGCATACCCTTGAGAAACAGCACTGGGTGAGGAAGAGACCAGGAGGAGTCCCACTTTCACGCAGAAAAGGCACGGTCGGGACAGGGCCTTCAGGTTCCGAGCAGGAAGGAGCAGGAAGACTCAGAACGCTGTTGCCACTGAGTTAGAAAACACAAAACCCAGCAAGTCACAAAAACCACATTCTCAAAGATGTCGGGGAGCTGTGGAGCAACAAGAGCTAGATGACCTGCAGCCAGAGTGGGGGGTGTTGGGGGGTTGGGGGCGGCGTCCGCCTGCCTCATGCACTGAGTGAGGGCTGGGCTGGCCACTGGGCCACGCTGAGCCCACACAGCCACACATGGCGGCCGCGTCCCCACCGACATTTATAGTCCAGAGGCTGCACAGAGCAACTAAAAGCAGAGGGAAAATCCCTGCAACCTCGGAGTTCTCGAGCAAGGGGTCTGCTCGGGCACCGCTGGTCTCCTCCCCCGCACTTCTACCAACTGTGGAAGCCGCTGGGGCAGGAGGCGAGAGAGGAAACCTCAAGGTCCTCAAGGGGCCTCGGTGGAGCTGAAGCTGAGACCCTGCCCCGCCCCAGGCCCCCAGCCCTATTGGCCTGGACTAAAACAGAACGAACACCTCCTGGGGAGAACAGAAATTTCCCTCTCCACGCTTCCTTTATATCTAAAGTCAGACAGCTAATAAATCATGAGACATGTACCCTCAGCAGGGAAATAGGACTGATTATGTTTTTTTAAAAGCTGGTTACCAAGGAATGGTGGCACATGCCTGTGATCCCGGCTACTCAAGTGACCCTCCCACCTCAGCCTTCCAAAGTGCTGAGATTACAGGCATGAGCCAAAGCACCCAGCCCTACAATCTCTTAAATGAAAAATGTATTAAAGGAGATTAAAACTAACTTAGGGCCGGGCACAGCAGCTCACGCCTGTAATCCCAGCACATCGGGAGGCCAAAAACAGGCAGATCCACCTGAGGCCAGGAGTTCGAGACCAGCCTGCATAACACGGTGAAACCCTGTCTATACTAAAAATACAAAATTAGCCAGTCATGGTGGCACGTGCCTGTAATTCCAGCTACTTGGGAGGCTGAGGCAGAGAATCGCTTGAACTTGGGAGGCGGAGCTTGCAGTGAGCCAAGATTGTACCAGTGCACTCCAGCCTGGGTGACCAAGCAAGACCGTCTCAAAAAAAAAAAAAAAAAGACAGAAAGAGAAAAGAAGGAAGGAAGGAAGGAAGGGAGGGAGGGAGGAAGGGAGGGAGGGAGGGAAGGAGGAAGGAAGTGAGGGAGGGAGGGAGGAAGGGAGGAAAGAAGAAAGGAAGGAAGGAAAGAAAGAAGGAAAGGGAAGGTGAGAGGCTGAGCTGGGCGGATCACTTGAGGCCAGGAGTTTGAAACCAGCCTGGCCAACAGGCTGAAACCCCGACTCTACTAAAAATACAAAACTTAGCCGGGTGTGGTGACGCTCACCTGTAATCCCAGCTACTTGGAAGGCTGAGGCGGGAGAATGGCTTGAACCCGGGAGGCAGAGGCTGCGGTGAGCGGAGATTGCGCCACCGCACTCCAGCCTGGGCCACAGAGCCTGAACCTGTCTCATAAATAAATAAAGTAATAGAAACAAATCAAACTGAAGTACAGAAAGAAAAAAGCTTGCAGAAAGTAAGCAGAGCCTCGGTGAGCTGTGAGAAAATCTAAGCTAAGGAACGCACAGGGAGCTGGACAGCAGGAAGAGGAGAAAGGAGAGCACAAAAATACTGGAAGAACTGTCTGAAAATTTTCCAAATTCGATGCAAAGTATAAACCAACAGTTCAAAGATGCTCAACAAGTTCCACGCAAAATATACACAAAAAAATCACACCAATACACATCATAACCAAACTGTTAAGAGCCAGTGACAATGAGAAATCTTAAAAGCAAAAAAAAAAAAAGAAACCACCAAAAATAATTATTATCAGTAATTTATCATCAGAATCAATGAAAGACAGAAGAAAATGAGAGAACATCTTTAGCGATAAAAGAAAAAAGGTCAACCTAAAATTCTATACGCAGTGAAATAAAAGCATTTTCAGAGAAACAAAAACAGAGAATTCATCACCATCAGCATACATGTACTGCAAAAAATGTTAAAGTTCTTCAGTAGAGGAGAAATGACAAGACAGAAATTTGCATCCACATAAAGAAATATACGTAAGCAGAATATGTATGGAAAAAAAATTTTTAAAGAAAGAAAATAAATATTAAGAAATAATAGTTGGGCCAGGCGCGGTGGCTCATGCCTGTCATCCTGCCACTTTGGGAGGCTGAGGCGAGAGGGTCACTGGAGGCCAGGAGTTCGAGACCAGCCTGGCCAACATGGCAAAACCCCATCTCTACTAAAAATACAAAAATTAACCAGGTGAGTAGGTGGGTGTAATCTCAGCTACTCAGGAGGCTGAGGCACAAGAATCACTTGAACCTGGGAGGCAGAGGTTGCCGTGAGCTGAGATCGCACCACTGCACTCCAGCCTGGGACACAGAGCAAGACTCTGTCTCAAAAAAAAAAAAAAATGAAGGTTACCAGAAATGGCAACTATATGAGGTAACTATATATGGGGTGACTTTTGTGGTGAGAACACTTAAAATCTACACATTTTTTTGAGACTATATTGTTATTAACTGTAGTCACCATGTTGTAAAACGGATCTTTTGAACTTATTCCTCCTATCTAAATGAAATTCTGTATCCAACGTCTCCCCTGACCACCCCAGCGCCTGACCACCATTCTACTCTCTACTTCTGTGAGTTCAACATCTTTACATTCCACATATATTTTAAGGCGTGTTTCACGTCATCAGTGGTTTGCATCTAAGGTAATAACGTGCTGGGAAGCTCAGATCACAGGCAAAGTGAAGGACAACAGCACAAAGGCAGGAAATGGAAGAACACTTGTGTGGAGCCACACGTTAAACATCAAATAGTGTAATATCTGAAGCTCACTGTGATAACTTAAGGAAACTGAGTGCACACACTAGAACAATCCTTAAAATACAGGGGCCGGGGCAGTGGCTCACGCCTGTAATCCTAGCACTTTGGGAGGCCGAGGTGGGTGGATCACTTGGGGTCAGGGGTTCGAGACCAGCCTGGCCAAAATGGTGAAAACCTGTCTCTACTAAAAATACAAAAACATTAGCCGGGTGTGGTGGCGCACACCTATAATCCCAGCTACTGCGGAGGCTGAGGCATGAGAATCGCTTGAACCTGGGAAGCAGAGGTTGTAGTGAGCCAAGATCATGCCATTGCAAATTGTACTCCAGCCTGGGCAACAGTGCAAGACTCCGTCTCAAAAAAAAAAAAAAAAAAAAAAGCATGGCTAATAAGACAAGAGTGGGGAAAAAAACGGAATACTAAAAAATACCTGATTAGTCCAAAAGAAGACAGCAAAGGAGCAGAAGGAACAAACAGAAAACTAATAGCAAGATGGTGAACCTAAATCCCACCATATCATTAATTATGTTAAATATGAACAGACCAAATATTGCAATGAAGGCCGGGTGCGGTGGCTCATGCCTGTAATCCCAGCACTTTACAGGGAGGGGAGGCCAAGGTGGGCAGATCATTTGAGGTCAGGAGTTCGAGACCAGCCTGCCCAGCATGGTGAAATCCTGTCTCTGTTAAAAATACAAAAATTAGCTGGCTTTCAAAGGATTTCAATTATGTAATGTTCTTTGACCACAACAGAAGTCAACTAAAAAATTAAAATTAGAAAGGTATCTGAAAAATCCCAAATTATTTGGAAATTGAGACACATACTTCTACATAAGTTATAGGGCAAAGAAGTAGCATGAAAAAAAAAATTCTAGGTCAGGTGCGGTGGCTCACGCCTGTAATCCCAGTATGTTGGGAGGCCAAGGCAGGCAGATCACCTGAGGTCAGGAGTTCAAGACCAGCCTGGCCAACATGGTGAAACCCTGTCTCTACTAAAAATACAAAAAAAAATTAGCCAGGCATGGTGATACGTGCCTGTAATCCCAGCTACCCAGGAGGCTGAGGCAAGAGAATTGCTTGAACCTGGGAGGTGGAGGTTGCAGTGAGCCAAGATCACACCACTGCACTCAAGCCTGGGCAACAGAGTGAGGCTCCGTCTCACCAAAAAAAAAAAAAAAAAAAAAAAAATTCTATTCCAGCACTTTGGGAGGCCAACGTGGGTGGATCACTTGAGCTCAGGAGTTTAAGACCACCCTGGGCAACATGGTGAAACTCCATCTCTACCAAAAATATAAAAAATTAGCCAGGCATGGTGGCATGCACTTGTGGTCCCAGCTACTTGGGAGGCCGAAGTGGGAGGATCTCTTGAGCCCAGGAGGTGGAGGCTGCAGTGAGCCAGGATCATGCCACTACACTCCAGCCTGGGTGACAGAGTGAGACCTCATCTCAAAAAACAAGAAAAACATTCTAAAATATTTTAAATAGGTAAACGAAATAAAAATTTAAAACAATATCAAAATTATATCAAAATCATAATATATCAAAATTTGTGGAGTGCAACAAAGATAATAATTAGAACAAGGAAGATATAAAAATCAATTATGCAAGCTACTTCCACCTTAAAAAGCTAGAATAGTATAGGCAAAGTAAACCTGAGTAGAAAACAGGAAATAGAGAGTAGAAACAAATGCAATAGCAAACAAAAAAATAGAGAAAACAATAAAAATAATGAAACTAAAAGCTAGTTCTCTAAAAAGATCAAGACGGCCAGACGCAGTGGCTCACGCCTGTAATCTCAACACACGGAGAGGTTGAGGCAGGCGGACTGCTTGAGCCCAGATGTTTGAGACCAGCCTGGGCAACATGATGAAACCCTGTCTCTACAAAAAATTAGCCAGGCATAGTGGCGCATGTCTGTGGTCCCAGCTACTCGGGAGCTGAGGTGGGAGAATCACTTGAGCCTGGGGACAGGGAGGTGGAGGCTGCAGTGAGCCATGTGCATGCCACTGCACTCCAGCCTAGGTGACACAGCTAGACCCTGCCCTCAGGGAAAAAAAAAAAAGGATCAAGACAAAATGAGAGAAACATAAATTACCAGTATCAGGACTGAAAGAGGGGTCATCATAACAGACACATCAGAACCATAATAATGCAAAATTATTAACAACCTGATGTCAAAAAAATCTGACAACTTACATGAAACAAATTTCTTGAAAGACACAGATTTTTTCCAAAACTGACTCGAGAAGAAATAGAAAGCCTGAATACTTCCATAACTTTAAAGGAACTGAATGCAACATCAAACTGTACACTTAGAATAACATTTTATTGTATGTAAATTATTCCTTAATAAAGTTAATTTAAAAGGTTAGAAAAACAACAGGACTAAACTATAATGTATAGTGTCTAGGAATGCACTATAAAACTATTAAAGAAACAAGGAAATAAACACTATAGAAATCTGGATCATGTTTATTTGGGGGCAGGAGGAGTTTATGATTTTAACAGGGCATATGGAAGGCCTTCCAGCAGCAGTTAATCACTGACTAGGTGCTACTTACAAAGATCTTCACTTTACGGAAATTAATTAAACCATGTTTGTTCTGTGCGGTTTTCTGTATCTGTGCACTACTTTACAATACGAGAATGTTGGGATTTTTTTTTTTTTTTTGAGACGGAGTTTTGCTCTGTCACCCAGGCTGGGGTGCAGTGGTGTGATCTTGACTCACTGCAACCTCCACTTCCCGGGTTCAAACAATCTCCCTGCGTCAGCCTCCCGAGTAGCTGGGATTACAGGCAGCTGCCAACTACTCAGCTAAGTATTTTGCATTTTTGGTAGAGACGGGGTTTCACCATATTGGTCAGGCTGGTCTTGAACTCCTGACCTCAGGTGATTAACCTGCCTTGGCCTCCCAAAGTGCTGCGATTACAGGCATGAGCCACCTCGCCCGGCCAAAAGGCTAAGCACTAGCTAAAAAACTGAAAATTGGGGCTGGGCACAGTGGCTCACGCCTGTAATCCCAGCACTTTGGGAGGCCAAGGCAGGTGGATCACGAGGTCAGGAGATCAAGACTATCCTGACTAACAAGGTGAAACCTCATCTCTACAAAAAATAAAAAAAAATTGGCTGGGTGTGGTGGCATGCACCTGTAGTCCCAGCTACTTGGGAGGCTCAGGCAGGAGAACTGCTTGAACCTGGGAGGCAGAGGTTGCAGTGAGCTGAGATCGCGCCACCACACTCCAGCCTGAGGGACAGAGCAAGACTCCATCTCAAAAAAAAAAAAAAAAAAAAACTGAAAATTGGGTCGGGTGTGATGGCTCATGCCTGTAATCCCAGCACTTTGGGAGGCCGAGGCAGGTGGATCACCTGAGGTCAGGAGTTCGAGACCAGCCTGGCTAACATGGTGAAATCCCATCTCTACTAAAAATACAAAAACTTAGCCGGGCATGGTGGTGCGCACTTGTAGTTGCAGCTATCCAGGAGGGTGAGGCAGGAGAATCGCTTGAACCTGGGAGGCAGAGGTTGCAGTGAGCCGAGATGGCGCCATTGCACTCCAGCTTGGGCAACAAGAGCGAAACCCCATCTCAAAAAAAAAAAAAAAGAAAATTGTCCCTTTTTTGTCAAGAAGAACTCTTTTTTTCTCTTTATTTTTTTTTTTTGAGACAGAGTCTCATGCTGTGGCCCAGGCTGGAATGTAGTGGTGCGATCGTGGCTCATGATCCTCCCAGCTCAGCTTTCCCTAGTAGCTGGGACTACAGCCCACACCACCACCCTCAGCTAATTTTTTCTATTTTTTGTAGAGATGGGGGACTCACTTGGTTGCCCAGACTGGTCTCAGATTCCTGGGCTCAAGTGATCCTCCCGCCTTGGCCTCCCAAAGTGCGGGAATTATAGGCATGAGCTACCGTGCCCAAAACTTACACTCTTTGACCCTCCCTCTGTGAGATCATCTCCACAGAGGCTTCGTGGCATTTCAGCATTTTCTCTTTAGTCTAAATGTCACTCCTCTGAGGTAATGCTACGATCTCTTTGGAGGGTATACAACACCTTTGGCAGGGAGGGTGTCAGTGGGAGAATGCTTTAAATAAAGTATCTCAAAAAACTTCAAGTTAAATGACATGTCTATTTAATAAATGTGGCCACATAATTAACAATGAATATATGCACACTATATGTTGACACATAAAATAACTGACAGATATACAGAAATCTAGCTACTTAAAGAGTGGTCTACATTGGCCTCTGTCAACAACACGTTGCTCACCATCCTCCTGTCCCTAGTGGGGCAGCACACACTGTGGCTAAGAGGACAGGCACTGGAGTCAGACTCCAGGTGCAGCCCAGCCGCACCACAGCAGCCCTAAAGCCTGGGCAGGTCCCTGCGACACTGAAAATGCCCCTGACAACGGCACCCCCTCAAAGGCTGCGGTGAGGACAGGCTGACGACAGGCGCGCAGCGTAAGAATCAGAATACCACCCGGCACACGGGGTGCACTTCACTCGGGTCAGCTTCCATCAGTGTTCCTACATCCGGGATACAGGCTATGGGTATTCGTTCTTTTGGGAAAAAGAGGGGAAAGCCTCTTACCCTCCTTTGTGCTTCTTTTTCTTTGGTGTGTCTTCCTCTGATGTCCTCCTGCCTCGGCCCCGGGACCCTCTTTTTTCTTTCTGACCCCGGCCTTCTGAAAAATAATCAAGATGCAAATTATTTTTATAGAATTCTCTAAAGCAAGGCAAGTTTTGTGTTTTGTTTTTAAAAAGGGGTCTCGCTCTGTCTCCCAGGCTGGCTGGAGTGCAGCGGAGCAATCATAGCTCACCGCAGCCTTGACCTCCCGGGCTCAAGCAATCCACCCACCTCAGCCTCCCGAGTAGCTGGGACCACAGGTGTGCACCACCACACCTGGCTAATTTTTAAATTTTTTGTTGAGATGAGGTCTCGCTATGTTGCCCAGGTTGGTCTCAAACTCCTAGCCTCAAGTGATCCTCCTGCCTCAGCCTCCCAAAGTGCTGGGGTTACAGGCGTAAGCCACCACACCCAGCCTGCAAGACAAGGTTTACCCAAATATGATACTTACCCTAGTGATCATACTTTAATGATTTACCGTGACAAAACTCTTCAAAACTCCATAGTTAACAGTAATAAAATAAAGAAAAAAAATTAACAGACTTGCTTTTTAACCCTCGCCCTCCGGAGCTTTCAAAATCACTGCCCTCCATCTTGTCCTTCAGATCTGCTTCAAAGCGCGCCAGGTCTGCATCAAGCCTTCGAATGTGTTTATCCACCTACAAAAGGATACCCAAAGTCTTATTTTAAAGTAAAACCAAAACACCTCAGAATCACGAATGTACAAAAGTATCCACCAGGAAACACCTTCTTGCCCTTTAATTGAGTCTCCAATGAACAAACCTCTGCTAAAACAAGGCCCACTATTTCAAAGTCCATGCAAGGGTCTTGTGCTTTTTCTGCATATTTTGACATTGCAATGGAATAAATCCCATTTAGGGAAAAGACATGAGTGTGGGCAATAATGAGAAGCAGAGTTGTGAAATGCAGTGAACAAGGCCTGGGATATCTGACGCTGAACCCTACTTTAAAATATGGCTACCTGGAGGCCAGGTGCAGCGGCTCACACCTGTAATCCCAGCACTTTGGGAGGTCGAGGCAGTCTGATCACCTGAGGTCAGGAGTTCAAAACCAGCCTGACCAACATGGTAAAATCCCATCTCTAAAATAAATACAAAAATTAGGGCAGGCGCGGTGGCTCACGCCTGTAGTCCCAGCACTCTGGGAGACCGAGGCAGGTGGATCATTTGAGGTCAGGAATTCAAGACCAGCCTGGCCAACATGGCAAAACCCCATCTCTATTAAAAATACAGGCCAGGCACGGTGGCTCATACCTGTAATCCCAGCACTTTGGGAGGCTGAGGCAGGTCAATCACCTGAGGTCGGGAGTTCAGGACCAGCCTGACCAACATGGAGCAACCCCATCTCTACCAAAAATACAAAATTAGCCGGGCTTGGTGGCGCATGCCTGTAATCCCAGCTACTCAGGAGGCTGAAGCCGGAGAATCGCTTGAACCCAGGAGGCAGAGGTTGCAGTGAGCCAAGATCGTGGCATTGCACTCCAGCCTGAGCAACAAGAGCGAAGCTCTGTCTCAAAAAAAAAAACCAAAAACCAAAAACAAAAATTAGCCTGTTGGTAGTGGTGCACACCTGTAATCCCAGCTACTTAGGAGGCTGAGGCAGGAGAATCGCTTGAGCCTGGGAAGTGGAGGTTGCACTGAACTGCAGCCATGCCACTGCACCCTAGTCTGGGCGACACAGTGAGGCCCTGTCTCAAAAACTAAATAAATAATACAAAAATAAAAAAATAAAACTACAAAAATTAGCCAGGCTTCGTGGTGGGTGACTGTAATCCTAGCTACTCAGGAGGCTGAGGCAGGAGAATTGCTTGAACCTGCGAGGCACAGGTTGCAGTGAGCCGAGATAGCACCATTGCACTCCAGCCTGGGCAACAAGAGCAAAAGTCCATCTCAAAAATAATAATAATAATAAAGTATGGCTACTGCATGCCTGTAATCTCAGCTACTCGGGAGACTGAGGCAGGAGAATCGCTTAAACCCAGGAGGTGGAGGTTGCAGTGAGCCGTGATCACACCACTGCACTCCAGCCTGGGCGACAGAGCAAGACTCTGTCTCAAAAATAAATAAATAAATAAAATAAATAAATAAAATAAAATATGGCCACCTGGAGGTCGGGCACGGTGGCTCATGCCTGTAATCTCAGTATTTTGGGAGGCTGAGGCGAGTGGATCACTTGAAGTCAGGAGTTCGAGACCAGCATGGCCAACAGGGTGAAACCCCGTCTCTTCTAAAAATATAAAAATTAGCTGGGTGTGGTGCTGCATGCCTGTAATCACAGCTACTAGGGAGGCTAAGGCACAAGAATCACTTGAGCCTAGGAGGCGGAGGTTGCACTGAGCTGAAATCACACCACTGTACTCCACCGTGGACGACAAAGTGAGACTGTCTCAAAAAAAACCCAAATGGTTCCTCCGAGCAGATACACAAACAAAAAGGGCCCAGAAAAAAAAAAAAAAAAAACAGGGATGGTCCTACATGAAGTGTATTCCGTCTGCACTTCCTCCAGCAGCGTCAGCTACCAAAGCCAGCCTTCCACTTGGCTATGCCCATTTCCGGGCAGTTTTTACATTTTGTTGCATGAGAGGCAGGAGTAGAGGTCAGAGGAAGAGCCATGGCCCCCGCCCCGCCCTCACCATCTCGTAGGTCTGCATGGCCAGCTGCACTTTGTCGTCACTGTATTCCTTGCACTTGCTGTAGGCGTTCTGGATCTTCTGCAGGCGCTCCACGCGCTGGTCTGGAGACAGCGTCTTCACCGTGGAGATGTACTCTGCAGCCAGGATGTCAATCTCTGCTTTCTTATCTGATGGAGAAATGGGGGAAAAGCTAGCCCTGCACAAGACACCATGATGTGCTCACCAGACTGGCAACAACTAAAGTCAGCCAACGCCAAGTTGTGGCAAAGATGTAGGCTGACATGAACTCACGCTGTGCTGGTGGGAGCGCAAGTGGGCAGAACCGTTCTGCACAAACAGTCTGGGATCGTGTGAATGTGCAGACTTTACGGCAACGTGCCCAGGACAGTCCCAGCTCTGAATGTTACACAGCAAGTGGTCACAGTGCCTTCTTCGACTCTCAAACATCCTGTATGAATAACTTGTAGCCACCTTTCCTATGACCTGGCATACTACTCTTTTTTCCCTTTTCTTTTTTTCCGGTAGAGCAGTCAAGAAAGAACACACTACTCTTAAATACCCTAAACAAACCTTATGTCACCTAAAGAAATCCACACGGGAAACATTCATAAGAGCAGAAAACAGAAAACAACCCCAATGTCCAATCCTCAGTAAAATGGAGAAATAAGCTGTGGTCCCTTCAGACAACAGAGTGCTACTCAGCAACAAAAAGAGCAAACTACAGCCACACACAGCAACACGGATGATTCCCAGAGAAGGTGACACGGAGCAAAAAGAGCAAGAAACAAAAGAAAACATACTGGATGATTCCATTAATATGAAGAGCAGAAACAGACACAACTCTTAACCCTTCAGTTTAGAGGGGTAAGAAAACTAGGCCAGGCGTGGTGGCTCACGCCTGTAATCCCAGCACTTTTGGAGGCCGAGGCGGGCAGATCACGAGGTCAGGAGATCGAGACCATCCTGGCTAACTTGATGAAACCCCGTCTCTACTAAAAATACAAAAAATTAGCCGGGCGTGGTGGCGGGTGCCTATAGTCCCAGCTACTCGGGAGGCTGAGGCAGGAGAATGGCGTGAACCCAGGAGGCGGGGCTTGAAGAAAGCCAAGATAGCGCCACTGCAGTCCGGCCTGGGCGAAAGAGTGAGACTCCATCTCAAAAAAAAAAAACAAAAGAAAACTGTTGAAGGCCATGCACGGCGGCTCACGCCTGTGATCCCAGCACTTTGGGAGGCCAAGGCAGGAGGATCACGAGGTTAAGAGATGGAAACCATCCTGGCCAATGTGGTGAAACCCCGTCTCTTCTAAAAATACAACAATTAGCTGGGCATGGTGTTACGTGCCTATGGTCCCAGCTACTCAGGAGGCTGAGGCAGGAGAATCACTTGCACCCAGGAGGCAGAGGTTGCAGTGAGCCGAGACCGTGCCACTGCACTCCAGCCTGATGGTAAAGCGAGACTCCGTCTCAGAAAAAAAAAAGAAAACTACTGTTAAAGGTGGAAGGTGACTGTCACCAAACTCAGGATGGTCACCCCTTGGTTGGGGAGGGGTGTCATGACTAGGAGGGTCACAAAGGCCTTCAGGTGCCAAAGGGCTTGATTTCTCCATCTCGGTAGCAGACAACAGAGAGGTTCACCTGGTAATATTTGTTAAGCAATCTATAATTGTTGCACATTCATTTCCTGAATATATGTTACATTTCACAATAAAATAACTCTCTGTATTCCCTAGTCAAGATGCTGTACCTAAGGAAAAAAACACAGCTATCTCAGTCTTGCAAAACATGTGCCCAGGCCGGGTGTGGTACTCACGTCTGTAATCCCAGCACTTTGGGAGGCCAAGGCGGGTGGATGAACCTGAGGTCAGGAGTTCAAGACCAGCCTGACCAACATGGAGAAACCCCGTCTCTACTTAAAATACAAAAAATTAGCAGGGTGTGGTGGCGCATGCCTGTAATCCCAGCTACTCGGGAGGCTGAGGCAGGAGAATTGCTTGAACCCGGGAGGCGGAGGTTGCGGTGAGCTGAGATCGTGCCATTGCACTCCAGCCTGGACAACAAGAGCGAAACTCCATCTCAAAACAAAAAAAACAAACCTGTGCCCAGCATAATGAATAAAAAATCTCAGGCCAGGCACAGTGGCTCACACCTGTAATACCAGCACTTTGGGAGGCCAAGGCGGGCAGATCACCTGAGGTTGAGAGTTTGAGACCAACCTGATCAACATGGAGAAACCCCATCTCTATTAAAAATACAAAATTAGCTGGGCATGATGGTGCATGCCTGTAATCCCAGCTACTCGGGAGGCTGAGGCAGGAGAATCACTTGAACCTGGGAGGCAGAGGTTGTGTTGAGCCAAGATCGCGCCATCGCACGCCAGCCTGGGCAACAAGAGTGAAACTCCATCTCAAAAAAAAAAAAAAAAAAAATTGCCACACCAAAACACATTATCATGAAATTTAAAACTTCAGAGATAAAGGAAACATCTCAAAAGCTTCTGAATAGGAATAACAAAAAAAAAATAGATCACACATATAAAGGACCAAGAATCCAAACGGCACCAGATTTTCTGCAGCAACGTGGAAGCTAGGAGACAAGGCAGCAATGTCGCCAACTTCCTGAGTGAAAACAATTGTCAACCTAGGATTCTATACCCAACCAAACTATCAGCTGAGTATGAGGCTAGAACAAACACATTTTCAGACATGCAATGTTACAAGAAAATCTACCTTCCTTTTTTTCTTTTTTTTTTTTTTTTTTGAGATGGAGTTTCGCTCTTGTTGCCCAGGGTGGAGTGCAATGGTGCGATCTCCAGGTGCAACCTCCGCCTCCAGGTTCAAGTGATTCTCCTGCCTCAGCCTCCCAATTAGCTGGGATTATAGGCGTGCGCCACCACACCCGGCTAATTTTGTATTTTTAGTAGAGACGGGGTTTCTCCATGTCGATCAGGCTGGTCTCGAACTCCTGACCTCAGGTGATCTGCCCACCTCAGCCTCCCAAAGTGCTGGGATTACAGGCATGAGCCACCGTGCCTGGCCAAGAAAATCTACCTTCCTATGTGCCTTTTTTTCAGGAACCTACCAAAGGAAAGGCTCTATCAAAACAGGAGAGCAAGGGCAAAAAGAAGACATTTAAGATTCAGGGAAGAGGGTCCCACACTGAAGAGGGGTGAAAGGAGATCCCAGGAAAACCTCAGGGCAACAAGTGTGCAGTTGGCATGGAAACAATCAGGACTGTGGCCTCCAGGACAGAGGGCTCTGCGGAAAGAAAGCACACACAGAACTGTCAGGGTAGACAGCCTGACAGACCACAAGGAAAAGCCCAGCTGGGGAGACAAGGGTCGAATGCAGAAAACAAAGCCAACAAACAGGGCCATGAGTAACTCTAAGAAATACACAAAGTTATTCCAAAGAGGTCATATAAGCACAGCAGGTGGCATGGCTCAGTGTTAAAGTACCTACACAGCTGCCCAATGGAAGTCCCATCACTGGTCTCACCACAAATTCTAACAACCTACAGCCAGGAGATGGGGGAGCCAGGTGAGGGCATGTGAGGGTGTGGGGGCCACTGGAGAAGTACAGCTGCCTGTGCCATATACGTCTGAACAACGTCTAAAACTGACGAGAGATAAAATAAGAAACAGCAACAAAAACATGTTGTTTAGAAACAGGGAGTTTAAGGGCCGGGCGCGGTGGCTCATGCCTGTAATCCCAGCACTTTGGGAGGCCTAGGCAGGCGGATCATGAGGTCAGTAGATCAAGACCATCCTGGCTAACATGGTGAACATGGTGAAACCCTGTCTCTACTAAAAATACAAAAAATTAGCTGGGTGTGGTGGCATGTGACTGTAGTCCCAGCTACTCGGGAGGCTGAGGCAGGAGAATCACTTGAACCCGGGAGGTGGAGGTTGCAGTGAGCCAAGATCGTGCCACTGCACTCTAGCCTGGGCAACAGAGTGAGACTCTGTCTCAAAAAAAAAAAAAAAAAAAAAGAAAAAAACAGAGTTAGGGCCAGGCGAGGTGGCTCACGCTTGTAATCCCAGCACTTTGGGAGGCTGAGGCGGGCAGATCATGAGGTGAGGAGATCAAGACCATCCTGGCTAACACGGTGAAACCCCGTCTCTACTAAAAATACAAAAAAAAAATTAGCCAGGCGTGGTGGCGGGCACCTGTAGTCCCAGCTACTCAGGAGGCTGAGGCAAGAGAATGGTGTGAACCCAGGAGGCAGAGCTTGCAGTGAGCTGAGATCACGTCACTGCACTCCGGACTGGGCGACAAAGCAAGACTCCGTCTCAAAAAAAAAGAAACGGAGTTAAATATCAAACGGCCAAAAAGTACTACCAAACTTTTAAAACAATGCACGCACTACACACTTTGAAAATTGAAAATATTTAAAAGAAAAAATTGGCAATAAATATTTTGATTGGAAAGGGTGATGGTTATAAAAACATGATATAAAGATGTGTAAGAACCCAAGAAACAATGTGGCTTCAAAAGTATCAACACCTACTGCAAGACACTGAGTGATACCCACGGCCCAGGGCTAGGCCAATGCCCCACTAACCTGGGTCCCCTCAAAACCCTCTGCCCCCAGCCTTCAGGAGCTGCTGGCTCCCACCTGTCAGAACTCAGTTCTGGTTGTATGGAGAGGTCTGAACCCACCTTCCGTCCTCTGGTCCAGCTCTCGCATCAGCTGGAAGTTCCTCTGAAGTTCGCAGGGAAGGTTCTCGATACCTGAAACGCAAAAACACAGAAGCCATGTACCTCTCAGCAGCAAGACAAAAATTCACCTCCAAAGGTTTTCTGTCTTTTTTTTTTGAGATGGAGTTTCACTCTTGTTGCCCAGGCTGGAGTGCAGTGGTGCGATCTTGGCTCACTGCAACCTACACCTCCCAGGTTCAAGTGATTCTCACGCCTCCGCCTCCTGAGTAGCTGGGATTACAGGCACATGCCACCATGCCCGGCTAGTTTTTGTATTTTTAGTTGAGACGGGGTTTCACAAGGTTGGCCAGGCTTGTCTCGAACTCCTGACCTCAGGTGATCCGCCCACCTCGGCCTCTCAAAGTGCTGGGATTACAGGTGTGAGCCACCAGGACTGGCCAAAAGTTTTATACTTCAAGTCTACAAGCCCACTCTGTATTCTGTCTCTGTCAGGGTTTGCGGAGCGGAAGGACTGTGATCTCATTTTTAGATGCAGGTACCAAACAGTGCTGACAAGAGGCTGTGTGCACACTTCGGAAGCTGTCAGAAGTCAAAGAAGGGAGAGGGAAACTTGGAAACCAACAGCACAGGCAGGGGAGGCCAACTGACCCCACCCTCTAGGCTGCCCCCCCTCAGTGAGCAGCATCTTCCAAGGCTCAAGCCAAAATCCCCTGGGTCCTCCTTGATCTTCCCCTACTTTACCCAGAAATCCAGTGCATTGAGCAGTGTAGCCACGCTGCCCACGCGACTTTATGCAAGGATAGAAATGTTTCCTCTCTCGGATGGGCGTGGTGGCTCATACCTGTAATCCCAGCACTTTGGGAGATCAAGACAGGCAAATCAGTTGAGGTCAGGAGTTCAAGACCAGCCTGGCCAACATGGTGAAACCCTGTCTCTACTAAAAATACAAAAATTATCCAGGCGTGGTGGTGCACAGCTACAGTCCCAGCTACTCGAGAGGCTAGGGCATGAGAATTGCTTGAACCTGGGAGGTGGAGGTTGCAGTGTGCTGAGATCATACCCTCCAACCTGGGCAACAGGGTGAGACTCCATTTCAAAAAAAATCAAAAAAAGAAAAAGAAAAGAAATGTTCTCTCTGAGCTGCCCAAGACAGTGGTGGCCATAGGGAGCTACTGAGCACTGGAAATGGGACTAACGCCATTCAATTTTTAATTTTACTTAAATAGTCCCTGTGGCTAGCGCAACCATTCCCCACAGTCTGCCAGGAGGACCCCCGTGCTGCTTTCGCGTCTGCTTTGTTACCCCCTAGACCAGGCCAACCTCCGCCCCCTGCACAGCTGACACAGGCTCCTAAGGGGGGCTGCCTCCTCCAGTCTTGGCCACCCTCCCATCTGCTGTTCACAGTTACCAGGCAATCATTTTAAACCTAACTCTATCTTATGCATCTGATGCTTCCAGCCCCAGTGTTTTCCCAGCTCCCCTAGAGGACAGAGGCACAGCCTCCCGGCTGGCACAGCCTCCCAGACACACACAAAGTCAACCCTCCTTGGGAGGCCAGCCCACTGGCTGGGCACCAGGATAGAGAAGGCCTCCCCTCCAGCGTGCTCCCCAGCTTGACTCTTCTACCCAGGGAACCCCCCACTACTCAGACCCCCAAGAGACAGCGGAGCACATGGGCAGAATCGGGCGTCCCTCTAGGGCAGCGGTCTCCAGCTCCAGGCCACGGCTCACTCGCCACTGTCTCAGCCCCTGGGCGGGTGCCAGGCCGAAGACCATGAGGATCCCCAGTGCAGCGCCCCCACAAGGGCCCTCCAGAGCCACCCGGCACAACCCCAAACACCGCGACCCCAAAGCTGTGCCCATCCCGGGCCGACGTCAGGGGTCCCGCGTGGGGTCTGCCCCTCTACGAGCGGGAGACCCTGAGCAGGCTGCTCGGCAGCGCTGGACCTTCCCTGGTGTGTAAAGTGAGGGAAAGCACCGTCCGCTCAGCCGCTGGGGGCGCCGACCTGCTGCCACCTGGAAACAGCACAGCCCGCCCACCAGGGCCGACTCGGCACCGCCCTCCCCGCCTCCGCGCCGCAGTCCCCAGTGCCGGGGAGAGACGCCCCGCGGCCCGCACGCCCTCCCCAGCCGCGGTCACACAAGAGGCCGGCGCACACGGGCGCACAGCCAGGCGGAGGCCCAGACCCCGGAGCCCCCAAGGCCCGGAGCCCCGCAGCGGGCGCCAGCTCCTCCTGCAGACGGGACAGGGACGGGCGGGACCTGGCGGGGCCGGGGCCGGAGCTGGGGGCGGAGATGAGGCGGGGCCTGGGTAGGGGCGGGACCTAATATGTGGGCGGGGTCGAGGCCGCAAGCCCCGCCCAGCATCGCCAGGCCCCGCCCCGCCGTGACGCACCTGGAATTGGCGCGACCCAGCCGGCGGGACCCCCCGCGCCCGCCCCCCGCGCCCTCCCCTCCCTTGCGGCCCTGCCCCGCCCCGTCCGCGCGCCCCCCGTCGCGCCCGGCCGCGCCCGCCGCCCTCCCGAGCCCACGGGGTCTGCATGCGGTGCCCGGCGCGCGGGGGGCTGCGGCACGGAGGACTCCGCGTGGGCGGCGGGCGCGGGGCCCGTGGGGCGCGCTTACTGTCCAGATAGTGCTCCAAGTACATGGCGGTCGCCATCTTCGTCCGCGGCCGCGCTCGGGGTCTGCGCGGGCGGGCGGTGCCGCGGGAGGCGGGGGCGGGGCGGTGCCAGCGCGCTCACTATTCATGAGTCGCGCGCGCTGATTGGTCGCGCCCGGGGGCGGGGTCGGACACGCCTTTCAGCTTCCGGCGGGCGGCGGGCTGCGGGGCCCGGGCGGAGGTTGTGGCAGCGGCGTCGGGCAGCGAGCAGGACCCAGGGCCGCAGCGGATCGGAGGCCGAGGAGGAGCAGGGGTTCCCGGCCCCACCGCCCGGCGTGCGGCCCAGGGCACCCAGGTGGGCGTCTCCCCTCCGCACCTGTCAGCGACCCCTGGGCCACCAAACGCAAACACGTGGTCCCGGGGACCTCACGCCCGTCCTGACGGCGCCCACGCGACCCCTGCTCCCGGCCGGGTCCCGGACAGGCCGCCACGAGGCCCTCCCTTCCCGAAGGCTCCTTGGGACCTGTCTGGCTCAGCGCCTTTCCCCCGGACCCCGAGCCCCCGGGGCCTCAGCCCGGCCTGAGCCGAGGGCCGGCACCGCGTGGCCCGGGCGAGCTGCCCCTCCCTCAGGGCCTGGGCCCTGGCGCCCTTCCCCCGCCAACGCCGCCCCTTCCCTCCGAGGAAAGCGGCCGCCCCGCCCAGCACCAGTGAGGGCACTGGCTCCTTTGCTGCCACCTCTCGAGGCAGGCAGGACCCGCACCATCTGGATGCCTTGGCCGAAAAGGCACGTGCGGCAGTATGATATAGTTAATAAGATGGCGTGCAAAGGTGTGCCGTAAGATGCATGCAAAAATACTGGAGAAGGCCGGCGCGCTGGCGCACGCCTGTAATCCCATCACTTTGGGAGGCCGAGGCGGGCGGATCACTTGAGGGCAGGAATTTGAGACCAGCCTGGCCAACGTGTTGAAACCCCGACTCTACTAAAAATACAAAAAAAAAAAAAAATTAGCCAAGCGTGGTGGCGCACGCCTGTAGTCCCAGCTACTCCGGAGGCTGAGCCCGGGAGGCGGAGGTTGTAGTGAGCTGAGATCGCGTCTGCACTCCAGCCTGGGCGACAGAGCAAGACTCTGTCTTCAAAAAAAAAAAAGAAAATTTTAAGAAAAAAAAAATACTGGAGAAACATAATTAAAATATGTTTCAGACTCGGCACGGTGGCTCACGCCTGTAATCCCAACACTTTGGGAGGCCGAGGCGGGCGGATCACTTGAGGGCAGGAATTTGAGACCAGCCTGGCCAACGTGGCGAAATCATGTCTCTACTAAAAATACAAAAATTACCCGGGCGTGGTGGCGGGCGCCTGTACTCCCAGCTACTCGGAGACTGAGGCAGGAAAATTACTTGAACTTGGGAGAGGGAGGTTGCAGTGAGAAGAGATCATGTAACTGCACTGCAGCTTGGGTGACAAGAGCAAGACTCCGTCTCAAAATAATAATAATACAAAAACTAGCCGGGCATGGTGGCAAGTACCTGTAATCCCAGATACTCGGGAGGCTGAAACAGGAGAATCGCTTGAGCTTGGGAGGCGGAGGTTGCAGTGAGCCGAGATTGCACCACTGCACTCCAGCCTGGCCAGCAGAGCAAGATTCCATCTCAAAAATAAAATAAAATAGGGCAGGCGCGGTGGCTCACTCCTGTAATTCCAGCACTTTGGGAGGCCAAGGCGGGAGGATCACGAGGTCAGGAGATTGAGACCATCCTGCCTAACACGGTGAAACCCCATCTCTACTAAAACTACAAAAAAATTAGCTGGGCATGGTGGCGGGCGCCTGTAATCCCAGCTACTCGGGCGGCCGAGGCAGGAGAATGGCGTGAACCCGGGAGGCTGAGCTTGCGGTGAGCCGAGATCGTGCCATTGCACTCCAGCCTGGGCGACAGAGCAACACTCCGTCCCAAAAAAAAAAAAAAAAAAAAAAAACTTAGCCGGGCATAATGGCTGGTGCCTGTAATCCCAGCTACCCAGGAGGCTGAGGAAGGAGAATCACTTGAACCTGGTACGTGGAGGTTGCAGTGAGCCGAGATCGTGCCACTGCACTCCAGCCTGGGTGACAGAGCGAGACTCCATCTTAAAATATAAAATAAAATAATTTAAAGTGTTTAAATATTAGTCTTTGGGGTGATTCTTCTCTGCCTCCAAACTGTGTAGCATCATCATGCAGTGCTCACCAGTACCCATGTCACTCCTCTTCCCACTTCACCACTGGACGCCCCCAAGCTGGGGATCAAACTCATCTCTGGCAGGTCTTTCATGGGTGAGGTGTGTCACTTCCCAGTCCTGTCTCCACTCCCTGTGATCTCAAGAGGACGTCCCAAAGGCTCCCCGAGCCCCAAGAACTGATGACCACTAGATGTAACGTGTAGGCCCCAGAACCCCCCGCCCCACCCCCAGCCACATCCTTGACTTCCGAGATGCAACGTTGCTGGTCACACAAATTAGCATAAGCTGATCAAAGGAGCAGTACTTTCATTATTTAAAATGCATTTTTAAAGATATTAAGCCAGCTGCTGTGACTCAAATCCGTATGATCACCATGAGAGGCTGAGGCGGGAGGATGGCTTGAGCCCAGGAGGTCTAGGCTGCAGTGAGCCATGATCAAACCACTGTACTCTTGCCTGGGTGACGGAGACCCCCACCTAAAAAAACAAGCTATGTCCCCCTTGGTGGACTCTTCCCTAAACCCCAGTCAAATATTGAAAACCAGAAACAATGTTTTTGCCACTATTATGTTCATTATAAAAATTCAGGCCAGGCATGGTGGCTCACGCCTGTAATCCCAGCACTTTGGAAGGATGAGGTGGGTGGATCACCTGAGGTCAGGAGTTTGAGACCAGCCTGACCAACATGGAGAAACCCAGTCTCTACTAAAAATACAAAATTAGCCAGGCGTGGTGGGCATGGGCCTGCAATCTCAGCTGCTCGGGAGCCTGAGGCAGGAGAATCATTTGAACCTAGGAGGCAGAGGATGCAGTCAGCTGAGGTCATGCCATTGCACTCCAGCCTGGGCTACAAGAGCAAACCCCTCCCCCCCCAAAAAAAAATTCAGCTGGGGTGGTGGCTCACGCCTGTAATCCCAGCACTTTGGGAGGCCAAGGTGGGTGGATCACCTGAGGTCGGGAGTTCGAGACCAGCCTGACCAATACAGAGAAACCCCATCTCTATTAAAAATACAAAAGTAGCTGGTTGTGGTGGTAGCTGCCTGTAATCCCAGCTACTTGGGAAGGTGAGGCAGGAGAATCACTTGAACCCAGGAGGCAGAGGCTGCGGTGAGCCAAAATCATGCCATTGCATTCCAGCCTGGGCAACAAGAGCAAGACTCTGTCTCAAAAACAAAAAAATTAAACAATACAGGAACTTTTAGCTTCCCACCTCCCCAGGGGGCAGGACTGTGATTGCCTTGTTCAGCTTTCAGTCCTAATGTTAGCAGTTTGAGTGCATCCTTACTGGCCTCATTTAATTATAGACTATTTTTCCATCAGTTTTAGGTTTATTGAAAAGTTGAAGAGAAAGTAGACTTCTCATATACTCCTCCACACACACACACACACACACACACACACACACACACACACACTCCTCTATTATAAACATTTTGCATTAATGTGATACATTTGTTACAATCGATGAAACAATATTGATACTTTTTTTTTTTTTGAGACCTCAAATTAGCTGGGCTCGGCTCACTGCAAGCTCCACCTCCCGGATCCACGCCATTCTCCCGCCTCAGCCTCCTGAGTAGCTGGAACTACAGGTGCCCGCCACCATGCCCGGCTAATTTTTTGTATTTTCAGTAGAGACGGGGGTTTCACCGTGTTAGCCAGGATGGTCTTGATCACCTGACCTCATGATCCTCCTGCCTTGGCCTCCCAAAGTGCTGGGATTACAGGCGTGAGCCACCACGGCGGGCCCGATACATTATTATTAACCAAAGTCCATCATTATTTCCATAAGGGTTCATTCTGCCTTGTGCTTTTTTTTTTTTTTTTTTGAGATGGAGCCTGGCTTCTTCGCCCAGGATGGAGTGCAATGGTGCAATCTTGGCTTACTACAACCTCCGCCTTCTGGGTTCCAGCCATTCTCCTGCCTCAGCCTCCCAAGTAGCTGGGATTACAGGCAGGCACCACCACGCCTGGCTAAGTTTTGTATTTTAAGCAGAGATGGGGTTTCACCCTGTTGGCCAGGCTGGTTTCAAACTCCTAAACTTAGGTGATCCACTGGCATCAGCCTTCCAAAGTGTTGGGATTACGGGCGTGAGCCACCACGCCCAGTGCCTTGTGCATTCTTATAGGTTTTGACAAATGTATAATGTCAGCTACCCCCCATTACATGTCATACAGCATAGTTTTGTGGCCCTAAAAATCCCCTGCGCTTCCCGATTCATCCCTCTCCCCCTCCCGAGGCCCCTGGCAACCACTGATCATTTTACTGTTTCCAGTTTGCTTTTTCCAGAATGTCATGTAATTGGAATCATACAGTATGAGCCTTTTCAGAATGGCTTCTTTCACTCAGCAATATGCATTTAAGGTCCCAGCGTGCCTTTCCGTGGCTTAATAGCTAGTTCATGTTTAATTTGAAAAATATTCCAACGTCCGGATGTTCCACAGTTTACCCATGTACTTTTTTTTTTTTTTTTTTTGAGACAGAGTCTCGCTCTGTCACCCAGGCTGGAGTGCAGTGGCAGGATCTCGGCTCACTGCAAGCTCCGCCTCCCGGGTTCATGCCATTCTCCTGCCTCAGCCTCCCGAGTAGCTGGGACTACAGGCGCCCGACACCACGCCTGTCTAATTCTTTGTATTTTTAGTACACATGGGGTTTCACCGTGTTAGCCAGGATGGTCTTGATCTCCTGGCCTTGTGTTCCGCCTGCCCCGGCCTCCCAAAGTGCTAGGATTACAGGCATGAGCCACAGCCCCTGGCCACCCATGTACTTATTAAAGAGCATCTTGGTTACTTCCAATTTTTGATTATTATATTATTATTATTATTTTGAAACGGAGTCTGTCTCTCTGTCACCCAAGCTGGAGTGCCGTGGCGCAATCTCGGCTCACTGCAACCTCCGCCTCCTGGGTTAAAGCGATTCTCCTGCCTCTTCCTCCCAAGCAGCTGGGATTACAGGTGCCTGCCACCATGCCCAGCTAATTTTTGTATTTTTAGTAGAGACAAGGTTTCGCCACATTGGCCAGGATGGTCTCTATCTCTTGACCTTGTGATCTGCCCGCCTCGGCCTCCCAAAGTGCTGGGATGAGAGGCATAAGCCACCACACCCAGCCTTGGTTATTATTATTTTTAGAGTCAGGGTCTTGCTCTGTCACCCAGGCTGAAGTGCAGTGGCACAATCATGGCTCATGCAGCCTCGACCTCCTGGGTTCAAAGGACCTGTTGCCTCAGCCCTCAATATCTGGGACTACAAGCACACACCATGACACCTGGCTAATTTTTAATTTTTTTTCTGTAGAGTTGGGGTATCTATGTTGCCCAGGCTGGTCTCCAACTCCTGGGTTCAAGCACTCCTCCAGCCTCAGCCTCCCCAAGTGCTGGGATTACAGACATGAGCCACCGCACCCAGCACTTTTGCCCATTTTTTCATGGGGTTGTTCTTTTACTGACTCACCATTTTTCTACTACTTTTCATTCTGTTTTGTTTTTTGTTTTGGGGGGTTTTTGTTTTTGTTTTTGTTTTTGAGATGGAGTCTTGCACTGTCACCCCGGCTGGAGTGCAGTGGCGAGATCCCGGCTTGTTGCAACCTCCACCTCCCAGGTTCAAGCGATTCTCCGGCCTTGGCCTCCCGAGTAGCTAGGATTACAGGCACCCACCACCACACCCGGCTAATTTTTTGTATTTTTAGTAGACACGGGGTTTCACTATGTTGGCCAGGCTGGTCTCGAACTCCTCACCTCGTGATCTGCCCGCCTCGGCCTTCCAAAGTGGTGGGATTACAGGCATGAGACACCGAGCCCAGCCTGTTTTGTTTTTTGAGACAGGATCTCACATTGTCGCCCAGGCTGGAGGACAGTGGTGTGATCACAGTTCACTGCAGCTTGACCTCCTGGGCTCAAGCAATCTTCTTGCCTTGGCCTCCGCAAATGCTGGGACTATAGGTATAAGCTGCCGCACCCAGCCTGTCTTACATTTTTAGCTGAATACTCCTTGTGAGCATCTGGCCCTGCTTTACTCACCCTGCTTTGTCCCACTGACTAGATCTATTTCATTGTAGTGGTGTATCAGACTTTAACAAACTCTTTACAGATGTTCCCAATATTTCAGTATCATAAATCATGCTGTAATGAACATGGCTATACATAGAACTGCAAGTATCTGTTCCCATTATGTATCACCGCCTTACAGACCCCTGAAAACTTAGTGGTTTAAAAGAACCATTTTTTTTTAGACGGAATCTTGCTCTGTCACCCAGGCTGGAGTGTGGTGGCGCGATCTCAGCTCACTGCAACCTCCACCTCCTGGGTTCAAGCAATTCTGCTGCCTCAGCCTCCTGAGTAGGTGGGACTACAGGCGCGTGCCATCATGCCTAGCTAATTTTTGTATTTTTAGTAGAGATGGGCTTTCACCAAATTGGCCAAGCTGGTCTTGAACTCCTGACCTTGTGATCCACCCACCTTGGCCTCCCAAAGTGCTGGGATTACAGGCGTGAGCCACCGTGCCGCCAAGAACTATTTTGTTATATGTGACAGCGTGCCAGGAATTTCAGCAGCTCCACCAGGTGACTGTCCTGTCCAGTGTGACAGAAAAGAGATCACTGGGGTGGCTGGAAGGCTGATGTCAGCTGGCACCGTGGGCCAGAACACCCACATGTGGCCTCTCCAGCACAGCAGTCTCAGTAGCAGCGGGTCTCACAGAGTCCCAGGAGGCTGGGGTGGAAGCCACCGGCTCTTGTGACCTCACTTTGGTAGCCCTAAGACATCACCTCACTACATTCTATTGGTCAAGCAAGTCACTGGGGCCGACCCAGGTTGAATGGGAGAAACATTATACCCACAACTAACAGTGGGAGGAGGAGCAAGAATACCACATTGTCTTACCAGTCCTTTTTTTTTGAGACGGAGTCTTGCTCTGTCGCAAGGCTGGAGTGCGGTGGCGCAATCTCGGCTCACTGCAATCTCCTCCTCCTGGGTTCAAGCGATTCTCCTGCCTCAGCCTCCCAAGTAGCTGGGACTACAGGCGCCCGCCACCAAGCCCTACCAATTTTTTTTGTATTTTTAGTAGAGACCGGTTTTCACTATGTTGGCCAGGCTGGTCTCGAACTCCTGACCTCATCATCCACTCGCCTCGGCCTCCCAAAGTGCTAGAATTACAGTGTGAGCCACCATGCCTGGCCGAGTATTGCACATTTTAAGTGCTGATACTTATAAATGAATTGCCCAAAGGGAAGGTTATACCAACCAGCATGGCCACTGGTTGCTTTCCATACTTCTGCCAACCCTAGATTTCATCAGGCTTTTTAAATGTTTAACCTTCGCTAACTCATTAGAGGGGGGAAAAAGCCAACCTTAAATATTTTAATCACATTTATTTCATTTTAAGTGAAGCTAAACTTTTTTTTAACATATTTGTTGCCTATTTGTGGTTCTGTCCTTTTCTCCTTTATATCTTTTACTGATTCTTTTTTTTTTGAGATGGAGTCTCGCTCTGTCGCCCAGGCTGGAGTGCAGTGGTGTGATCTTGGCTCACTGCAAGCTCTGCCTCCCAGGTTCATGCCATTCTCCTGCCTCAGCCTCCCGAAAAGCTGGGACTACAGGCGCCCGCCACCACGCCGGGCTAATTTTTTGTATTTTTAGTAGAGATGGGGTTTCACCATGTTAGCCAGGATGGTCTCGATCTGCTGACCTTGTGATCCGCCCGCCTCGGTCTCCCAAAGTGCTGGGATTACAGGCGTGAGCCACCGCGCCTGGCCATCTTTTAGTGATTCTCTGTGTAGAAACTGGTCTTCATGTATTTTGTCTAAAAAAAAAAAATCTTTATTATTAAGGGTTATTGGCCCTCACATATCATATATTAAATATAACTCTCCCAGAGATCAATTTGTCTTCTTTCATTCACACACACAAAACTGGCAAACCCTTTTGAAGGGACCCTGTTTTAGAAACTGCCAGAGAGGGCCAGGCGCGGTGGCTCATGCCTGTAATCCCAGCAATTTAGGAGGCCAAGGCGGGTGGATCACCTGAGGTCAGGAGTTCGAGACCAGCCTGGCCAACATGGTGAAACACCCCGTCTCTACTAAAAATACAAAATTAGCCAGGCATGGTGGTGGGTGCCTGTAATCCCAGCTACTCGGGAGGCTGAGGCAGGAGAATTGCTTGAACCTGGGAGGTGGAGGTTGCAGTTAGCCGAGACTGCGCCATTGCACTCCAGCCTGGGCGACAGAGCAAGACTCAGTCTCAAAAAAAAAAAAAAAAAAAAAAAGAGTTGTATTTCTCAGTGCAACAACTCTAATGTGAACAGGCGGGACAGCACACTCCATGGGGCCTCTCAGGGACCCACATTCCTTCTTGTATGGTGTCTGTCCACAAAGGGCCTTGCCATCGTCTGCCTGGTCAAGGCTGGGTTGCAACAAGGGGTATGTCGGAGAGCGTAGGGGATGCAAGCCTGCTGTGTGAAGGTCCACATGCCACATCTACCTGCAAGGAGGGTTGGGAGTTTAGCAGAGCAGTGAGTACCAGCACAACTCGAAGCTCCTGGGAGCAGGTGAGGACATGGACTGAACTGTGTCCCTCAAAATTCCTGTGTTGAAGCCCTGACCCCCAACGTGACTGTTTGTAGATAGGGCCCTTAAGGAGCTTTGCTTTTTTTTTTTTTTTTTTTTGAGACAGTCTCGCCCTGTCGCCCAGGCTGGAGTGCAATAGGGCGATCTCAGCTGCAACCTCCGCCTCCTGGGTTCAAGCAATTCTCCTGCCTCAGCCTCCTGAGTAGCTGGGATTACAGGCGCCCGTCACCACACCCAGCTAATTTGTGTATATTTAGTAGAGACGGGGTTTCACCACGTTGGCCAGGCTGGTCTCGAGCTCCTGATCTCGTGATCTGCCCGCCTCTGCCTCCCAAAGTGCTGAGATTACAGGCGTGAGCCAACGCACCTGGCCAAGGAGCTAATTAAGGTTAAATGAAGTCCTAATGTGATAGGACCAACAGTTTTCATGTGTCTGCTGCACAGTTAACAGACCCATGATGCTCAGACAGCAGGGTTTGCAGCAGAGAAAGAGTTTAACAAGGCCCAGGTGAGGAGGTGAAAGGAGACGTCTCCTCAAATACATCTCCCTCAGGAGTTCTGAGCTAAGGTTTTTAAGGGGATCATGGAAGGTGAGGGGCTGGAAAATGGGGGTCGCTGACTGGCCAGGGTAAGGAGGATGATTCACTAGAATGTGGAAACTGCATTCCTTGCTGAGTCAGCTCCTGTGGGGTCCTTCAGAGCAGCTGGCATCAGTACTTTCACTGGTATGCAGGGCCTGAAAGAATCTCAGGCTGGGCGTGGTGGCTCATGCCTGCAATCCCAGGGCTTCAGGAGGCCGAGGCAGGATGACCGCTTGGGCCCACCAGTTCAAGACCAGCCTGGGCAACAGGGCAAGACCCCGTCAGTATTTAAAAAAAAAAAAAAGCCAGATGTGTGTGCCTGTAGTTCCAGATACTTCAGATGCTGAGGCAGGAGGATCACTCGAGACCAGAACCTCAAGGCTGCAGTGAGCTACGATTGTGCCACTGCACTTCAGCCTGAACAAGAGTGAGACCCTGTCTCTAAAAAGAAAAAAAAATTAAAATAAAAAAAAAATCTCAAAGGGAAAAGTTAAGGTTTCATAATGTTCAAGTTGTTATCTCTGGAGCAGTTAAGGGTAACTGTAATCTTATAACAAGAGTCTACCTGATTCTGAGGCACGAGGCGCCAGCTCAGAGGGGCTCACCACATGACTGGTGCTGCGTGTGCTGCAAGCTCGGTTATTCCATTTCCCCCTCCCCTCTTCCTTGATTAATTTTGTGTTTTTAGTGACGGTTTTCTTTTTTTATATTTTTTTAAAAATTGAGACAAGGTCTCACTCTGTCACCTGGGCTGGAGTGCAGTGGCGCAACCATGGCTCACTGCAGCCTCAACCTCCTAGGCTCAAGTGATCCTCCCACCTCAGCTTCCCAAGTAGCTGGGACTATAGGCACGCCCACCTATTTATTTTGTAGAGATAAATAAATCTACAAATAAGTCTATGTTGCCCAGGCTGGTCTCAAACTCCTGAGCTCAAGCAATCTACCTGCCTCCCAAAGTGCTGGGATTGTAGGTGTGAGCCACCATGCCTGGCCAGGGATGGTTTCAATAAGGGTGCAACCCTAATCCGATAGGGCTGGTACCCTCATGAGAAAAGGAAGAGGTACCAGAGCATTCTCTTTGCTATGTGCAACTCTAAAAGACAGCCCGTACCAGGCAGCAATCTGTCGGGCACCTTAATCTTGGACTTCCAGCCAATAAATGCCTATTGCTTCAGTTCCCCAGTCTAAGGTAGTCTGTCGTGACAGCCCCAGCCCACTGACGGTGAGAGACTTTATTCCCTGCGTGGTGGAAGTTGCAGCACACTAAGAAACAGGGACTAGCAAAAGAGCTTTCCTGCTCCTTCAGTTTTTTTGTTTTTGTTTTTTTTTTTTGAGACAGTGTCTCACTCTGTCACCCAGGCTGCAGTGCAGTGGCATGATCTCAGCTCACTGCAACCTCCACCTCCCAGGTTCAAGTGATTCTCCTGTCTCAACCTCCCAAGTAGCTGGGATTACAGGCATGTGCCACCACACCCAGCTAATTTTTGTATTTTTAGTAGAGACGGTGTTTCACCATGTTGTCTAGGCTGGTCTTGAACTCCTGACCTCAAATGATTCACCCACCTCGGCCTCCCAAAGTGCTGGGATTACAGGTGTCAGCCACAACACCCAGGTCCTTTTTTTTAAATGGAAAATCTCAAACACAAGAAAGCAGATAACCTGGCTGGGTGCGCTGGCTCACGCCTGTAATCCCAGCGCTTTGGGAGGCTGAGGCAGGTGGACTCACCTGAGGTCAGGAGTTCAAGACCAGCCTGGCCAACATGGTGAAATCCTGTCTCTACTAAAAATACAAAAAATTAGCCGGGTGTTGTGGCGGGCGCCTGTAAATCCCAGCTACTTGGGAGGCTGAGGCAGGAGAATCGTCTGAACCTAGGAGGTGGATGTTGCAGCGAGCTGAGATCACACCACTGGACTCCAGCCTGGGTAACAGACCGAGGCTGTCTGGGAAAAAAAGAAAAAAAAAAAAAGCAAGCAGAGAACCTAATGAACCCACGAACCCATGTGTTCACCTGCATCTTTCTGCAATTATCAGCCTGTGGCCAACTCCATTTCACCTGTATCTCTGACCACACAGACCCAGCATCCCACCATTTCCCCTATAAAGTGGATGTACTCACCTATCAGGCCTCCAGAGTCTCGTGGAGTGACTCTTGCTCCCATTGCTCCTGGACAGACAGTGCTGGAAATCAGGCCTGAGGCTGTCAGTGGCAGTACGAAGGACACTGGATGCTCAGCCACGCAGACCCTCCTATGCCCACGCCAGGGCTGAGGTCAGCAGGCTGGGGTGTGGCAGTCATCCTTTGATCACGCAGGAACACCAAGAGAACTGCTAGGATGTGGACCAACCTGATGTCACTGAGTCACGGGAGCAGCTCCTGCCTGCCTAACACTGGACTTCATGTAATGTCAGATGATTAAATATCTTAATGCTGTGAGCCACAGGAGGCTGGCTGGTATTCTGCTACCTGTGCTAAAAGGTATCCTAAGAGAGGTACACCATGCTGGAATAGGCAAAAGCAAACCTGTTTCTTGTATCTTAGTAACACACTTCAAGGTGCTTATGTGCTTGAGCAATTCCTGCAGTCAAATGGGCCCTCCACCCCCCAGTACACAAGGCCCAGCCAGCCAGATTCCCTCCATCTTCACCCTCCTCCCCCGTCCCAGGGGAGCCAGGAAAGCCATGCATCCACCAAGGCGGATGCGCTGTGTCCCTCTGCATCAGCCTGCTGAGTCCTCCTGGACCTGATGAGAGACAGTACCGCAGCCTTGCCCAGCCCCGGGAAGGTGGTCTTCCTTCCTACAATCCCCTTCATCCTCTGGAAGGTGGTCTTCCTTCCTACAATCCCCTTCATCCTCTGGAAGGTGGTCTTCCTTACTACAATCCCCTTCATCCTCTGGAAGGTGGTCTTCCTTACTACAATCCCCTTCATCCTCTGGAAGGCAACAAGATGGAATTTTATAAGGAGACATCAATCAGAAAAAAGGATATTACTTTTATTACTTATCTATGTAAGGGAATAGTAAGTACTATTCTTAGTACTTGTAAGCGTTCGCTAGGTTGTGCTGTGGTAACAAAGGATCCCGAAGTCTCAGTGACTCGAAATCACGATGGTTTACTTCTTGCTGGTGCTGCCCATCAGCTACAACGGCTGTACTTCATGGGCCTTTGTTACAGGATCTGGGGTGAAAAACCAGCCCTCACTGTGCACATGCTGTGTTCATGCTGGGGGCAGAAGGGGAGGGACCAAACCACAAAACACCCTTTAAAGCTTCTGCCTGAACAGGGCACATGACAGCAGACTACTTTACATTACCATTTGGAAGTCTCACCACTAAGCTTGACGTAAAGGAAGAAAGGGTAGGCCAGGTGCAGTGGTTCACGTCTGTAATCCCAGCACTTAGGGAGGCTGACGTGGGCGGATCACCCGAGGTCAGGAATTTGAGACCGGCCTGGCAAACATGGTGAAAACCCATCTCTACTAATACAAAAATTAGCTGGGCGTGGTGGCAGGTGCCTGTAATCTCAGCTACTTGGGAGGTTGATGCAGGAGAATAGGTTGAACCCGGGAAGTGGAGGTTGCAGTGAGCCAAGATCATGCCATTGCACTCCACTCTGGGCCACAAGACAGAAACTCCGTCTCAAAAAAAAAATTAAATTAAAAAATAAATTGGCCGGGCGCAGTGGCTCACGCCTGTAATCTCAGCACTTTGGGAGGCTGAGATGGGCGGATCATGAGGTCAGGAGATCGAGACCATCCTGGCTAACACGGTGAAACCCCGTCTCTACTAAAAAATACAAAAAAAATTAGCCGGGCATGATGGTGGGCACCTGTAGTCCCAGCTAGTGGGGAGGCTGAGGCAGGAGAATGGGATGAACTCGGGAGGTGGAGCTTGCAGTGAGCCAAGATTGCGCCACTGCACTCCAGCCTGGGCAACAGAGCAAGACTCCATCTCAAAAAAATAAAATAAAAATACAAAAATTAGCCGGGCGTGGTGGTGGGCGCCTGTAATCCCAGCTACTCAGGAGGCTGAGGCAGGAGAATAGCTTGAACCCGGGAGGTGGAGGGTGCAGTGAGCTGAGATCGCGCCACTGCACTCCAGCCTGGGGGACAGAGCAGGACTCCGTCTCAAATAAAATAAAAGCAATAAAAGTAAATTAAAAAGGAAGAAAGGGCATAACTGGTAATAACAATATAACCCATATCCTTCCAGAACCCCAAACTGAATTGGGGAGGCTTCAGTCTGGAAAACATAAAGCTACTCTAGGTATGCAATGATAATATAATCGCGAGCTTACACAAATGCTGGGAGTAAAGTCCGGGAAATTGTTGCCAATGACCTCAGCCCAAAGCACTGAAGTGGGTGGTGGTCTCAAGAGCTCATGGGGAAAAAACCAATGCAAACTCAACACTTAGAAAGCTACCAGCAATTTCTTGGTCTACATCAGAGGCAGGTGGTTCTGAAAACAGAACAGCTTTGAATTTCATCTATATTTCTGGCTGAGGGTGCCTCCCAAGAATAATCGCCTCGAAAGGTAAGAGTGCCTCGTCTGGTAGACTGTAATCCAGGGCTACACAGATGATTCTGGGAAATGCAGTTCCTACCATTTCTTCTGCTAAGCAGAGAAAGTGATGTCTAGCTGACAACTGACAATATGGCACATATAGATAGTAGTATTTTAGATATCTAAAATAACAAAAAGTCTCACCTGAGAAATGTCCAGGCAGCCTGATATCCCTAAGATAACAGCAAACACTACTGAGCGCTTTCTAGATACCGGGGACACTTCGCGGGACTTTTTCCACCTCTCTATGGCAGAGACAGTTTTTCCTATTATCATCATGACCCACATTTCAGAGGAGTTGGAGGCATGGAAAGAGGAAACAACTTGCCCGTTCCCTCTCCGTGCTATAATTTGTATACATCATCTTTTAAAACGGACTTTTCGGCCAGGCGCGGTGGCTCACGCCTGTAATCCCAGCACTCTGGGAGGCCGAGGCGGGCAGATCACGAGGTCAGATCAAGACCATCCTGGCTAACACGGTGAAACCCCGTCTCTACTAAAAATACAAAAAATTAGCCGGGCGTCGTGGCGGCCGCCTGCAGTCCCAGCTACTCGGGAGGCTGAGGCAGGAGAATCGCTTGAACCCGGGAGGCGGAGGTTGCAGTGAGCAGAGATCGCGCCACCGCACTCCAGCCTGGGTGACAGAGCGAGACTCTGTCTCAAACAAACAAAAACAACAAAAACACACACACGGACTTTCCAGAGCCCTGCAGTTTTGCGCTTCAGGGACAACAGTGAACATTTATCGATCCCATGGTTCTCCTACAATTGCCACGTGGCCAGCGTCTACACAGCCCCCCATCCTGCCCCTGCTGTCAAACACAGCGTTTCCAGAACGCAGTCGTGCTGGGCTCCAGGTGAGCTTTGGGAGGAGCCCCGGCTGAGCCCCTGCACTGGGCCCCGCGCTTCGGGAAGCATCTCGCTCGTTCGTCTCGCGCGCCGCGTGACCGGAGCCCTCACGCTGGCAGCGGGCACCGCAGGGCCCTGAGAGTCGGGCCCGCTGCGCGCAGCCAGGGGCCAACGAGAGCCGACGCTGGGCGGGCAGCGTCCGGGAGCCCCTCCGACCCTGCGCTCCCCTCGTCCGCGCCCTGACCCCGCGTCTCCGGCCGTCCAGCCCGCGCCGCGTCACCTCCCCTCCCGGAGCGAAGGGCCCTGCTCGCCCGAGGACGGAGGCCCGCACGGGACACGGGGCCCCAGTTTCCGCCCCGGAAGCCCAGGACACGGCTCCAGTGGCGGCGCGGCCCAGGGCGCAGGCGCGGGTGTCGGTCCCACCGCGCGTCGTCCTCGCCCCGGCCCCGGCCAATCCCTTCGAATTTGGCCGAGGCCGGGAAATACTAGCTAATCACGGCGCGCGCTGTTGACGCCGGCCAATGGGAGCTCCGGAAGGCTGCGTGGAGACGCCAGCGGCGGGCGGTGGACAGTCATGGCGGCCCGGCGCGGGGCTCTCATAGTGCTGGAGGGCGTGGACCGCGCCGGGAAGAGCACGCAGAGCCGCAAGCTGGTGGAAGCGCTGTGCGCCGCGGGCCACCGCGCCGAACTGCTCCGGTTCCCGGGTGGGTGCGCGCGGCGGGGGGTGCGCCGCGGCCTTCGGTGCCTCTGCCTTCCCAGGGGCTCTTTGCTCCGCTTCGTTGTCTGCGGCTGGCGTGCTGTGAACTGTGCGGTTTTTATTTTGAAAGACGGGCTTTCCCTGTGTCGCCCAGGCTGGAGTGCAGTGGCGCCATCTCGGCCCACGGCAGCCTGGACCTCCCGGGCTCAAGCGATCCTCCCGCCTCAGCCTCCCGGGTAGCCGGGAACATAGGCGCGCGCCACCGCGCCCGGTCCACGCTGCGTGTCTTTAAGTGCGGGGTATGGTGATGACTGACGTGTAAACCCGCGCGAAACCGTGGTGTCTCCCCCAAAAGTCTCCTCCAGCTCTTTTGTAATCCATGTCTCGTTTTTGTGGGTTTTTCTGGTGTTGTGTTTTGTTTGATGGCTGTTCGCGCTTTCAGGGGTTTTATAGCATATATTTAAAAGTTTTCAAGTGAAGCATTGACCTTAATCTTTGGCCACCCAGTCCACAAATTTTATAAATGCTTTCTTTGAAGTCTCTACTTTCTACCCGAGTTCTTTTTTCCTAAAGCATTTTTCATCCCAGCTTGTTTGCAGATTGCTGTTATTGCTCAGAGAAATTCCTTTGGCTTCCGCAGAAGATCCAAGCCTGTCTAGAGATTTAGTAAAGTAAAATTCAACGTGAGACTTGAGTCCGGGAGAAATTCAGTCCAAACTATATTGTAATATAGAGGGAAAGCCTGATCTCACTTGCATTTTGTGTGTTTCTCTTTTTTTCTAGAAAGATCAACTGAAATCGGCAAACTTCTGAGTTCCTACTTGCAAAAGAAAAGTGACGTGGAGGATCACTCGGTGCACCTGCTTTTTTCTGCAAATCGCTGGGAACAAGTGTAAAAACCATTGCACACTGCTCCCTCTGCCCTTGCCACTTTCCTTCCTCCTGAGATTCAGTGAACGCAGCACTCGATTCTGAATGACAGTGACAGTAGTGCTGGGCCTGATGTTCTTCTGTTTAGCAGTCCTGTGGGCAGAGGTGGTGAAGCGCCCTAGTTCCCAAAGGGCGCTAATGAATGCTGTTTCGTCCTCCTGCTCCCCACACCCCATAACTAATAGACTTCAGTTTTTCGGGTTTTTTTAGACGGAGTTCCGCTCTGTCGCCAGGCAGAGGTGTGATCTCGGCTCACTGCAACCTCCGCCTCCCAGGTTCAAGCGATTCTCCTGCGTCAGCCTCCCGAGTAGCTGGGACTACAGGCGCGCCCCAGCATGCTCAGCTAATTTTTGCAATTTTAATTTACTTTATTTTTAAATTTAATTTTTGTATTTTTAGTAGAGACAGGGTTTCACCATGTTGGCCAGGATGGTCTCTCTTGACCTTGTGATCCACTCGCCTCGGCCTCCCAAAGTTCTGGGATTACGCAGGTGTGAGCCACCGTACCTGGCCCTTTTTTTTTTATTTTTAAGACAAGGTATTGCTCTGTGGCCCAGGCTGGAGTGCAGTGGCACCCGATCATGGCTCACTGCAGCCTCAACTTCCTAGGCTCAAGCAGTCCTCCCACCTCAGCATCCTGAGTAGCTTAGGGCCATAGGGGCATGCTACCAAGCCCGGCTAATTTTTTTTTTTTTTTTTAATGTAGAGTCAAGGTCTCACCATATCACGCCCAGGCTGGTCTCAAACCCCTGGCCTCATAGACTTAATGTTTTAAAGATAGCTTTAGGTATATAGAAAAACTGATCAAAAAGTAGAGTATGTAGAGCGCTCCCTACATACTACCCCTGCCTTCCCCCCTTCCCCATTATTTATGTGCTGTGTTATGTTACATTTGTTAAAATTGATAACCAATATTGATACATTAGTAACTGAGTTTATATGAACTCTCCTACCACCTTTTTTTGTTTTACATCATTGTAGTAGGTTTCCTCTTCATTCAACACTTAATGTTGATGTGTGTTCTTTCAATGTTTTTATTTACATTTATATACATATGTAGAAACTACTATAGTTAGAATTTTGTTTTTTAACATAAATGAGGTCATACCATACAAATTATTTGGCAGCTTTCTTTCTAACTCTGCCTTACAGATTTCTGCACTTACAGATCCCCTAACTCTGCCCTTCTCATTCTCTTTAATTGTCGTCGCATTGTCTCTAGAACCACGGTACGTGTAGCCAGTTCCCTGCTGGTGAATCTTCAGTGGTTCCTCATCATCCGTGTTACATGAAACACTGCATTACTCTCCTCCGGCTTAGCTTTGTGTCTTGCTTGGAAAGGCTGTCCCCACTCCAAGTCTTAAATGAAAATGAGACCATTTTTAATAATCTTTTTAACACATCTAGAATTTATGGAGGCAATTGTTCTTCTGATTTTGCTTTTTGTGGCTTTGTAGAAAAGTGATGAAACACGTATATGCCCAATTTAAAATGAAGAATAATCCTGATTTTACTTTTTAGATAATAATCTTATCCCAGGTACCCAGGGCTACGTCTCTTGTGTCCATCTATTCTCCTACAGGTTACTTGTTTCCCTAATAGATATTTAAGTTTCCTCTATGTCTAACTGTGGCTTGATAGTTTTTTTTTGTTGTTTTGTTTTGGTTTTTTTTGAGACAAGAGTCTCGTTGTGTTGCTCAGGTTGGAGTGCAGTGGCTCAGTCTCGGCTCACTGCAACCGCCGCCTCCCGGGTTCAAGCATTTCTCCTGCCTCAGCCTCCTGAGTAGCTGGGATTACAGGCGCGTACGACCATGCACAGCTAATTTTTATGTTTTAGTAGAGACAGGGTTTCACCATGTTGGCCAGGGTGGTCTTGAACTCCTGACCTCAAGTGATCCTCCCACGTCGGCCTCCCACAGTGCTGGGATTACAGGCATGAGCCACCATGCCCGACCAATAGTTCATGTCTTTTTTGCCCTAATTAATAGTCCCTTGTTTGGATGTACCATAGTTCATTACCTACTAAAGGACATCTTTGTTGCTTCCAAGTTTTGGCAGTTATAAATCTGTTATAAACATCCTGGTGCAGGATTTTGTGTGGTCATAAGCTTTCACTTCTTTTGGGTAAATGCCAGGGAGCACCACTGCTTTAATATGTGGTAAGACTATTAATTTTTGTGAAGAACTGCTAAACCATGGGTATCCAGTCTTTTGGCTTCCCTGGGCCACATTGGAAGAAATGTCTTGGGCCACGCATAAAATACACTAACAATTGCTGATGAGCTTAAAAAAAAAAATCTCGTAACGTTTTGAGAAAGCTTAACAAATTTGTGTTGGGCTGCATGCAGCCTGCGGGCCTTGGGTTGGACAAGCTTGTGGTGAACTGTCTTCCAAAGTGGCTGCAGCATCTTGCATTCTCACCAGCAGTGAACAAGGGTTGCTATTGCTCCAGACCCTCACCAGCATTTGGTGTTGTCAGTGTTTGGATGTTTGCCATTCTGATAGGTGTGTGTGGCATCTCATTGTTCTAGTTTGCATTTCCCTGCTGACATATGATGTGGAGTATCTTTTCATATGCTTGTTTGCCATCTGTGTATCTGGTTTCGTAAGGGATCTGTTGAGTGCTTTGGCCCACTCTTTTTTTTGGGACAGGGTCTCAACCAGGCTAGAGTACAGTGGCACGGTCTTGGCTCACTGCAGCCTCTACTTCCCAGGCTCAAGCGATCCTCCTGCCTTAGCCTCCCAAGTAGCTGGGACTACAGGTGCATGCCACCATGCTAAGTTTTGTATTTCTTTTTTGTTTTCCTCGAGACAGTTTCATTCTTGTCGCCCAGACTGGAGTGCAATGGGGCGATCTTGGCTCACTGCAACCTACGCCTCGCAGGTTCAAGCGATTCTCCTGCCTCAGCCTCTCAAGTAGCTGTGATCACAGGTGCCCACCACCACGCCCGGCTAATTTTTCTATTTTTTAGTTAGTGATGGGGTTTCGTCATGTTGGCCAGGCTGGTCTTGAACTCCTGACCTCAGGTGATCCACCTGCTTTAGCCTCCCAAAGTGCTGGGATTACAGGCACGAGCCACCATGCCCGGCCAATTTTGTATTTTTTGAGGAAATGTGGTTTCACCATGTTTCCCAGGTTGGACTCAAATTCCTGGGCTCAAGTGATGAGCCTGCCTCCGCCTCCCAAAGTGTTGGGAATATAGGCATGAGCCATTACGCCCAGCCTTGGCCCACTTTTTAAGGGGGTTGGTTGATTTCTTATTTTTGAGTTTTAAGAATTCTTTGTATGCTTTAGATAACAGTCCTTTATAAAATGTGTCTTTTATACATATTTTCTCCTAGGCTGTGGTTTGCCTTTTCTGTTTTCTCACTCTCTTTCTCTCTTTTCTTTTTTTAGACAGGGTCTCTGTGTCATGCAGGCTGAGTGCAGTGCGCAATCACAGCTTACTGCAGCCTCGACCTCCCGGGTTCAAGTGATCTTCCCACCTCAGCCTCCCAAGTAGCTGCAACTATAGGCACGTTAACACACCTGGCTAATTTTTGTAAAATTTTTTGTAGCGATGGAGTCTCACTATTGTTGCCCAGGCTGGTCTTGAACTCCTGGACCCAAGCAGTCCTCCTGCCTTGGTTTCCCAAAGTGCTGTGATTAGAGGCATGAGCCACCCTGCCTGGCCTTATTTTTTTTTAGGAGAAATGTCTTGCTCTGTTGCCCAGGCTGGAATGTTGTGGCATGATCACAGCTTACTGCAGCCTTAAACTCCTGGGTTCAAGTGATCCTCCTGCCTCAGCCTCTGGAGTAGCTAGGACTACAGGTGCGTGCCACTATCCCTGGCTAATTTTTACATTTTTTGTAGAGATGGGGTCTCACTATTGTTACTCAGGCTGGTCTCAAACACCTGGCCTCAAGGGATCCATCCCGCCAAATGGCTTCCAAAAGTGCTGGGCTCACAGGCATGAGCCACCACGTCCGGCTGTCCTTTCCTTCTCTTGACAGTGTCTCTCACAAAGCACAAAGTTATTATTTTCGTGAAGTCCATCTTAATCAATTCTCTCATGGGCTGTGCCTTTGGTTTTGTATCTAAACAGTCTGCCAAACCCCAGGTGATCTAAGTTTTCTCCTGTGTTACTGTCTAGGAGTTGCATAGTTTTGCATTTTACATTTGGGTCTGTGATTCATTTTGTCTTTTTTTTCCCCCACTTTTTGTGGAGAACGGGGTCTCACTATATTGCCCAGGCAGGTCTCGAGCTCCTGGGCTCAAGCAATCCTCCTGCCTCTGCCTCCTTGAAAGCTGGGATTACAGGCGTGAGCCACCGTGCCAGGCCTGTGATTCATTTTGAATTTATGTTCGTGGAGGGTATACGGTCTGGTCTAGATTTATTCTCTTTCATGAGGATGTCCAGTTGTTCCAGCAGCGTTTATTGAGGAAAATGCCTTTGCACCATTGCATCCCTCTGCTGCTTTGTCAGAGGCCAGTTGACTCCTTATGTGGGTGCCCCTGTGATTTGAAGGCCCCAGTGAGACTGGCTGAGTCGAATGAATCGGACTTTTCTTTCTCTGTCTTGAGCAGTGCTTCTCACTAGTGTCAGGCCCCGTGTCTTTGTACATCTGTGATCTTGGCAGCTGTAGGGATGATGGTGGACTTGTGGTATTTGGCTGAGAACATCCTTGCAGTCCAGGCTAGGGGTCATGAGCATGGATGAGTCACCTGCTGGCTGTGCCCACGCTTCCCCCGCCACCATCCTCTGCTCTCTTCTTTGCCTGTGCTTTCTTCTTCCTCGACAGGGTAGAGCTGGCCTCTCTGACCAAGACAGCTGACAGTGCATCTCCTTTCCCCTGCCGTGTTTCTGGAACATTGAACTTTACCAGTTGTGTTTGTTACTATTTAGTAAGGTTATCTTCTCCATGTTGGGTTTTGCTGGAGGTGTGGGTATGGCATCTTCTAGAGAAGATCCAGACCTTTTTGGATTAAAAGTAAGGTTACAAATCACTGTGCTGTACTTGTTGTCATATGAGATTTCTGAGTTGTATTGTTGGGATAATTTTCTTTTTCTTTTTTTGAGATGGAGTCTCGCTGTGTCACCCAGGCTGGAATGCAGTGGTGTGATCTCGGCTCACTGCAACCTCCACCTCCTGGGTTCAAGCAATTCTCCTGCCTCAGCCTCCCGAGTAGCTGGGATTACAGGTGCCTGCCACCATGTCCAGCTAATATTTTGTATTAGTAGAGACAGGGTTTCACCATGTTAGCCAGGATGGTCTCGATCTCCTGACCTTGTGATCCGCCCGCCTCAGCCTCCCAAAGCGCTGGGATTATAGGGGTGAGCCACTGCGCACAGCCTGTTGGGATAATTTAAGCTTGACAGTTCAAGGCCTATGAAACAGGACCAGGGCTCAGGAGCATCCTCTTTTTCAGGCCGTTAATTAAGGAAAAGTTGAGCCAGGGCGTGACCCTCGTCGTGGACAGATACGCATTTTCTGGTGTGGCCTTCACCGGTGCCAAGGAGGTGAGTGCCACTTGGCCTCCTGTCAGGCGAGCACAGATGTGTGGACCCAGGACTGCCCTTGAATGCGAGTACGAGTGACATGCCTCAGATTACTCTGCAGAGTTTCGTGATTCTTATATTCCTTTTATCTCTTTGCTAGATTAATTTGGTTTTATCAATAAGAAGAGCAAACATTTATGTAGCTAGAGATTGTTTCACAGATAGAACCATAGTTGGTATTTGGATTATATTTTCCACACGCTTTTTTTTTTTTTTTTGGGGAGACAGTCTCTCATTCTGTCACCCAGGCTGGAGTGCAGTGGCACGATCTCAGCTCATTGCAACCTCTGCCTCCTGAGTTCAAGCGATTATCCTGCCTCAGTCTCCCGAGTATCTGGGATTATAGGCATGCACCACCGTGCCCAGCTAATTTTCATACTTTTAGTAGAGACGGGGTTTTACCATGTTGGCCAGGCTGGTCTCAAACTCCTGACCTCAAGTGATCCACTCATCTCAGCCTCCCAAAGTGCTAGGATTACAGGCATGAGCCACTGCACCCAGCCTCCAGATGCATTTTCAAAGATGGTTCATTTGTAGTACTTTTTTCCCCCGTTTTTTGAAAGAGGGCGTCTCCCTCTGTTGCCCAGGCTGGAGTACAGTGGAACAAGCAAAGCTCGCTATAACAACTCTTGGGCCCAAGTGATCCTCCCGCTTCAGCCTCCCAAAGTGCTGGGATTACAGGCGCGAGCCACCGTGCCCGGCCACGCCCTCACTTTTTAATTCTGCCATTTCTTCATGTGTTAGCTTGAGTCCTTCCCCTCTGAAGTATTACGTTGTATAATAAGGAGGACAAGACTCATGATTCCTTTGCTTCTTCCTGCTGTGCGGATCAGCTGACAGAGCCGCAGGCTCTGTGGGAGGTTCTCGTGGACGCCTTCCCTCAGCTCATTGTGCTGTTGTGTGATGTGTGGCCTGCAGTCACAGCCTTTCTGGTCCTACCTTTCCTCCGGAAACAGGACAGCATTTGGAGGGAGATGGGATGAGTAAGGGAGGGAGAGAGGGTGCTGGCACAGCCCTGGCAAGAAGGGCCAGTGGATGAGACTAGGCTGGCACATAACAGGCTCTAGGAGTGCCTGTCTTCTTCCTGCTCTTCCACGGGAGAGGAGACCCTGGCGTGTGTGTGGCAGAAAAGACACTGCCAAGGACCTCGTGCCTGTGTCCGGACCCAGCTGCTCTGTGCTGCAGGCGTTCTAGGCCGGGGGTCTCCAGGGGTTCTGTACATAGACTGTTTGCTCCTGGCCAGCAGGCCTGTAGCTGTGCTGGGAGGGCCTCCATGGGGCCTGGGCTGTGGGTGGCGGGGACTGGCAGCCGTTCTATCTACCTACTTTTCTGTCCACTTGTCTGTTTACAAAGGAAAAACAAAGGTGACACTGGAGAAACCGACACGTTTGAGGTTCTAAAAATTAAACGAGCCACAATATAAACAGTCTCACATCTTGGTACCTCACCAAATGTCCCCTCATTTTTTCCTGTTTTTACGACTTTCGAAACAAAAACCTAGACTACACTAAGCTTTAACTGTTGGGTTCTTTCTTGGCAGAATTTTTCCCTAGATTGGTGTAAACAGCCAGACGTGGGCCTTCCCAAACCCGACCTGGTCCTGTTCCTCCAGTTACAGCTGGCGGATGCTGCCAAGCGGGGAGCGTTTGGCCATGAGCGCTATGAGAACGGGGCTTTCCAGGAGCGGGCGCTCCGGTGTTTCCACCAGCTCATGAAAGACACGACTTTGAACTGGAAGGTGAGAATCCCAGAATTGCACACTAGGAAGCGTGGAGAAGTGGCTCAGGATGACACCGTGGTGGCTGGCACAGTTGTGTCAGCAAAGCTGCTGCCGTTTCCGTCTGGTCCTCCCAGATGTGGAGCCCCGGGAGTAGTCGTTCAGGGGTTCTCGGTGCCAGCAAATTCTTTTTTTTTTGAGACAGAATCTTGCTCTGGGTGCCAACCCAGGCTGGAGTGCAATGGCACGATCTCAGCTCACTGCAACCTCCGCTTCTTGGGTTCAAGTGATTCTCCTGCCTCAGCCTCCCGAGTAGCTGGGATTACAGGCACGTGCCATCATGCCTGGCTAATTTTTTTTGTAGAGATGGGGTTTCTCCACGTTGGTCAGGCTGGTCTCCAACTCCTGACCTCAGGTGATCTGCCCACCTCGGCCTCCCAAAGTGCTGGGATTATAGGCATGAGCCATCGCGCCCGGCCAGTGCCAGCAAATTCTAACCCGATGAGTTTTGCTAAATGTTGACATTTGGCGCTTTGTCTGGTGGGTCAGGTGAGAGTCTGCGCAATCCTCCACATCCTCAGCCCCTCTTCAGACACGAGCGCCAGCCTGTTCCTGCCACTGTGTCCTCTGGTGCGGCCTCTCGCTGGGCATGGGCCCTGCAGCAGCACCTGGCCATCTAAGTTCAGGAGGGTGCTGTGTGCTGCCTCTCCCTTCAGTCCTGCCTCCTTCAATCTCAGCAGTCCCAGGTCTGGCTCTGCTCCCAGGACGCTGGACTCTCCCCTCCCAGTGGACTCGCAGGCTGGCCGCCTCTGCTCCTCCCGACCGCAGCCCCTACCTCTCTCCCAGACTCCAGTCGCCCGTGCCCACCGCTGCCCACGTGGCCTCTTTCCAGGCGGCAGCCAGGGCTTCTGGCACGTCGGGCGCCAGCACTGTCGCTTGTGGCCACGGCCCGCGGAGCTTCAGTCCCTTGAGCTCCTCCTCCAGAGCAGGGCCGAGGGTCTCGCCCCAGCCCGACTGGCTGTGCCTGCAGATGATGCTGGTCACGCAGCTTTTCGTTTCCCGGAACGCAGGTGGGATAGCAGTGCCCTTTTCTGGCAGTGCGGCATTCTCTCTGGCAGTCATTCCGCCCGGAGAGGCTCATCTTGGGCGGTTCTGGGCGACAGCTGTGTGGCTGCACAGTGGCCAGTGAGAGGCATCTGGGAAGGTGGCCCTTGTGTAGGGAGTCACTCTCCTTCCGTCACGGTCACACCTCATGAAATGGTTAGATTCTTCCAAGTGCCTTCTACGCCCCTGGCAGATTTTCTAGAATTTGCTGTCCCAGAAGCTTGAGAAGGGTCCGGTGCCACCCGACAGCAGAAGCCGGGATGCCGCTGAGATGCCAGCGCTTCTGAGTCCCTCTCACTGCCTGCCTTCTGGTGGAGAGAAGGCTGTCCTGCGGGCTTATGCCCTCCCCACGCTCCTCGCACCGTTCACGCCATTGTGCAGCACAGCTGTTAGGACCAAATTCATCTTCCCCGCAAGGACGAGTCAGGCCCAGTGTTGCACTGGTCCTGCTGTCTGGCTTCTGCTGCGGAACTTCCTCACCTTCCAGGCAGGGCCCAGGAGCCACAGGAGCGTGGGCAGGGCAGGGTCTGCCCTCTGTGCTTCCGACTCGCCGCTTGCGAGCTGGAGGGACAGTCACCTCGACCTGGTGGGCTGGGTGGGTCTGGCTGTGCTGTGGGCTGTGCCTCACTCCTGCAAGTGGGCACTCAGCGGGGTTGGGGTCACGAGGCTGAGGTCGGCTTAAAGCAGGAGTGGGCAGTTGGCACATCATGTTTCTCCTGCATCAGGGCTGTGGCAGGAATGCCGGGTGACTACCGTAGACACTTGTCAAGGTTGAGGTTCAGAGAAAGGTGTGGGGTATCCCGGAGGTCACCACAGTGTGCCAGGAGGTTCAGGTTGGCCTTCCAGAGCCCGGCCTGTGTGAAATCCCCACGAGCACAGAGGACAGAACGAAACATGGTGTTGTTTTGAAACAGGGTGTTACTGTGTCACCCAGGCTGGAGTAGAGTGGTGCCACATTTTTTGTAGAGACGGGGTGTCCCTGTGTAGCCCAGGCTGGTCTTGAACTCCTGGGTACAAGCAGTCCTCCCTCGTGGGCCTCCCAAAGTGCTGGGATTACAGGCGTGGGCTCCCGTGACCAGCCTGGAACGTGCTGATGAGCCTCTTTTTCTCCTGAAACCCCGGTGGGAACAGATGGTGGATGCTTCCAAAAGCATCGAAGCTGTCCATGAGGACATCCGCGTGCTCTCTGAGGACGCCATCCGCACTGCCACAGAGAAGCCGCTGGGGGAGCTATGGAAGTGACCCAAGGCTGCCCACTGGAGACGCCTCTCCCTGCAGTCCCCCGAGAGGTGGGAGACTCGCGGAAGGCCCCGTCCCCAGCAGAGTCCAGACCCCACAACTTCAGGAGCTCTTTCCCGGCAGCAGAGATCTGCAGGCTGCCTCTTCTGCCCCGGAGCTGGGGTGCACTGGGGACCCCCGTGGTGGGGACCTTGGCAGTGTGGACATGAGCAGAGCGATGGAGCAGTCTCCTGCCCTCTCCCCTGTCCTGATGGCACTCTGTTGTATTTTCTTACTGAAGTTCAGTGATAACTCTGAGCAGTTTCATTGTGATCACTGTAAATGGTAATCAGTTGGAATTCTCCTAAATGTCTTCCAGACACTAGTAAAAAACGACCTGAAAATTGTTTGTGGAACGCTTCACTTTTCTTAGACTGAGGACGGAGCTGGCTTTGAATGGGAACCTCCATCCCAGGAGAGAAGAGCCTTCATTGGGCCCAGTAGGGCCTTCCTGGACCCTGGTTCCTGCCTAGTTGAGGGAGTCCCACTGTGGGTCTGAACAGTTGCAGCCATGCCCTGGGCTCGCTGGGTCCAGCCAGGCTATATCCGAGTGTCATCACAGCTTACGTCCTGAACTCACCTAAGTTAACTCTGCTATTTTCATTGCAACCCTGGAGCTTAACTTCTCATCCTATCCTTTATTTTTTATTTTTTTGGAAACAGGGTCTCACTGTCGCCCAGGCTGGAGTGCAGTGGCACGATCGTGGCTCACTGCAGCCTTGACCTCCTGGGCTCAGGTGATCCTCCTACTTCAGCCTCCTGAGTAGCTAGGCCTACAGGCCTTCACTGTGCCTGGGTAATTTTTTTGTGGAGACAGGATTTCGCTATGTTGCCAGCCAGGCTTGTCTTAAACTCCTGGGCTCAAGTGATCTACCTGCCTTGGCCTCCCCAAAGTGCTGGGAGTACAGGCATGAGCCACCATGCCGAGCCCATTGCATCCCCTTTTAAGTGACACTTAGAAGGAATGATTTGACACTCCTGGCAGAATCTGTCCCACAGAGCACACTCCGCATAGACAGCAGCATACAGTGTGCTGGAGTAGAAGGCAGGCAGGGTCCCCCATCTGTGGGGGCAGCAGCTGTGGGTCTCAGCACCCTTCTGTGGCCAAGAGACAAACCCAGGCAAAACAAAAGGATTTCACTCTTGGGTAAGCATTGCCAGGGGCTGTGGGATGGGCCTGGGTGAGGAACCTTCAGATGAGACTTTCCTGGACTATCCAGGTGGGCCCAGTGTCATCACAGGGGCCTTTTTTTGTTGTCTTAAGACTGGGTCTCACTCTGTCATCCAGGCTGGAGTGCAGTGGTGCAATCTTGACTCACTGCAGCCTCTCTTTCCTGGGCTCAAGTGATCCACCTTAGCCTCCCAAAGTGCTGGGATTACAGGCTGGCGCCACCATGCCTGGCCCATCACGGGTCCGCATAACAGGGAGGCAGGCGGTCCGAGTCAGGAAATGAGATGCCAACAGCAAAAGCTGGAGAGATGCCATGTTGCTGGCTGTGTGGTTGGAGGAAAGAGCCATGAGCCAAGCAGTTTCTGGCATCCAGAAGCTAGAAAGGCACAGCAACGTTCTCCCCTAGAGCCCACAGCACGATATGGCTGTCTGCCCTCCGGGTCTGGAAGAGGCTGTGCTGTTCCAGGCACTGAATGTGATCATCTTTTAGAGCAGCCACAAGAAGCGAATACGAGCATCGGAGAGGCCACAAGTCCTCAGCCACCTCACCGGGGACCCAGCAGGGCCCCCTCCGATCTGGCTTTGGGCCCTTCACACCTATACCAGGGCTGCCCACAGGGATGCACTGGCCAGAGTGAGCAATGTCCTCACCAAGCCCCCTGCTGTGCCCCAGGCATGGCCTCCCACAGGCCAGGACAGTCACTGCGCACTTGGGGAAGGCTTTGCTATGATTCAAATCGAGGCAAACCCTGCAACTCCAGGCACTTCCTGTGACTTCCTCCTGCTGAAGATGGGAACCGCCATTTTACTTTCCTAAAATCCTATTTTCCTTGCACTTTTTCCTTCTAGGGTTGTATGAGGTGGCTGATGCCACGGCTGGTAGAGAGCCAGGCTGCAGGCAGGACAGGCCCCCTGCCAGGGCTGGGGACACACCTGCTCAGGGCCCCACAGCCCGCCACGCAGGCAGCCACATCCTTTACGTGTGAACGGGCTGAAACATTCACTTATTTTTTTTCTGGAACTCACATTCAATTAGAACTTAAGGAAAAAATAGACACAAGGTTTGTTTTCTACTGAAACTTATTATTTGCCATTAAGAATTGCAAACTATACTACTAAGAATGAACAACATTCTCTTCATTAAGCCTTTTTCAAAACACACGAGACAAAGCTCCCCTTTGGTCAAGGTGTCCCACACATTACCACTGCAGCTCCCAGCACAGCGGCGCACCATGAACTCGGACGTGGAGCCCAAGGAATGGAGATCGCACCAGCCTTCCCTGCTTCCCCACCCCAACTACACCCAAGGGAGAAAGGATACGAGGAAATACACTATGTCTTCAATGCTTGGGGGGCTGGGGGTGTCCTCTGCTACCAGGTGGGCCGGTCAGTGCCGACTGTCCGGCGCGCGTCCTCGGGGATCTCTGGCTCCCCGACCTACACAAGCAGCAGCAGCAGCAGCGAGTCCTGCCAACGCCGCAGTAGCTGCTCATGAGAAAAGTGCCCACGCTCCCCAAGCCCTCCTGTTTACATTTCCTAGTGGGGCAAAGATACTTTCCCAGGACAGGCAGCAGAGCAGCGGGGCAGAGTGCACTCTGGGACCCGGGACAGCAGGTTACACAGGGTCAGGCGGTGGTGGGTGCTGGAATCGGGGCTGAGGTTCTGGAAATGCCACCAGGTGATGCCACCCTGTGGTGTCTGCCCACCACACACCACAAGACTCAAGTGGTTTTCCCCTTTTGGCCCTAAACCACCTAACACCTCAGCGGCATGGGAGGGCAATTCTCAGCAAGGCAAGGACATGGGGAAGGCTCCTGGGAGAGGCACGCCGTCCACCCTCAAGCCTGGCTGTCACAGGTGGAGGCCCCGCCCCCCCCCCGTCACCACACCTGGGGAAGCTGCCACAGAATGCCACAGCACTGGAAAGGGACACTCTGAGGGCAGGCTCCAGCAGCAGCTCCAGGACAGCCAGCCGCCCTTCTGCCCAGGCCGCCCACGCTGTGTCCTGTGCACGCCATCTTCAGGTTTCCCACACACCCACTTCCTGAATACTTTTCTCCCCAAAGCAAGGAGGAACCTCGCCTTCGTTCCTCCAACCTCATCTCCCACTGAGGTAGCCCTTGGTAAGCCAGGCTGGGCAGAGAGGACACAGCGGTGGGCGCGCCCCCCTCGAGAGCAGCCCAGTCCTTGGGCGTGGGGCCGCAGTGTGGCTGCCGCTCCTCTCACGCCAGCCTGCACAGGTCTTCTGAGACTCTGACTCAGGGAGCGCCCAGAAATTCATGTCTGTGTCTGACAACTTCAAACAGGACTTTAATTCCAAACCAACCACAGAACCGGCGCCTGGGAGCAAGTGGGACTGAGGCCCAGGTGCTAACACGGGGCTGGCAGTGTCGAGAGAACACTCTGGAAGCTCCTAACAGACGGCTCCGCGTGCGGATGCACAGGCCCTGACGGGCACTCTGAGCTGGGCAGTCTGACACCAAGCAGTAAGGCCTCCCGGGCAGCGCAGCCTCAGTCCACGAGCACAGCGGGTGGCCCTCTGGGGGGAGGCAGCACGGGGCGCAGCCCTCGGCAGGCGAGCGGGCGGGATGGATGAAACGCAGCGGCACCAGGAGCCCCAGGCTCTCACAGGTGCCACCCCCGACCCCAGGATTTTCAAAGGGACAGGATTTCAAAGTCTTCATCTTCTGAGTCGAAGAATCTTTCCAGTCGCTCTACATCAGAAGAATCTAGAAGGAACAGGACATAGCGCATCAGGCATCTTGGGTGGGCCACCTGGGTGTGAGTCAAGGGCCCTTGGCGTGGGGCAGACTGAGCAGTGCCTGCTCTGCAGCCCACAGACAGCTGTCCCCATGCGGGTGTGAACAGGTCCGGGGGTTGTGCAGACCTGCGAATATGGGGGGAGGGAGCAGAGAAGAGGAGCAGGGCAGGGTGAGGAGGGCAGGGGGCGGCCGGCACAATCTCAGGCCTGAGGGGCCTCTGTCCCGCGTCTGACCCTCGTGGTCATCAGGAGTGGTTCCATTGCCATTGCCTTGTTTGTAGAGTTTCCCACAGGGAGACAGAGATGAGGAGGACGCGCTCACGGCCACTCACTTCACTGCACGAGCCCAGGCCGGCTCCTGCGGCACGCTGGCCATGGTCCGAGGGGTCTACGCCACCCATGGCCAGTGGTGCCCAAGTGAACCAGTCCCCCACCCAGGACTGCGTCACCACAGAGCCTGCATGTTCTGTCTGCTCCAGACCCCTGAGGACTCCATGGTAGCACGCCCAGCTCCACAGCGCCCGGGCAGGCAGCGCTGGTGGGGAAGACGAGGTGGGTCCTGGGCTGCTGGGCGCAAGCTTGGAGGAGGGGACGCTCCACTCCATACCTGGTCTCACAGGCGAACCACTGCCAAGTGCTCACGGCTCAGGCTCACACACACCTTAATGGTCAAAACCAAGGGGGCCAGGACTGGGGAAGCAAGGGCACAGATCGTACCTCCGAGGGACCCCACCTGGACTTGGCAGCTCTCACCTAGGGACAGGTTCAGGACGTCGGGGCAGGCCAGATGTGAAGGCTGCAGCTCCACCAGCTCAAACATGGGCAGGGCACCTCCAAGCAGAGACAGCTGTTAGTGAGACATGGCCGTTAGGTGCAGCCTCACCCCAGTGCTTGCTGCGGCCAAGAGAAAGGGGCCAGCCGGCCACAGCCAGCGGACAAACCTGTCATCCCATCTCACTGATGAGAAAACAGAGGCAGCTCCACACTAAAGGCTACACGAGAACCCAGTGTGGTGATCAACACACAGCACAGTCTGACCACCACGGCAGAGGGGGGTGGGCCACACGCACTCGGCCGGCGTAGCTCAGCACCCCATCACCACCCCCATCTCAACAGGAGACGGATGAGGACACTGGAAATCCCATTCTAAAGTCAACACGCAACATCCGTCCCCAGGGTTGTTAACTGTGTTGCCAGATGGGCAATCCAGGACGCCCCACCCTGCTCAGCTACATAGCTGTGCCAGGCGGGACAAAGCTCCCCACGGCCCAGTGAGGCTGCCTGAGACCTGGACGCAGGCCTTCGACCCCTGCACGCCCCACTGCCTGTCTCCCTGGGTGGCTCAGCTCGGCTGTGGGTGTGGGGCGGCTACAAACCTTTTTGACTTGCTGGCACCAATCATTGAAGTCATCTTCAGTCTTACAGAAAAACCCCTAAAACGAAATGACGATGAGCAGAACACGACACCCCCATCTGCAGTCGGCTAAGAGGTGGGGGCTTCCATTCCCACTGCCAGTGGCGCAGCAGAGGCCCCCAGCATGCAGGTGCTGGACATTCCAGCCTGCCTTGGCTCCTGTGGCCAGGAACGGAGCTCCGAGGGTGCCCTGTGCATGGTCCCCTGCACCAGTGCCCGGCTCCCCTCAGGCTCCACTGCGTTGCTGTGCCTTGATTCGCCCACGAGATGTTACGTGGTGTGCATCTCTCAAACCTCACCGAGTGTTCCGGGATTGGGGCAGGTTATGAGTTAGGGCCAAGTGGGGAGCTCTTCTCTCTGTGACTGTGAGGCAGGGCCGCTGGGTCTCAGCCTTCGCCCAGCAGCTCCCTGGAAGCTTGGCGGCAAAGGCCACCGAGAACTGCCCAAGGACACCGTGACACAGGGAGCCTCCTGCTGAGGAGCCAGGAGACAGGGGACCGGCCAAGGGTCACCGGCAATCACATCCTTAAAGCTGCCGCCTGTAATGACAGTCACTAGGAATTCTCAACGCTGCCAGATGCGCAGATGTTAACACAAAAAGAAACGAAATGGGGGGAGAAGCTCAAACTGGGCACTCTCTTCCCCTGAAGACACCATTCTGCCGCCTCGGCGCTGGTGTAGGAGCACTCTCCCCCGGGGACAGGGGACATTCCTCCTCCTCACGGGTGAGGACAGTTATCCCACCAGGTGGCCCCTTTGGTCTCAACTCAACGTTCACGCGTCCACTCCTCTGTCTGCGGTGGCTGGCTCTCTAGCCTGACCTGACTGTTAGAGTGCCAATCACTGTAAGCCACCAAGCTGCGTTTACAGTAACAAACATACCTAATTCTAGTTCGACGAGGAATTCGTGACTAGGTTCTGGTAAGAAGTGTGCGCCAGGCTGCGCGCAGTGGCTCACGCCTGTAATCCCAGCACTTTGGGAGGCCGAGGTGGGTGGATCATGAGGTCAGGAGATCAAGACCATCCTGGCTAACACAGTGAAAACCCGTCTCTATTAAAAATACAGAAAATTAGCCAGGCGTGGTGGCGGGTGCCTGTAGTCCCAGCTAATCCAGAGGCTGAGGCAGGAGAATGGCGTGAACCTGGGAGGCGGAGCTTGCAGTGAGCCGAGATCGTGCCACTGCACTCCAGCCTGGGCGACAGAGTGAGACTCCGTCTCAAAAACAAACAAACAAACAAAAAGTGTGAGCCACAGAGCTCCAGCCCATGTTCCCCACTACTGCCACCCTGCCCAGGAGGTGCATGGAGCGTGGTGTGCACTCTGGGGCTGCGCCACAGCTCAGAGACCGTCCCATTTCAGGCCCAGATCTGCCTTCTTCCTCCTAAATGGGGCGGAGCATCCACAACAGAGCCCCCGATTCGGTTAACTGCTTCCCTGAGCATGTCACCGTCATTCATGATTTCTAGGGGGGTTTTTTGGCCTCTTTCCCCATCAAATATATTTGAGGGCAGGCAGGTCTGCATAAATCACACACCAAAAATCACAACTAGGTAATCAAAATGGAAAAACAGGGAAGCTCCTTCTTAGGAAATCCCCCAGAGAGGTCAAGTCAGAGCCTCCGGAAAACAAAAGGTGGTGCAGGAGTGGGTGGGTGGAGGGGCCGCCCGTGTTTAAATGTGGGTGTGACGAAGGTGGTGCAGGGGTGGGTGGAGGGGCCGCCCGTGTGTTTAAATGTAGGTGTGAGGGGGACACACTCACCATGGCTCACACTCATCCATGCACACTCAGCACGCGCCCACACACGCTCACATCCAGACACACGCTCTCTGGGCCACTCGAAGGCCATGAAGGCTGCACAGGAGGTGGTGCCTGGGGGAGGGACGTGAGGGTGCAAGGACACAGTTCCGGCTCTTATACCCTTCAGATTCCCAACCACGTGAACACAGTACTTATCCCAACATGCTGAAAAAAAAAACGCAAAAATCCGAAAGTTTTCCTCGTCATTCCCAAACAGCATTCAGCACCAAATGCCTGTGTGCTCAGGTGGCCGCCACGTACCACAGCGATGGACGGGTCAAGCTCCGCGATGCTCATGCGGCACGGCGGGTGCTGGCAGTGGAAGCTCTCGTCCGGGATGAAGCAGCCATCAGTGGGCTCCACGGCTGGCTGCGTGGTGTGGGGGTCCAGGTAGATGAGCTCCTCACCTGGGAGGATGAGGCAGGTGGGCAGGTGGGTGGCCGAGCCGGCAGAGGAAAGGGACAGAGGAGGCCGCATTTCAGACCCACTGCACCCACATCACACTGAGAAGCAGTGGGCAGGAGGTGGGGAGGGAGCCGAGGGCACCAGACCATCAGGGAAAGGGGCACACAGGAGGCCGCCCGCGACCAGGCTGAAAATGAACCCCAGGGCATGCTGCTTTTCCACCAGTGGCCTCAAGTGGTCACCTGGGGTGTGGTACCTGCTCATGGAATGCCCTTAAAAGGCCCAGGCCCACAGGGACACGGTGGGAACCCTGGACTCACCAACGTAGCCGATGAAGTAGTGGGCGCTGTTGGGCTTCCCTCCGATGACGCCCAGGGACTGGGGCATCATGAAGCAGTGCTGTGGAGGGGCGGGGGACTGAGCACAGGTCCCAGGTGGGAGCAGACGGTCCCCCCACCCACTGCCATAGGGGGCCCAAGGGCCTGCTGAGGCCCAACTGGGTGACACAAGAGGGGACAGGAGGGGACATGGTACCAAAGAGCTTACTGTCCAGGAAAGACCACAGGACATCCCACAGGCACAAGAAACCCAATCTGCAGGCTCAGCTCAGGGAAGCTTCATGTCAGAGGTGGGCTTTGGGGAGGCCGGGAGTGAGGGGGCCTGGCAGGAGATGTGAGCAGGGGTGCGGGAGGTGGCCCTGCTGAGTGCTTTGACCTGACAGGGCAGAAGCGATGGAGACGGGGCCTATGTGTGGGGGCAGCTGAGACCCCACAGGATGGGCAGAAGGCTGGACGGAGGGGCCAAGTTCAGACAACTGAATAATTTTAACAGGAAGCCACATTTCAGTTCCATACAAATGTGACTCCTTGGTCTAAAATTTGAGTTACCTGAAGAAAGGATGGTTTTCCCTTCTGCTTGCTTTTTTTTTTTTTTTATTTGAGATGGAGTCTCACTCTGTCACCCAGGATGGAGTGCAATGGCATGATCTCGGGTCACTGCAAGCTCCGCCTCCTGGGTTCAAGAGATTCTCCTGCCTCAGCCTCCTGTGTAGCTGGGACTACAGGCGCGCACCACCATGCCCGGCTAATTTTTATATTTTTAGTAGAGACAGGGTTTCACCATGTTGGCCAGGCTGGTCTCAGACTCCTGACCTCGTGATCTGCCCGCTTTGCCCTCCCAAAGTGCTGGGATTACAGTCATGAGCCACCGCTCCCCGCCCCCTTTTGCTTTCATGACATGGGGGAGCCTGTGGCTGGAGCTCCTCACACAGCCCTGCCCATCCCCAGGCCCTGCCCACACGTCCCTTCCTCACAGGCCAACCCACCCTCCGAAGGGACCTCAGGCCAAGAGGGCTGTGGGGGAGTGGGGTGGGCATGCCTGGGGCACAGTGGAGACCCGGGAGGGGGCGGGGCTCCCCGTCAGGCCGAGGAGTGGCACCTGGTTCCAAGGACCCCCTGCAAGCGCCTCATGCTTTCATCCTCGACACTCGCCTTGACACTTGCAGAACGAAAGCAGCACGTGCCTACTGATGGACGTGCCTCACGCCCACTCACCCCTTGGGCAACGGTGTAAACCAGGGTTGTTTACCCCTCCCCCGAGAGCCGGCTGCACAAATGGCCACGTGACGACGATGCGCTGAAAGTGACTAAGAACTGGGAGAAGGGGACGGGGACTCAGGGCAAGCGCCGCACGGCAGGACCCACCTTCAGCGTCTCCACGTAGGCCTCGTTGATGTCCGTGAGCCCCAGGCGCAGGGGAATGAGAAGTACCAGGGGTCTCCATGGCGACGGCCTGTTGGTGACCTCAGCTCCGGCAGGGAATCCGTTGCAGTGCCGGTCGGAATCTGCAGGAAACGCAGTGGCGCCTGCACAGGGAACGCTGGTCCTGCACAACCTTCCTAGAAAGGGAGACATGCTTTCACTAACCAAGCAGACCTGTGCAAAAGTGCTCCCACAACAAGCAAGCAAATGATGACTGTGTAACAGAAAAAGGGCGGTACAAAGCCAGGTGCTTACAGTGAAATTCAAACTTGGAAAATATAGAAAAGCGTAAGAAAATTTTTTCATAATCTTGCCACCCAGAGAAAAAAGAAATAGTTTCTATGCATACTTAATTCAAGAGTTTTATTGTGAAATAAAGCACACACACGAAACAGTGCAAGAAAAAGCCACGTGCACTTGAGAGGAAAATCACAGAAGTACCCACGCAGCCTGCCAGCCTGGCTAGTGCCAGCACAGCCAGAACCCGCTCCCTCCGGGCCTCCTCAGCAACGCCTTTCCTCGCTTCCACCCCTTCTGCCTACACACACCCGTGAGTCAATGGTCCGGAGGACACATCAACCGGAGGGTGCGGTGATGGGAGAAGACACTCCGGGAGCATGGAGCATGCCCGGCGTCTAGATCGAGGTTTCTCAACACCACTCCCCACTCAGAGGAGCCAGGCTGATTCCAGGGCCAGGCAGGGAATGTTCAGAGGTGCCTGCAGCATCTGCTTAACCCAGAACATAAGGGAGGGCTCAAAACATAAACGAAAAACGCCAGAACACGGCAAAAGACACCACCAGACTGAGGTGGCCACCGGCCAAAGGTGGAACCGTCAAGCATCAAAAAGATGGACAGTGACAGGTGACAGTGACAGTGACAGGTGACAGTGACTGACAGGTGACAGACAGGTGACAGGTAGCACACTGCACACTAAGTGATGGGAGAAAAGGCGGCTCTTCTCAGAACGCCAACCAATAAACGTGAAAGGAAAGGACAGGCTAGAAAAACCACCATTATCAGGCAGGAGTCACACAGCTCACCAGGACATGCTCAGTGTCACCACTGGATTATTCATTAATTACAAAGGAAAAAAGACACCATCTCCGGGGATCTGACATAGTGTCCCACTGCAGGCCCCGGATGGGAGAGCAGAGGACACTGCCACCCAGAGGCTACTCTCAGCCACAGGCTCAACCCAAGCCCAACTGTGAGGAAGCAGACAAATCCAGCGTGTGGGATGGTCAGCTGACCTGAACTCGTCAAAAATGCCACAAAGCAGCAACAACCACAACAAAGAGGCAGAACCTTCTCAATTAAAGACTAGAAAGACATCACAACTATATACACACAGCACCGGACCCTCAACCAGGAACACAAATCAGCGGCACGGGTTGTTCCCTGGACAGCAAGGGGCCAAGACGGACCCTGGTGAGTCGTGGCGTCACCTCTTTTGTGGTGATGAGGCTGTGTGGCTCTCAGGAACACTCTCATTCGTAGGAGGCTTGCTCATAAAAACCAAGCGTGTCAAAACACAATTGGTGGATCTAGGTGGAGGGTTTGTGGCCATGACTCACTGAACTTTTTTGTAGGACTCAAATTTCTCAAAACAGACAGCTGGAAAACAAGGATTCTGAGACAGAACTTTTTAAATTTCTTTTAGAGACGGGGTCTCACTCTGTCACCCAGGCTGCAGTGCAGTGGTGCAACCACAGCTCACTGCAGCCTCAAACACCTGCACTTAAGCAATCCTCCCGCCTCAGCCTCCCGAGTAGCTGGAACAACAGGTGTGGGCCACTGTGCCCCCTGACTTTTCTTTTTTGAAGCCGATTCTCTGTTGTCCAGGCTGGAGTGCAGTGGCATAATCTCGGTTCACTGCAACCTCCGCCTTCTGGGCTCAAGCAATTCTCCTGCCTCAGCCTCCCCAGTAGCTGGGATTACAGGTGTGTGTCACCACGCCCAGCTAATTTTTGTATTTTTAGTAGAGACGGGGTTTTGCCACATTGGCCGGGCTGGTCTCGAACTCCTGACCTCAAGTGATCTGCTCACCTCAGCCTCCCGAAGTGCTGAGATTACAGACATGAGCCATGTGCCTGGCCTCATTTTTCTATTTCTTATAGAGAGGGAGTTGTCCAGGTTGGTCTCAAGCAATCCTCCAACTCAGCCTCCCTGAGAGGTGCGATTATGGGTAGGAGCTACCACGCCCAGCCTTAAGGGAGTTGTTTGGGTTTCTGTTTGGTTTTTGAGACAGGGTCTTACTGTGTCACCCAGGCTGGAGTGAAGTGGTGCAATCATGTCTCACTGCAGCCTCAACCTCCCAGGCTCATGGGATCCTCCCACCTCAGACTCCCGAGTAGGTGGGACTACAGGTACATGCCCCCATGTCCGGCTAGTTTTTTTGTTTTGTTTTTTTGTAGAGATGAGGTTTTACCATGTTACCTAGGCGGCTGGTCTCAAACTCCTGGACTCAAGCAATCTGCCTGCCTCCACCTCCCAAAGTGCTAGGATTACAGGCGGGAGCCACAGTGCTTAGCCAAGGGAGGGATTTTAACTTTGATTTTTTTAAAACATATATGTTATTGCTTCAAAGAGCCAGTTCTAGTATGTGTTAGTTCTAATAAATTTAATTTTAAAATTTATTTTTAAAATATTTTATAGAATGAGGTCCAGGCACGGTGGCTCACGCCTGTAATCCCAGCACTCTGGGAGGCCAAGGTGGGCAGATCATGAGGTCAGGAGATCAAGACCATCCTGGCCAACATGGTGAAATATGGTGAAACCCCATCTCCACTAAAATACAAAAAATTAGCCAGGCGTGGTGGCATGCACCTGTAGTCTCAGCTACTCAGGAGGCTGAGGCAGGGGAATCACTTGAACCTGGGCAGCGGAAATTGCAGTGAGCCAAGATCGTGCCACCACTGCACTCCAGCCTGGCGACAGAGCAGAACTGTTCCAAAAAAAAAAAAAAAATAGACGTCTGGCTATGTTGCCCAGGCTGGTCTTGAATTCCTGGCTTTAAGCAATCCTCCTGCCTCAGCCTCACAAAGTGCTGGGATTACAAACATGAGCCACTACACCTGGCCTAATACATTTCTTCCTTTAAATCATTAATTTCTGTATTTGTCTTTAATATTATTCTTTGGTTTCTTCAGTTAATTTTGCTTTTTCCGAATTCTTGAGTTGTATGCTTATTTCATTAATTTTCACTTTGTAAAGAACCCATATACTAGTACTGAAGATACACAGGTTTTCTTCTGAGTTCTGTACACATCAGGTTCAGATACATAGTTACGGTCTCTACACTTGACTTTTTTGAGGTTTCACATTTCCAGGCAGCAGGGTTTTGTCCTTTTTTCATTTTATTCCGCATTAGTTTCATAGAAATTCCCAGGCACACTCTGCTGTCACAATCTAGGGTTTGACACGTATCTACTAAACTCTGCCTGTTGTGTTATCTGGGTCCCCTGTAGCTTTGATCTTTCCATAGCTAATCTGTTAATTATTCTGTTTTCTATATATTTTTATTATTTTTTGTTGTTTTGGTTTTTTGAGACACAGTCTTACTGTGTCACACAGGCTGGAGTGCAGTGGCATGATCTCAGCTCACTGTAGCCTCTGCCTCCCAGGTTCAAGCAATTCTCGTGCCTCAGCTTCCCGAGCAGCTGGGATTACGAGGGCGTGCCACCATGCCCAGCTAACTTTTTTTTTAGTAGACATGGGGTTTTACGATGTTGACCAGGCTGGTCTTTAACTCCTGACCTCATGTGATCTACCCACCTTGGCCTCCCGAAGTGCTGGGATTATAGGCGTGAGCCACCGCGCCCGGCCCGCTTTATTGGTTTTGAAGTTGGGATTATAGGCGTGAGCCACCATGCCCGGCCCGCTTTATTGATTTTGAAGTTGGGATTATAGGCGTGAGCCACCGCGCCCGGCCCACTTTATTGGTTTTGAAGTTGGGATTATAGGCGTGAGCCACCGCGCCCGGCCCGCTTTATTGATTTTGAAGTTGGGATTATAGGCGTGAGCCACCATGCCCGGCCCACTTTACTGATTTTGAAGTTATGTTTTGATAGAAAGGCTTCCCGGTGGTGAGTTTCCTGCTGACTGGTGCTTTGTTACCTGCACAGACCCTACTGTCTCAGGAATATGATCGAACACATGAATCGGCTCAAGGGCTGATGCGTAGCTGGGCCGGTTGCTTCTGTGCCTCCAGAGCCCAGCACTGAGTGTGTGACCTACCACGTCACAAACACCCTGCTGTCAACAGGGTGCAACGGGCTTTTGCCTATTCCTGCCACCACCTGAAATTTTCTCGTGTTCTCTTTATATTTTGAACACATTTAAAATTTATATTTCTCTATCAATGACAACTACACAGTACACATACCTACTCTCACCTCATGAAGCCAGGTCTTTTCTCAGAATTCTAAACATTTTCCAGTAGCATTTGGTATGGCACAAAGATGAGATGCCCAGGCCAGTTGAGACTGCCTTTCTTCAAAGCAGCTTAGTAGTGATACTATTATTTGGATGTTTAGAGAAGTTTCCCTTTACTTCTGCAATTTGGAAATATTATCAGGAACATGTATGTTTAAGTACTTCTGATAAAAAAATTTGGGGGTCTTTAGCTCTAAAGACTCAACTCTCACCAACTCAGGGGAATTTTCTCCTACTCCTTCAGTGGCCAACTCTCCCGAAAAGTTCTAATCCACATACTCTGCTCTCAGCTGCCTCTATTTGGCTGCACTGCCTCTCAGAGAGTTGAGTTCCAGCTATTGTGATTCTCCTCCCCACTCTGTTTCTGACTGTGCTTGCTCTGGTATTTACTTTTCTTTCATTGGAGTCATTTGTCCTCACTGCCAGACTGACACGTTTTCCAATCTGTATTTCCTCCCTACATTCAGTGACATTCTGTCTACTGTCGTTAGAAAGGTCTAAGCCCATCAACGTTAAGGACAAGAAGAGCATGCTAAGGATGTCCTGGCTGGCCTTTGACTGGGGGTGGACAGAAGGATGAGTTGCGGGGGGGATGGGTTGGTGGATGGGGACACTGTAGGCAGTAAGGTCTCCCCTTACCCCACAGGCTTCACCTAAAATCTGAGTGGGAACACCGTCAGGCAGCTCTTTCGCTGCAGGAAGAAGCTTTAGTGGAATTTCTGAATGGCATCAGTCTTCTCCTATCTAACTGCTCCTTCCACAAGCAGTTCCGAGAAACTAGAAGAAAAGTCCTTGCTTAGCCAAGGACACGTCTGTTTCTCTAGCTTCGGCTTTGCGGACTTCTTCCTCAGACGTCCTCCCTTGCGCACTCTTAGCAGCACGACTGAAAAAAGCAGCCTGCTTCCTGCCCTCCCCCCACTACTCCCTCCTGGGGCTTTTGGTAGGGGTCATTCAGAACGACCCCGATGTCCTCCTCACAACACCACGCCACACTCAGGAACCCAGAAACCCAAGCCTTGTGCATCAATGCCAGTGCCTTTGCTGGCTGGATGTGGATGCCTTTCTTCCTAAATGGGGGCATCAGGCACCTTCCACATGCTCCTGTGAGGAACAGTGTCCTTTCAGGCAGCTGACGCAGTGAGACGAAGCCAGTCAGACCAGGCAGCCTCCACATCCTCCCGGGAGCCACCATCCCCAGGGGCTGGGAAATGCAGATTCAAGCTCTTCCAGGACCTGACTCCACTCTCACTCTGACAAGCCACGTTTCAGCAGCACTGCTTTGGGCAGCCCTGAGACTCCCGAAGGGACGGAGCTGGAGTCCACACAGACAAGCTGCCCCCAACACTCCCACCAGTGCTACCTGCACCCAGAGGGACGGAGGTTCTAGGAAGCCCTGACCCTTGCGCCTTCCTGGCCACTGCACCCAGCAACAGCCTCCCTAATCCGAGGCCAGGGACTGAGGTGTGACTTGGTGAGATCCTGAGCACGCGTGCGGAACGAGGGGGTAAGTGATTTCCCCAAACACGGGAGGGAGGATGGGGCAGTGAACAGGGAACTAAGGTATAATAGTATATTGTGTAGCCAGTTAATAATTACAATGCTGTCACTCATGGCCAGGAGAAAATACTTAGGAAACTATGTAAGTTTTTGAAAAGCACAGGAGAAATACTGAGAGTAAGAATGTCAAAATGCTCATATGAGTTATTTCTGAGTGGTAAAATCAATAATTTTTCTCTTTCTTTGTACTCTTCCTGTGTTTCCAATGTTTTATAAAAATTTCAAGAAACAGAATGGAGGAAAAAGGCAGATGGAAGAAACAAACACCCTTTGGTTATGATCCCAAGTTCAAGTCTCTGAGGAACAGAATCCTGGAAGGAGAGCCTGCTGTGGCAAAGCTCTCAATGCTGCAGAAGCCAGCCTCACTCTCCCTTATAAAGTCCTGCCTCACTCCCTCCGCTGTGTCACAATGCCCCCGAGGATGGCCAGACGATGAAGAAACAGAATGGAGAGGCAGGGAAGGGGCGTGTCTGTGACCCAGCACACACCTGTGTGGTGACCTGGCACACCCACAGTCACAGGGCAGGACCCACTCCCACTGTGAATCTGTGCGCAGTTACGGCTGTGGCTCTGAATGAGGTCTTTTTTTTGGGGGGCGGGGGACGGATTCTCGCTCTGTGGCCAGGCTGGAGTGCAGTGGCGTGATCAAGGCTCACTGCAACCTCCGCCTCCCAGGTTCAAGCGATTCTTCTGCCTCAGCCTCCCGAGTAGCTGGGACTATAGGCGCGTGCCACCATGCCCAGCTAGTTTCTGTATTTTTAGTAGAGACGGGGTTTCACCATGTTGGCCAGGCTGGTCTTGAACTCCTGACCTCATGATCCACCCACCTCGGCCTCCCAAGGTGCTGGGATTACAGGCATGAGCCACCGCGCCCGGCCTAAATGAGCTCTTTCTTATGGAAAATTGGATTCAAGGCAATAGCCTACATGTAGAACTTCAATAAAATTGGAATTGAGGGAGTTTTGAGAAGTTCCTTGGGAAAAAGGTGGCCCTGAGTGAAAAAGGCAATGAGGCATTTTTAAGAGTTCTCAGCTTGGCTACATCATGGAAGGTGAAACATGAATTTGGAACTCACTCAATGAGCCCATTTGTTAAAACTGAGCCACAGTTTTCCTCCTAGATGTAAATGTTGCCACGCCCAGGTTCCTTCAGGGTTGCAGCAGACCTTTCTTCCAGAAAGCTGAAAAGAGCTCTGCCTTCACGACGTGCCTTTGCTCGAGATGGTGCAGCTAGAGATGGTTGCTACATCTCTCTGTCGCACATCAAGGCACGCAAAATAACTTCACCAGAATTCCCACACGAGGGCGCCTAAGCACAGCAGGGCCTTCATAAACGATTTGTAACCAAGACACAAAACACGACGTGAGATACCAAGTCGCGGCCTCCAGACAGCCTGGGCTCTCCTCTCTTGGTATGACCGCCGGGATAGGAGAGCGAGGCCACCGTGCATCTGGCTTGGCGCACAGGCCCCACGGAGCACCTGCACGGCATGGGGCGACTGACAACACTCGCCGAGGCTCCCGTGGGGACTCAGGCGAGGAAGTGTGTATGTTGCCCGTGATTTCAACTTTCTTGTCCATGGAAACTCTGAGCCACTTACTGATTTCCTCCATCACAACAGTGTTGTCCATTGCAATGTGGACCGCCAAGGAGCTCCACGTATCGAAGACAGCAAGCTTCCTACAGAGAGTAGGAGAATGACCATAAGCTTTTGTACAATTCAAAGACGGTTCATCTTTGCAGCTATAGCTGCGCGAAGGAGGGTTCGCGTTAGAGGTGCTTCTCGGATGAGAAGGGCCAAGGCTCCTAAAATCCGGGGCACAGCCAATGCCACAGACAGGAAGAAAGCTGAGGGTAAATCTGCTTCTTCTCGCCTGAGGCCCAGGGGTCCTGCCCTTGCCCCAGCCTCCATTCATAGAGAGCACACGCAAGAGGCTTTTGAGTGGCCTGGTTTTCTGGTCTCACTGGCACAGAGGCAGGAACTAGAACATGAACGCAGCTCTGAGACGCTGTGGGTTTTGCCAACTTTGAGGCAGGCCTCCCAGCACCTTCACGCTCTGCTCTGCTCTCCCCTCCACCAAACACGCTGAGCTGACAACCAAGGAATCTGAGTCCTTATAGAGAAATCTGCAGCTTAGTGGGAAGCACGACTGTGCACGCCAGTGAGGAGGAACCATGGCCTTGGATTTCCCCTTCTGAGGGAAGGGCAGATTCTGCAGCCAAAAGTCTAACACGACTCTGATCTCATCTCAGGTCTGGCGGAGGTGGGGTCAGAGGACCTCAACAAAAGGTAAAACAATAGAAAAGGCCCTGAGGCAGCAAAGACCTGGTGCTCCCGGGGACAGAATGCAAGACCTGTGGAGGGGAGCTGGGTGGGGGTGGAGCAGGGGACTGGGGTGACCACACAGAGCCCCTCCCAATGCACAAGCCCAGGGGGGACACTGGGAGGACAGCCTGCCCCCCACTGCCCCCCTGCCCCACCACCTTCCTCCTCCCATCTCCAGCCCAGCTGCAGTGCTGAAGATGGGAGGACAGCCTGCTTCCCCGCCCCACTCCCACACCACCTTCCTCCTCCCACCTCTAGCCCAGATGCAGTGCCGAAGACGCACCCACACACAAGGGACACAGCAGCACTGGCAAAGCTGACCTGGCGGAGGGCAAACAAGGAAGCAGCAGCCACGTGGGCCGGTGGTCAACACTGCAGAGAACAGTAACGCAGGAACGGGGAGTGGCACTACTAACGTAGCCACAGGGAAGACCTTGGTGCCAAAGGGTACCTGGGCAGACATGGGGCGCAACCCAGGCAGGTGTCGGGGGAACAGGGTCCAAGTGCCAGGCACCACACATGCAAAGGCCCTGAGGCTGGTGTGTCCCAGGAGCACAACGTGTCATGCCAGGGAGGTCGGGTAGAGCCCCGCCTGAGTCAGCAGTGAAGAGCCAGGGCGGTTCAAGGCAGAGCAGTGGCCAATATGTTTTATGCAGATGGCTCTGCTGTTATTTGCTAAAGAGACTCTAGGATGACAAAGAGAGAAGGAAGATCAACAAGAAAGAAGAAGATGGGGCTGGGACCAGCACAGGGAGTGAAAGGATGAACACTGGTCAGAGTCTGGACATATTTTGAATGGGCCCACTGAAAGAAAGAGGAATTGATATTTTGAATGGGCCCACTGAAATAAAGAGGAATTGGCCAGGAGCGGTGGCTCATGCCTGTAATCCCAGCACTTTGGGAGGATGAGGCAGGTGGATCACGAGGTCAGGAGTTCAAGACCAGCCTGGCTAACATGGTGAAACCTTGTCTCCACTAAAAATACAAAAATTAGTTGGGCATGGTGGCATGTGCCTATAATCCCAGCTACTGAAGAGGCTAAGGCAGGAGAATTGCTTGAACTGGGACCCGGGAGGCGGAGGTAGCAGTGAGCCCAAGATTGCACCACTGCACTCCAGCCTGGACTACAGAGCTAGACTCTGTCTCGGAAAAAAAATAAAAAAAAAAAAAAGAAAGAGAGGAGTCCTGGCCAGGCGCGGTGGCTCACGCCTGTAATCCCAGCACTCTGGGAGGCGAAGGCAGGTGGATCACGAGGTCAGGAGTTCAAGACCAGCCTGGCCAACATGGTGAAACCCCATCTCTACTAAAAATTGAAAAAATTAGCTGGGCATGGTGGCGGGTGCCTGTAATTCCAGGTACTGGGGAGGCTGAGGCAGGAGAACTGCTTGAACCGGGACCCAGGAGGTGGAGGAAGCAGTGAGCCCAAGATTGCACCACTGCACTCCAGCCCAGGCTACTGAGCTAGACTGTCTCAAAAAAAAAGAAAAAAGAGAGGAGTCCTGGCCAGGCACGGTGGCTCACGCCTGTAATCCCAGCACTTCGGGAGGCTGAGGCAGGAGAATCACTTGGGATTCTGAGCAGAGATCATGCCACTACACTCCAGCCTGGCGACAGAGCGAGACTCCGTCTCAAAAAGAGGGGTCTAGAACAATCCCAGATTTTGGTTTGAGCACCTGAAGGACCACTGTAGGAGAAGCAGGCTGGGGCCAGCACGGGCTCTGGCTGTCAGGTCACCATGCACACAGATACCCAGGTGGAAATGCAGAATAAGCAGCTGGACCTGAGCTTGGAGTCCAGGGACAAATCAGCCCTGGAAGCCGTCCATGTGCCTGAGTGCCACAGCACTTGCAGGTTGGGGAGGATCATCCAGCAACAGGGGCGGGGGCTGGTGGGGAGCAGGCAGGGGACCAGGAGAAACAGCGAGCATGGCGAGTGGCCTGGTGCTTCCAGAGAAACAGCGCTGACTTGGTGGGGCCACTCCAGGCAGCAGCAAGAGAAGTGTGAGTGGAAGGGTGTGGTGGGGGCTGGGGAGCTGCTGGACAGAGGACTCTGAAGGGCATGCAGTAGGGACTGAGCAGGTGCCACGCCAAACACAGGGCGGGCCCTGGAGACAGAGGGAGCAGCAGGCTGGGGATGTGGGACGGGGGTGACGTGGGACGCGGGTGACGTGGGATGTGGCAGAGACGGACTTGTGCAGGACCCCAGGGAACCTGACAGAAAAGCTGGGTGGAGACAGTGACTGCCATGCTGAGGAGCAGGCTGTGGGTGAGGGGAGACAGGGCCATTTCAGGAATGTGGAACGTGGGATGCCTGAGGGCCTTGAGTGGGATACAGAACAGGCAGATGCAGAAGGAGAGGCTTCAAGGGGGCCGTGGCTGAAGACAGGCTGGGGAGACGCTGGCCCTCAGACCAGTGGGGAGGAGACCCTGAGGGGACAAGTCCTGGGGGATCTGGCCAGAGCCTCCCCAAAAATGCTGGGATGCCAGGACACATGGAATCAGACCAAATGACCCTGGATGGGTCAAGAGGAGTGAAGAGTGGACACGAAGCTGAAACCACAGGCAAGTTTCTGGAACTGCAGGGAAGGTCATCTCAGAGGAATCTGGGGGGCGGGCACGCAATGGGGCTGAGTGAGGTGCGAAAGGAAGCGGTGCGGAGCAGGTGCAGAGCACACTTTCAGACGCTGAGGTGTATGGGAAGGTGAGCGAGGCTACAGGGAGTCTCCGGGTAGAGTGAGAAAGGCAGGTGGCAAGGCCCGCGGAGGGCAGCCTCCAACAAGCCTGCAGAGGTGGAAGGGCCCGGCACCCGCACAGATGGCTGCAGACTAGCTTCAGCTGCCCACCCCATCAGAAGCCACCATTACAGGTGGATCCATGCAGCAAAGAACAAGGGTCCAATGTGCCAGCCAGGATGTGGACTACGGTGTTCATTTTGTTAGAAAACATAAATTCCTATTCACAAGACCTCAACACAGTCATCGCTGAGAAACCTTCTGAGGGCCATGAAGTAAATAATTAGAGACCCCTTATTTCCTGTAGCCATGAAGACTCAAGGAGAATTTAACCCCCAGGGAACATCCCTGCTGCCCCATGCTCAGCAGTGGAAGCGCAGTACATACTTCAGGACCTGGGCGACAGTGTTGGGCCCGTACCACTGGCCTATGGACTTGCCTTCGCCAACTCCCATTTGCGCTGCAGGGAACAGATACACATTAGCAACACACACCCGCCCCCAGCCCTGACCTCTGGTGGCACGTGGTGCCAGGAGACACGTCACAGGAAGGCCTGGACAGCACCCGACCCAGCCTCCAGACGGAAGGATGCCCCAACAAGATCGGGGGAGGCATGAGGGGGCAAACAAGGTCTCAGGGACTGTCCTTCACTATGAACTTAGAAAAGGAGGGGAAATGAAGGGACCACTTCCTTCTATAAGTGAAAACACAGTGCTCAAAAGCCGGCCTTGCTTGCAAGAAAGGCCAACTCTTCTTTACTCACTCCACTTCAATCTGAGCATTCAGATTCACTGATGGGGCGAGGCCAATTTCCCCAGACTGTGCCGAGCACCAGGCACTGCAAGCCGCATGGACAGCAGGAAGGGCAAGGCCCAGGGTCTGGGCCTGGGTGGGACGGGGGTGATGTGGGATGACACGGGGGTGATGTGACAGCAGCGCACAGATGGTCAGAGGTCAGTGTTTACAGGTTTACAGCCTCCTGCTCCACATCCCACGACACCAGAAAAGCTCTGAGGGGAAACCGACCACTCCACCCTCTCCAGACAGCCCGGGTGGGGCCTGGCACATTCTGCAGCCTCCCACCTATCTGGTGAATGGAGTAGTAACTGTCCTTCCTGTCGATGAATGCGTTGAGGACGCTGAAGTAGCTGTCTGGCTGCCTCTTCCTTTGTGTCCACCTCCAATCTATTGGAAAAAAAATTACAGGTCAGCTCTACCATAAATATGAGAAACAAGTTTTCACTTTCACACTAAAGATACAGATGGCATCCAAACCTTTTTCAGAATCTTTTTTTTTTTTTTTTTTTTTTTAAACAGAGTCTCGCTCTCTCACCCAGGATGGAGTGCAATGGCGTGATCTCGGCTCACTGCAACCTCCACCTCCCGGGTTCAAGCGATTCTCCTGCTTCAGCCTCCCGAGTAGCTGGGACTACAGGCACATGTCACCAAGCCTAGCTAATTTTTGTGTTTTTAGTAGAGATGGGGTTTCACCATGCTGGCCAGGATGGTCTTGATCTCCTGACCTCGTGACCCACCCGCCTCGGCATCCCAAAGTGCTGGGATTACAGGCGTGAGCCACCACACCCAGCCCAGAATCTTTTAAAAGTAAAAACCCATGTTCTCCAGGATTTCAAATACATATACGCCAAGTTATCAAAACAAATCTGTACAGAAAACAGTTTCAGTAATTTAAAACATTTATTAGCATTCTTCTTCTTCTTTTTTTTTTTTTTTTTTTTTCAGATAGGGTCTAACTCTGTTGCAGAGGCTGGAGCGCAGTGGTGCGATCTCAGCTCACTGCAGCCTCCATCTCCTGGGTTCTAGCAATTCTCCACATCAGTCTCCGAAGTAGCTGGGACTACAGGCAGGAGCCACCACGCCTGGCTAATTTTTGTATTTTTTGTGAGACGGGGTCTCGCCATGTTGCCCATGCGGATTTATTAGCATTCTTTAAAGTCAGTTTTTTAAATCAAGAAAAACAAGTGGCTCATTACTCAAGAAACCCCCAAGTTCTACTTACTGTTTTACCTGTGGTCTGCTCTAAAGAGCCCTGACCCCACAGTCCCCTTTGCTTCCTGAGAACACCGTGGCCATGCGCCCTCCCCAGGGCTGTGACTCACCTCGGCCTAGGTGCCGGCACACCAGGGCTTGGGCAAAGATCATCTGTCCACACCGCAGCATGCAGCCCCAGCCTGTGTCCGAGGTGGGGCCTGTCCCCCCTGTCGTGGCAGACAGAGAGAGAAGTGCTCATGGCCAGATGGCCCCACAGGCCACAAGCCCACTGGCAGGAGGCAGCCGGTCAGTCCCACACCACAGGCACCGACTCCCTCCTCCATCAGCTCCACCTGGGGCAACACACACCTCTTAGGACTCAGTAACGCCAAGGGCCACATTTACTGGAGAGTGAAATGTCCCGACAACCTCCTCAAAATGGGCAAAACACATGAACAAGTCAGTCACGGAGCAAAAGGAATGTCTGACAAACATATGAAGACACTGACCCCCGTAAGTCATCCAGAAAATGCAAAGTTAAACAAAACAACGCATTTTCCAATTATCAGAAAGGCAGAAATTCAAACGCTTGATGACATCCAGTGCTGCTGAGAGCACAGGAAGGGCCGCAAGGGCAGCAACTCAGCCCTTCCAGCACAGGTGCCTGGGCCCTGCCCTCACGGCCACTCCCTGGGGCCCAGAAAGATGGACAACATGCACCATGGAACTGCGCGGCATGTGACAGGCACGTGGGAAACACTGCCAGCCCATAGCAGGGGTCCAGTGGAAGGCCACTGCACAGCTGTGACAACAGAGAGGGCCACCTGTGCAGCAGACAAGAGGCTGCTAGGTGGCTGCACACCAGGGTGAGAAGCAGAGATTCAGGGGTCAGACCACAAGGTTCGCCCTGTGCCCACCTCTGGGCTTCCGGCAGCTTCTCCATGCACTGGCACGGACAATAAACCCTGTGTCTTGGGGTAGTGGTGGCCGTCACCCACCAACAACCCAATCAGCAGTGCCCATGGTCACCCTCGCTCCACTGCTGATCGCTCTACTGCTGATAAAAACGTATCTCAGAGCCAGGCGTGGTGGTGTGCACCTGTAGTCCCAGACACTCAGGAGGCTGAGGAGGGAGAACTGCTTGAGCCCAGGAGTTCAAGTCCAGCCTGGGCAACATAGCGAAACCCCATCTATTAAAAAAATGAAAGTAATAATTTTAAAAAATTATCTCCGTGGGGCTAAGAAGGAAACACAGCACACTGCCCTTCAGAACTGCGACAGGGCTGCTTCATGTGCAGGCTCATCCCCAGCCTCTACCTCCTCCACAAGGCCTCTGCCAAACCAGAAAGGCTTCGCTCCAGTCCTGTTCTCCTTCCCAGCACGCGGCAGGGTAGCTGTGAAGGAGATGGAGGCTGGGGACAAACCTGCATCCAAGGCGGCCAAGAGAGCAGGTTCAGCGCAGCTGCGAAACAAGCGGAAACTGTGGAATGAGCAACTATTCCCAGGGCACATCTGACAAGGTATGTCATTAAAATATATCATTACATATCAATATTCCCAGGGTACATCTCACAAGGTGTATCATTAAATATCAACCTAAGGAGACACTGTCGTATGTCCCTACGCGTCAGTGTTCTCCAATGTCCAGCCGTTGTGGCTATTTGACTTCCACCTCACTTCAGGATAAAGAATGAAACCACCCCTAGAAGAGGGACCAAACCCTGACCTGGCACTGAGGAAGCATGACGCCAGCCCGGCCCTCACCTCCGGCCTCAGTTCTCCGCCGGTGAGAGGCAAGGCTGAGAACCAGTCCCCATCTCCTTCCAGCTCCAGGGTATACAACAATGATGAATGGCTTTTAACAGAATGCACCTTAGTGTTACATAAAAACATGTCACATTCACCTGGCCCTTCAAATCTCCCCACAGGTTAAGTGTGGAAAATACTAAAAAAGATGAGGGCTACAGAGAATGGCTTCCAAACATTCTGGACCTAAGTAAGAAACACATTGTACAGCTGTGACCCAGAACACACACTCAAACATGCAAACGAAAACGAAGATCCCTGAAGCGCCATGCTGCGTGCCCGTGGCGGACACACACCGCTTTCTATGACATTCTGTCCTACATTTAAAACAACGTTGGTCATAACTCATGATACTGATTTCCAGCTCCAGTAATAAGCTGGGATTTGCAGTTGAAAACACACTAGCCTAGAGTCAGGCGCCGTGGATTCTAGCTTTGCCACTACTACACGTGAGGCCTCGGCCAATTCAGTTAAGCAGGATTGCTGTGAAGATTCAAATGAAGTCAGTGGCATATTGAAGTCAAATCTACAAGCGTAAGTTTTCCTCCTTCCTAAAAACATATTTTGTCCCGCGTTGTAATAAAACAGAGTACTTACCAATGGCTGGAAAGTTTTTCCTGTATGTAAACCAAAGTCTAGATGCCACATCAGACAAGATCTCGTCCTTTTCTAGAGGTTGTTTAAAAGAAAAAAAACACACACACACAACGCCTTAAGTTTGCAAGTCACAAGTTATGGCAGAGTTAGCAGAGAACAGTGATCACAAAATGCTTCTGCAGGCCAAGCGGTCAGACCAGGGTGGGCTCCAGCATGGCCGATACCTGTGAAAATGCTGTATTTTCTACCCAGTATCCAAACGGGCTCTGAGGTCTCAGGAAAATCTTCAAACTCAGCAAACCGGAGAGTGTCGTAGGTCAGAGTAGCTGTTGAAACCAAAGATGCACAATCATCAGACACTTATAATTTCATAAACTAGTATCGAAAGAGGCCATTTACAGCATTTCTGTGCTGAAGAGAACAACTGTAAATTCTTGTAACAGCAGCACTCCCTCTCGTATCTCGGGCCTACCAAGACACCCACCATGGATGGAGTAAACTCTTAGGAAAGAGAAGGAGGCCCTGCTGGGCAGCTGCTCTGCTAAGGTATGGGGACAGGGAGGTGGGGCCAGCATGCTACTTCCTGAGCCTTTCATATTCTGAGCCACTGAGTCAGTGTCTAACAGCTGACACGAGGGTGAGAGGCCAAGTTAGGGGCCAACCTGAGGGGTGAGAAAGCAAAAAAATGAAAACCCACCCGATTCAAGCACTTACTTTAGACTTAAAAAGTAAAGGACAAAAATAAAGTTAAACCACCTCCTTCATCCTTGTACGCAAGGGAAGCCAAGAAGAAACAGGGCAAAGAGTCGTTTTCCATGGCCATCCTAAGGTTTACCAGATGTCACCATGGCAGCGTGTTCAGAGTCACTGTGATGAAGGCAGATGCTCCGGGGCAAGAAACACTGAGCTGCTGGGAAGACTGGGGTTCTGGTCTACCCCAATTTCCTGGTTAGGAGCAGGTGCTGGAGAAGCATGGGGTGCTACTCTCAGGTAGAAAGTTAACCCCTGGACACTGAGAGATCAAACTCTCTGCCAAGTCCCCAGAGGTACCCGGGTACAAAAAGCCTAGTGATCAAGGACTGAACCTGTTTTCATTTCAACAATGCTACCAGAAGAGCATGCCACCACTTCCATGGGGCAACACCCCACTTTCTAAGGAGGCAGCTGGCTGCAGAGCCATGGTGCTTACCTGCTGGGCTAATGATTAGCCCTGCATGCCATCTTACTCTGTTTTACTTCAATTAAGAAACTAGGCCAGGCACAGTGGCTCATGCCTGTGATCCCAGCACTCTGGGAGGCCGAGGTGGGCAGATCACCTGAGGCCAGGAGTTTGAGACCAGCCTGGTCAACATGGTGAAACTCCGTCTCTACTAAAAGTACAACAATTAGCCAGGCGTGGTGGCGGGCGCCTGTAATCCCAGCTACTAGGGAGACTGAGCCAAGAGAATCACTTGAACCCAGAAGGTGGAGGTTGCAGTGAGCTGAGATTGTGCCACTGCACTCCAGCCTGGGTGACAAGAGTGAAACTCCATCTCAAAAAAAAAAAAAAAAGAAAAAGAAAAGAAAAAGAAAAAAAAGAAAGAAAGAAACTAGAGAGGCCCAGGGTCTTCCTGTCCACAGAACTGTGGCTGAGGATACCCATGTCCCACAATGTTCCTGAAAAGAAGGCGCCAGCCAGCAGCAATGCACCAGCCCAAACACCCATGTGGCGAGATGCCCATTGCGTATTCTGGGGCGGCACCAGAGGCATCTCTCTCCAGCTGCTCTTCAGGGAACTGGGAACACACAATTCCCATCTGCTGCCTCTCCAGCTCTGATGGTGTCTGATCACTCATCCTTCACCAGCAACTTTACAGCAATCTTTTGAAAATCAATCACATATGAATTTCTCCCACATCTAAATTTACTTTTTGATAACAACCCCACACTTCAATAAGAATGACATATGCTAATCATAAAAAATTCTGAAGACTACAAAAATACACAAATCACGTGAAGCCTCGTTGCCCAGCAATGACTCTTTCCAGAAGTCTTTATGCACAGGTTCGTACGTGAAATCATACTATGCCTGTGGTTTCCTCAGCATTCTACATAAACACAGATCTCCACCTAAGCTGATACTAAAAAGCATCGTGTGTGAACTTCTGTGCTGTGCACAATCCCCTTGGGGAGGCAGGGGGCAGTCAGAATTTAAAGCCCAGCTTGGGTACTGGTAAACTGTAGTTTCCTGGGCCACTCACTTAACTTCTAAGTGTGAATGTTCCCTCATCCATAAAATGGGATAACAACAGGACAGCCTCAGCATATGGGTGTGACGTTTCAATGAAACACTTCCAATGAGGTGCTGGCTGGCAGACAGAAGGGCTGCAATGTCCGCTCTGTCATTAACATCGAGGACTCAGAACCACAGGGTCAAAGGCACACAAATTTTACTATACCCAAAAGCCTTAATTGTATGCGCAGCTAATTCCCAAACACAGGGTTCAGAAGCACCTGCAAGCATCTCCCTCGGTGCAGGCAGAACTACCAAATCCACAATAGAGGGCCCTACAGGCACTGTTTAAAGGATTCTCAGCTGTGGGAGACCCAGGCCCCTCTCTGCCCCTTTCCTAGAGTAGTGCTGTGGCTTCCTGAGCAAGATGACGGGCGTTGTGGAGCGGCTGCAGCCAGATGAAGCAAGCTTTCCACAGCAGGGCTTTGTCCAAGAGCTCTGCTCCTGTTTTTTTTTCTTTTTTTTTTTTGAGACCGGGACTCATTTTGTCACCCAGGCTGGAGTACAGTGGTGTAATCACAGCTTACTGCAGCCTCAAACTCCCAGGCTCAATCAATTCTCCGGTCTCAGCCTCCTGAGCAGCTGAGACTACAGGCATGTGCCACCACACCCAGCTAATTCTTGTATTTTTTGTAGAGATGAGGTCTAATCATGTTGTCAAGCTGGTCTCAAACTCCTAGGCTCAAGCAATCCACCTGCCTTAGCCTCCCGAAGGCTGGGATTACAGGCATGAGCCACTGCACCTGGCCCCCAAGAGCTCTGCTCTTACATATTTCACTTGTCCATGCTTTCAGAGACATTATCAACCAAACTGCTTGGTGACTGTGAATAAATAAAGTCCAAGTTTACATTCTCTCCTGCCTTTTTATATATATGTTACTTGTTTCTGCACATGATTACAAAAACTGAATTAGGATGAATTAAGGTCCATGCCTTTTTTTTATTCTTTTGTGATGGAGTCTCACTCTGTTGCCCAGGCTGAAGTGCAGTGGCATGATCTTGGCTCCCTGCAACCTCCACCTTCCGGGTTCAAGAAATTCTCCTGCCTCATCCTCCCGAGTAGCTGGGATTACAGACATCTGCCACCATGCCCGGCTAATTTTTGTATTTTTAGTAGAGACAGGGTTTCACTGTGTTAGCCAGGCTGGTCTCGATCTCCTGACCTCAAGTGATCCACCCACCTCGGCCTCCCAAAGTGCTGGGATTACAGGCGTGAGCCACAGCATCCGGCCCACTCCTATCTTTTTAAAGAGCTGAAAAACATCATGATGTCCCTGCTACCTCTCTAAAGCCACTCCTGAATCTTCAGAAGTCCCTACTATTCTTTGACCTGTAGGCTTTATTCAATATATAGACTAAAATCCAGAAAACTTATTCTCAAGGAAAAAGGATGAAAACACCACCGGTCTAATTTCTTTTCTTTTTTTTTTTTTTTTTTTTTGAGACGGAGTCTCACTCTGTCGCCCACCAGGCTGGAGTGCAGTAGCGCGATCTCGGCTCACTGCAAGCTCTGCCTCCCGGCTCATGCCATTCTCCTGCCTCAGCCTCCTGAGTAGCTGGGACTACAAGCGCCCGCCACCACGCCTGGCTAATTTTTTGTATTTTTTTTAGTAGAGACGGGGTTTCACTGTGTTAGCCAGGATGGTCTCAATCTCCTGACCTCATGATCCTCCCGCCTCGGCCTCCCAAAGTGCTGGGATTACAGGCGTGAGCCACTGCGCCTGGCCACCACCGGTCTAATTTCAACACTGCAAGACAATGATTCCATCTTGCTGTTGGAACATTCTTCTCATGTTTGACACCGTTCCAAGGCACCAGCTTTGAACTAAAGATACACATATCTTTTATTTAAAGTACAGCAGAGCTAAATGAACACTGGCAAGTATCTCTTTGTAGACTACAGATGTTCCTTAATTAGGATGGGATTATGTCCAATAAACCCATTGTAAATTGAAAATACTTAGGTCAAAAATGCACTGAGGCCAGGCACAGGGGCTCATGCCTGTAATCCCAGCACTTGGGGAGGCCAAGGCGGGTGGATCACCTGAGGTCAGGAGTTGGAGACCAGCCTGGTCAACATGGTGAAATCCCATCTCTATTAAAAACACAAAAAGTTACTCGGGCATGGTGGCAGGTGCCTGTAATCCCAGCTACTCGGGAGGCTGAGGCAGGAGAATTGCTTAAACCCAGGAGGCGGAGGCTGCAGTGACCTGAGATCGCGCCACTGCATTCCAGCCCAGGTGGGAGAGTGAAACTCTGTCTCAAAAAAAAAAAAAAAAAAAGCATTGAATACACGTAATCTACCTAACATCATAGCTTAGCCTAGCCTGCCTTAAATGTGCTCAGAACACTTACATTAGCCTACAGTTGGGCAAACTCAGCTGGCAACACAGTGCCCTGTAGAGCAGGGGTCATTCCCCCTTCTCATGATGTGGCTGACGAGGAGCTATCTGGCATCTCGAGAGTATCTGGAGGCATACTGCTAGCCCAGAAAAAGATCAAAATTCAAAACGTCAAGTATGGTTTCCATAGAATGCATACTGCTTTCACACTATCGTAAAGTCAAAAAATTGTAAGTCAAACCATGGTAGTTTGGAGACCATCTGTACTTCAGAAGAATGTGGCGTATGTCATCAGGAAAAGGACCATATTGTTGAATCAGTAACAGTCTGCAGTAACAGAATCTGGAAGCTGAGAAACTTCTAGGATGTCTAGTTTCCCATATTAAAAATATAAATGGTAAAGGAATGAGAGAAGTATAGATAAGGAAGAAAAGGAAAAAGGCTCCCTCTGAAAGCAGGGTCACGAGGCCTGAGCGGCTGTGAAGTTGAGGGATTTTCATCACGGACGCAGTAAAATGCACAGCAGGTGTATTTCTTAGGTTTATCACCAAACTTTATAGGCAAGGAAGCCAACTTCAGAGTGAAGGGAATAAGAGGTGTTCCATTAAGTTCAAATACACCACCACACCTCCAGCTATAACTGTGAAAATTACAGGTGTGTGGCCTCAGATTGCTCACTGTATAAACCATCAAGGAGACCAGGAAACCCCAGGGGAGCAAATCCAAGGAGCAATCACGGTGCTTGGCAGTGAACAGGAGTGGCGCAGCCACGGCGAACGTGACCCATGAGGTCCCTAAGGAGGGCTCCCACACCGTGCCCCAAGCTGCTCTGCTCCTCCGTCCAGAGAAACGCACTCCGGCCCTCCCCGAGAATCCTGCCCTCTGTTGGGAGCGAGTCATACATTCCCCTAGGGCTAGTGGCGGACACTCTGAAAACATGATCCCTTGCTTCTCCCACCACACTGCACCCTCCTCTCGGTACTGTGGAGGACGCTGCAAGTGGGGAGTGTCCACACGTCACACCTGGAGCACGTTCCTGACAGCTGGAGCGCCAGCTGTGGAGTCAGAAGTCTGAGCCCACCACTGAGCAGTCACGCAACCTTACAGGCTAGTGACCTTCTTGTGACTTGGTGTCCTCACTGTGAAACGGACAAGTCAAGGTGCAGGAAAAGCTCTAAACTGCACGGGAGCAGTAACCACTCTTTCAGGGCCAGCCTTCTCAGATCACTGAAACGGGTGAGCAGTCACGAACCGGCATGGATGGGAGGTATTCTGTAAGCAGAGGTGCAGCACAGAGTACAAGGTCAACAGAGACCCAACCAAACATGAGTCTCTTTACTAACACTGAATCCAACATAACGTCCTTTCCTCCAAGAGTGACTGCATTTAGAGAGCAAGAGCCTGCCCCCGGCCTCACGGGCTGGCTCCAAGGACCAAAGAGACCTGCAGCGATTCCTACAAAAGAGCCAATAAAGACTCTCAGACTCGCATCTCTTCAGTTATGAGGAGGTCTTCCCTGTACTCTAGGGGCCCCACACTGTCCCTCTCATGCTGGAGGACAGGAAGGAATGCCCTCGGCAGGCCCTCCGAGCAGAACTCACCCCTCCTGGACACCCTCGCAGCTCCAGCTGAAGAGGAAGACACAATGAGGAGCCATGGACTGAGGCATCAGAACGGTACAAAGACCTCCCTGACCTTCCAGATCTTACTTTATAATGGAGGAAGATAACTTTTTTGGAATTAACACTTCTAATTTCTTTCTTTTTTTTTTTTTGAGATGGAGTTTTGCTCGTCACCCAGGCTGGAGTGCAATGGCACGATCTCGGCTCACTGCAACCTCCGCCTCCCGGTTTCAAGCGATTCTCCTGCCTCAGCCTCCCGAGTAGCTGGGATTACAGGTGTGTGCCACCACGCCTGGCTAATTTTGTATTTTTAGTAGAGATGGGTTTCTCCCATGTTGGTCAGGCTGGTCTCGAACTCCTCATCTCAGATGATCCGCCCACATCAGCTTCCGAAAGTGCTGGGATTACAGGCATGAGCCACCGCAACCGGCCGACACTTCTGATTTCTACTGAGGTTTGGTTCTGGAGTCTGACAGCCTGCTCGATAGCTACAGGCAGACCGCGCCCGGCCAACACTTCTGATTCCTACTGAGGTTTGTTTCTGGAGTCTGAGAGCCTGGTCGATAGCTACAGGACAGACACAGGCCTGGACTTCTTCCAGCCTCAGTCTCCTCACCCATGAAATGGGGCACAGCCACCAGTTTTCCAAGTGGGGTGAGAACCCACAATGGGTGCAAAACTAACGCTCACAATCACTAACATCTGCAGATCGACCAACACGATGATTCCATTCCCAAACGTTCCTTCTGGCTCTGTCACCCAAGGGTCTGGCTCTGTCACCCAAGCTGGAGTGCAGTGGTGTGATCTCAGCTCACTGCAACCTCCCCCTTCCGGCCTCAAGGGATCCTCCCACCTCAGCCTCCTGAGTAGCTGGGACTACAGGCATGCACCGTCATGCCTAATTTTTGTATTTTTTGTAGAGGTGGGGTTTCCCTATGTTAAGCAGGCTGGTCTCAAACTCCTGGGCTCCAGTGATCCACCCACCTCAGCCTCCCAAAGTGCTGGGACTACAAGTGTGAGCCACCACACTTGTTCCTTCACTGACTCTCAGATGTATGAGATCCACTTAGGCCTGACACCAGCTGCCTCAGCAATTCGCCATGGAGAGGTTCCCTTGTCTTATTTCATAGCCCCTGTCATAATTTCATCATCTTCCCGTGCCACATCATGTGATTTATAAGGTAATTCATGTAGCTCCTGATAGAAAAGGAGTCAAACTTCGGAAAAAATATCCACTCGCCGGGTGCAGTGGCTCACACCTGTAATCCCAGCACTTTAGGAGGCCAAGGTGGGTGGATCACCTGAGGTCAAGGGTTCAAGACCAGCCTGGCCAACATGGCAAAACCCCGTTGCAGTGAGCCGAGATCACGCCACTGCACTCCAGCCTGGACGACGGGGGGGGGGGAAAATATATACATACACACACACACACACACGTATATATATATTTATACATATATGTGTATATATTTATGTGTATATATACGTATATATATGTTTATATATATATGTACATATATACATAAATAAATATATAGACCCATCTCTAGACTTCCAGGTAATGATATTAATTTGAAATAAGATGACATGTAAGGCCAGGTGCCGTGGCTCATGCCTGTAATCCCAGCACTTTAAGAAGCCAAGATGGGAGGATCACTTGAGCCCAGGAGTTTGAGACCAGCCTGGGCAATACAGGGAGACCCTGTCTCTCTTAAAAAAAAAAAAAAAAAAAAAATAGCTAGGCGTGGACATCTGTAGTCTTAGCTACTGAGGAATGTGAGGCAAGAAGATCACTTGAGCCCAGGAGGTCAAGGCTGCAATGAGCTGAGGCCGCAACACCATACTCCAGTCTGAGCGATGAAGTGAGACCCTGCCTCAAAAAAAGATGACACGCAGGAGGAACAAGATGAAGAAGTAGGTTGGGTGTGGTGGTTCACCTGTAATCCCAGCACTTTGGGAGGCCGAGGCGGGCAGATCACTTGAGGTCAGAAGTTCGAGAACAGCCTGGCCAACATGGTGAAACCCCATCTCTACTAAAAATATAAAAAAGTTAGCCAGGCATGGTGGTGCACACCTGTAATCCCAGCTACTCGGGAGGCTGAGGCAGGAGAATCTCTTGAACCCAGGAGGCGAAGGCTGCAGTGAGCTGAGATAGAGCCACTGCACTCCAGCCAGTCTGGGCGACAGTGAGACTCCGTCTTAAAAAAAAAAAAAAAAAAAAAAAAAAGGACGGAGAGGTGCTGTACACCTTAAGAAAGAGTCCCCCTTAGAAGCAGTTCTCCCATTTGGTCGGCTGGATCCCAGACACTTGATTTTCCACGCCCTCTTCCCTGGGACTTCTGCGATCACAAGCAGAAGAGGGCAGATGGCATTTTAATAATATAGTAATTCCATCAGAAAAAACATGTGACTTAGTACTACTAATCTGACAGGCAGAAATGTAGGGAATTGTACTCAATGAATTTAACCAACTTCTCTCCATTTAGTACCAATTACACTTCATTCAACCAGAGAGGACTACAAAAAAAAACGAGTAAATTTAAGAGCTTACTGTAAACCACTTCATTTCGAAGAAACCTTCCTAAAACACTTAGAAGTTATTTTCCAAAAGATTTATATTTTATAAATTCAACAAAGGTTCTTCTTTTCCTTTAGAAAGCTCTTAGGTTTAAGATAACAGTTTGCATATGATTACTACTTTTTTTTAAATCTCCAAGAGTTTACATGAGAATGCTAGTAGTTCAGTCCTGAATGAAAACAGAGAAAGAGAGAAAGGAACTCCAAATTTAGCTACATCAGAAAGCTAGAAAACACTGTTTCAGTGCACACACTGGGCAGATTGCGCACATTAAAACCCACTCCCCTAGATCGCGCCCACCGCACTCCAGCCTGGGAAACAGAGCAAGACTCCATCTCAAGAAAAAAAAAAAAACCACTCCCCAGCAGCCTCTGCATTCATTACATGTTATGCTAACATACTGGATTTATGTTAAACTCTACAAACTGAAAGCTTTGATAGTAGGGGAATGTGTAGGTTATTATTAATTCAAGTTCTGTTTTTTTTTTATTACCAACCACATGCCAGACACAAGTGATGCACTAGAAATGCAAGCACAAGACACCAGCTCTGTCCTCAAGGAATGGGCAGTGTGGCTATTTAAGTGCTGGCACCTGCCAGTCGTCTGAATGGGGAGCATGCTTTTAGGGACAGTGCTAGGGACTGGTGGAGAACACAGCCACACTGTGGTCTGCCTGCCACCTCCTGGACCTCTCCACACCCGCAGAGGCCTTTGGCCTCTTTTCTTTCCCACCCACATTCACACCCTGGGTGACCTCATCTGATGTGACCTCCAGTCTATCTCCAGCCCAGGCTTATTCTTTTAGCTCCAAACCTGTAGACCCAAAAGCCCACTGGACACTGCTCTACAAGGATGTCTAACATCCACCTCACATTCAACACACATAAATCCAAACTCGCAACAGAAAGCTTCCCACCAGACAGGACCTCCCCAAGTCTTCCCCATCTGAGTTTCTTTTTTTTTTTTTTTTTGAGACAGAGTCTCGCTCTGTCGCCCAGGCTGGAGTGCAGTGGCGCAGTCTTGGCTCACTGCAAGCTCCGCCTCCCGGGTTCACGCCATTCTCCTGCCTCAGCCTCCTGCGTAGCTGGGATCACAGGCGCCCGCCACTATGCCCGGCTAATTTTTTGTATTTTTAGTAGCGACGGGGTTTCACCGTGTTAGCCAGGATGGTCTCGATCTCCTGACCTTGTGATCCGCCCACCTCGGCCTCTCAAAGTGCTGGGATTACAGGCGTGAGCCACCACGCCCGCCCCCCTCCATCTGAGTTGCTTAGCTCAGGCCATACACTATGGGGCCATCTTTAACTCCTCCCTCTCTACCCATCCCTCTCCCAACTTCCAATCTACAAACAAATTCTATTGTCTCAACCTCCAAAACACATGCAGAAGTCAACCTCTTACCCACCCTGAGCTAATCCACTGGCATCTCCTTGCTGGCTTGTTCAACAGTCTCTTAGCTGGTCTCGCTGCCTCTGCCCTTGCCCCTCTGCAGTACATTCTCAAAAGAGATGCCAGAGCAAGCCTGTTGAACACAGTCTATCATGTGACTCCTCCTCTAGAATGAAACCTTCCAAACGGCTGCCATCCTGTTCAGAATAAACACTGAGTCCTCACTATGAGCTGCCATCCTGTTCAGAATAAACACCGAGTCCTCACTATGAGCTGGCAAGGCCCCACTACACTGAGCCTAAGTCACCTTTCTATCCTCAGCTCCTGCTTCTCCCACCGCCACCCGCTGCACCTGAGCCACACCAGGCTCTTGCTACCTGCCCTTCCTCCTACACTGCTTTAAGTCTTCGTCAAAACTTAAACCTTCAGAGTGAGACCCTTCCTGGCCATCCTGGCTACAATTCCAATCCTCCTCATCCTTGGCCCAAATCACCATCCCCCAGGAGCCACGCACTTCGCTGCTAATGCTGGTCTCATGTCTAGAACGTTAGCTACCCCAGGGCAATGGTTTTCATCTATGTTGTTACTTCTCTAGTCCTAGTGTCTAGAACAATGCCTAACACATATCTGACAGTCAGTAACAAACAGTGTATTGAATTAATGACTATCAGAACAGAAACTGTATTACACATGGTCAAGGAAGGCAGAATCTTCAAGAACTCTAGAGATCAAAGGAGGGCAGATCATTAATCATCTCTGAAAGGAAATACAGCATCAAGTCAGAAGGAAAATTCCCCATGATATCCTACAAACATCATATACGTTTTTATCAGCATAAACAGAGACCTTTAAATGCAAACACCTTTTCTACTCTGATCCCACATGCAGCAACATCCAGTGTCCTATTAAAGTATCACCATGTCAACACAGTTGTCAAGGGAAAATAAAAGATAAAATAAAGTATCGCCATGTAACAACATAACTGTTCTCCCAACTTGAACATGATGATTTTCACATTTTAGGTCATATGATCGACACTGAACCGTGTTTTTGACCTTAGCCAAGTCTCTCATATGATACTCCAGCCTCAAGGTATCGAAATGATAGAGGCAGGAGGCAGACAAATCCTAGGCAGAGAGGGGTGGGTCACCAGTGAAACCCAACCTTCAAGCCACAGTTTAAAGCCTGAAAGCCAAGCGACGAGTCTCGGATAAATCCACAGACTGGATTGCGAACCTCTCTTCCTGTTTGGTGCGCTTTCCTCTAATTAATCCCCACCCTTCACCTATTTTACATATACCTACTTTTCTCTAATTGGTTTATTACACTGTTGTGCCCACCTTTGAGTAGTGACTTTGTTTTAACCTTTTTTGCATACTCACAGACAAATCAGCACACACTCCCCATTCTGAGCCTATAAAAGCCCTGGACCCAGCCACACCAAGGGAGACCACCCGACTTTGGGTGGAAGACCACCCTTGAGTCCCCTCTCTGCTGAGGGGTGTTTCATCACTCAATAAAACTATTCTCCACCCTCCTCACCCTTCGATTGTCAGTGTTAAGTGTAGTCTCATTCTTCTTGGACGTGGGACAAGAACTAGGGACCCAATGAATGCAAGTACAAAGAAGGCTGTAACACTGTGGCCCTGGGCCCTCTGCCGGCAAAGGGCAGCCACCCACTGTGACACCCCACGTGACAGGAGGCAGCAAAGGGAAGCAGCGGGGACGGAGCCAGCCCCAGAGCTATAGCCTGGAGCAGGGCAATGGGAGTAACAGGGCTGCTGACACTCTGCAACACCCCCTCTTGGGCTTCAGGGTTGTAAGCACCCCTGCTTGGGCGCCACTACCTTCCCCTTGTCTGGACACCAGAATCCACTGTCCCTTTGTCTGGACGCTGGAGTCCGCCGTGGGAGTTGCTTGCCACATGTCTAGCTGTAAGCTCTGCAGAGCCCACTCTGGTGCCTGCGCTTGAAACAGCTGGCGGGACCCGGCACTCACTCACCCACACACCCACTCCCGCCAGGGGCTGAGCATACAGTCATGGTGGCCATGGTATCCGTGCCATAGTGCAAACCAGGTGCCCACCGGTGGACCAAGTAGATGGGGTATCTCCTGCGGCGAGCCTGGACCCAAGCAAGGCCTGGGCAGGGGCCTCGCCAGCCGGAGGTCTCTGGCTGCCAGAGTGGCTGAGAAAAATCCTGCATCACAAACAATAACACCTAAAAAGATATAATACAACAGTTGTAAAATAGTAAACAACAAATAGTACACAGCTGCAAATAGTTCAACCGTGAATGACGGTTATTCTAAAAGACAAACTTCACAAGATATACACCTGGTCAACATGCTCCTTAGGGAGTCAGGGCTCCTGTTTCCTCCAGCCACCTACCACATTTAAGTGGTGAGCTGCTACAAATCATTTTAATAGATATTGGCAATACACATTACAGTTTTCCAACTCAGATCTTAATAAATTTATGTTGTAGCTACCAGAAAAATAAAAAGTAAAAACAATCCCATTCAGAATGACAGAATTAAACCAGATGAAAATCTTTCTTTACAGATGGGGGATACTTGGTAAAAGGCAAATCAGTTCCCACAAAGAATGAATGAGCTAAAACTTCTGTGTAAAAATATTTCTAGGGCTACTGGGCTAGCGATGGGTTTGGCGCTGACTTAAAATAATCTTGCTAGCAAAAATGGAGCGGAAGCATGAAAGGATAGGAAAAAAACCAACACTCCCTATACACACACACACACACTCCTTCTCTTTCTCTCTCTCTTAGGACCCCAAGAAACTAAGACCCGATGATACAAATTCACTGTTTCTCTTTCTCGTCACGGAAAAGCAGCTTGGAGAATCTACTGGTTACTAAATTGAAGACAAAAACAAAAAAGATACGTATACTGTGATGAACACGTCACGTTTCTCTCCTCCAACCTACCAATAACTTCATAAAAGTTAAAGAGCTTCCATCCCTTCACGCTCAGCTGCGGAAAGGCTACGCTTTCGCCCGCCGCTCGCGTCCCCGGCCCGGACCGCGGCCGCCCCGTTCGCCGCCGCGCCTCTCCCCGCCCGGCAGGCTCCGCCGCCCTCCACGGCCGACCTGGCGCAAGGGCCTGTGCAGCCACAACCTCCGGAGCGCTCCGGACGGGACCGGAAAAGCAGAAGCTCCAGCGCAACCGACGGCGGGTTCCGCGGCGCAGTGCGCCGCCGTCCCCCTCCCGCTCCCACCGCCCACCACCCACCAACACCGCCCCGCGCTCCCGCAGCGCCCGCCGCCCCGGCCCAGCCTGGCCCGCACCGGCGTGCCCCGAGGCGAGTCGCGGCAGCCCGACCCGAGCAGGGGAGGCCAATGATAAGGCGAGCACCTCCTGCGGAAAGACCGACCCCCGGCAACTCCTCACCTGCGTCCATCTTCCCAGTCCGGCCGCCGACTGACCCGAGCGGCGTCGCTCCGACGGGCCAGCAACGCGACGCGGCGACGGGACGCCGCGGGGGCCAATAGGTGTGCCGGCGCAGGCGGCGAAGACGATACGGCGCGCGAGCGGAAATACGCGGGAGCCGCCATTTTGGCGTACGGCCGGGCCGACGCGAGCCCCGGGGCGCCCTGCGGGCGGCATGGGGTCGTGTCGTGGGACGACGGCTGGTTCTGCTGTCCGACGGGACACTGTGTGCCATGGGTGGCGCTTCCTCCTCTTAGAGGACCCAGGAGCAGTTGTCGAGGCGGCAGAGGCGAGCTCTGTCCCCGTCCGAGCAGCCATCTTGCGGTACGGACGTGCTCGGCGCGCCCATGTCGCGGTACGGACTTGCCCCGCCGGGGCGACTCCCCCGCCCGTCTGCCCGCCTGCCGACGGACGCTGCGAGGGGCCTGCGGCGCCCCGCTGGTCCGAAGACGCCCGAACCCGCGGCTGGCGAGGACGCGGGCGGGGGCTGGGGCGGGGGCGGGCCCGCTGCGGGCGCCTGCGCCTCCATCTTGCCGTACGGCGCGGACGCCGCGGGCCGGCCCACGTCCCGAGCCGTGTCGCCGCCGCGCTCCCTCCCTCGGGGCGGTCCGCGGGCGGGCGGGCGGCTAGGGCCGGGGCCTGGCTGCGCGGCTGGGCCAAGGCCCGCGATGGTGATCTGCTGTGCGGCCGTGAACTGCTCCAACCGGCAGGGAAAGGGCGAGAAGCGCGCCGTCTCCTTCCACAGGTACGCGGGCCCCGGGCCGCCACGCCCCCGCCCCGACCCGGCCCTGCGGGGAAACTGAGGCCCCGCGGCCGGCCCGAACGCGGGGGGCGGGGGCGCCGGGCCTCGGCGGCCGGGGCGCGGGGGAGCGGGCGTGGGCGCTGTGTGACCTTGGCCCGGCCGCCGTCTCTGGGCCGGGCGCCTCGGGCAGCGCAGCCGCCCCCACCCCGGCCGCCTGGGTCCGCCCTGCGCGCGATCGATCCGGCCGGCGCCTAGGCTTCAGAAGCCGCACGCTCTGGAAGCGCAGGTCCTGGGCCGATTGTCCTGCTCGGCCGCGACTGCTGACTCTCCGGACCGCGCGGGCCGTCGGCCTGGATGTCTGCGAGCAGGAGCGACCGGGCAGACGCGACCTGCGCCTCCGTAGCTGACAGCCCCCGAGAGGGCTTTCCGGGACTGGGCCCCCGAGCCCAGGACGCGGGTACGCGCGGAGAGTCTACGGGACGGCCGGCTGGGGACGGCATCCTCCTGCGCTCCCTTAGAGCCTGGCCCGGGGCTCTCGGCCGCTTCCCACGTGGGCCCCCGCGGCAGGGCCCAAACCCCTCTAAGGCCTTGTGAGTTCAGCCTATTTCAGTGAGATTTCTGCGGATTACACGCGGGAGGCACCAGAACCGCGAACAGACTTTAAAAACCACTTTGGAGATGTTTCTGTTTTATGTTGCATGGTGTTATTTAAGTTTTAAAGACGGGAATGGCACGTGTTATTTATAGGGTTATTGAAAGTTCACAGTAGTTTGCTGTAAGTCTTAAATCATTACAATGTATTATAAGAATTAGTAACATTAGATTATTTCACAAGTCAGCCAGCGCACTTTCTTGACAATTTCCTTCAGAGCTTGTGTCCTAGAAGTTTTGTTATTGTTTTTTGAAAACGAGGCAACGTGTTGCAACGGTCTAACATGGTATGGGAGGAAAGGACATCGGAATTGGGGGTGGGGGGGTACCTTTGCAGTTGGCCTCACAGTGTTCAGAAAGGAGGTTAGAAGGTCCTGTTGCTTAGAACGGCCCAGTCCATCCTGTTAGGATTTGTCCTGGTCCACACTGGCCTCAGGTGGAGCAAATAGCAGTTAGAACTGACCACCCTGTCCCTTATGTGCACATTAGGGCCTGGTTTTTTTTTCTTTTTTTCTCTTTTTTTTGAGAAGGAGTCTCCCTCTGTCGCCCAGGCTGGAGTGCATTGGTGCGATCTCGGCTCACTGCAACCCCCGCTCCTGGGTTCAAGCTATTCTCCTGCTTCAGCCTCCCAAGTAGCTGGGATTACAGGCAAGCGCCACCACGCCTGTCTAATTTTTTTGTATTTTTAGTAGAGACAGGGTTTCACCATATTGGCCAGGCTGGTCTCGAACTCTGGCCTCAAAGTCCTGACCTCAAGTGATCCACCCGCCTCGGCCTCCCAAAGTGCTGGGATTACAGGCATAAGCCACCCCGCCCGGCCCAGGCCTATGTTCTTAAACACAGAGTTTGCCTTAATGAAGAAATGGTTATGAAGGATCTTTATTAGGTAATAAAGAAATGACTAAACATCCTATTCAGTATCTTCCTGCGCTGGTTGCTTTTTTCTCACCATTTTTAAATTATGGTATAATACATGTAACATGAAATTTACCATCCTAACTTTTTTTGGAGACAGAGTCCCACTCTGTCACCCAGGCTGGAGTGCAATGGTATGACCGTAGCTCACTGCAGCCTCAGCCTCCTGGACCCAAGTGGTCCTCCCATCTCAGCCTCCAGAGTAGCTGGGATCACAGGCATGAGCCACGGCTCCCAGCCTTTCCTACCGCTTTTTCAGTGTACAATTCATGGCAACAAATACATTCACGTTGTTGTGCAGCTGTCACTACCATCCACCTCCAGAATTATTTTTATTTTGTAAAGCGGAATCTCTGGACTCATTAAACATTAATACCCCAGTCCTCCTCTCCCTAGGCTCTGGGAACCCGCATTCTCCTGTCTCTATGAATTTGATTACTCTGAGTACCTCATGTGAGTGGTATCATGCAGTGTTTGTTTTTTTGCACCTGCCCTATTTCATTCAGTATAATGTCCTCAAGGATCATCTGAGTTGGTTGATTTTTTTTGAGGGGAGAAGACCGGGTTTCACTCTGTTCCCCAGGATGGGGAGCAGTGGTGCAGTCTTAGCTCACTGTAACTTCGAATTTCTGGGCTCAAAGAACCCTCAAGCCTCAGGCTCCCAAGTAACTGGAACTGCAGGTGAGCACCATTGTGCCCTGTCCCTGGGCTGGTTGACTTTTAAAAGGAGCATTTTTACTCCTGGAGGTGGGCATGCAACAGGAACACAGAACTGTAGCTCTGGAGTCTTCTGGAGGTCTCCAGATTCTCAGCTGCTTGCGCACAGCCAGGGCTGCCTCCATGCAGTCCTGACCTCTCACGCCCTAGTGTCTGTGGATGCTGGCCCTGGTTTTGGTACCCAGAGTCCTACCTTCCAGGCAAGTTGGGAGGGTTGGTTAGCAGTCAGCTTCTAGGAGCTATTTCCTGCTGTCCTGAGGCCATCCTGGCACTGTCTGTCAGCATCCTGTGTCCCCATTGGGCATTTACCACAGCCTGGGGAGCAGTTGGTTACCTTCTTTCCCATCCGCCCTACAGACTATAAGCTCTGTATGGGTAGACAACGGGTCTTTCAGATTTCTACTCCAGTAATAACTGCAGGTAGAAGATGTTCTTTAAATCTTTTTGAAGTATTTTTTTAAGTGGATGAAGTCAATACGGCTTAGGGTGCGTGCAAAAATACTTGTTTTGCTTTTACAGTTGATTATTTTAAGGGGAGACATTTAATTATTTCTAATTACTTTTTGTCATTTGTCCTGTAGGTTCCCCCTAAAGGACTCAAAACGTCTAATCCAATGGTTAAAAGCTGTTCAGAGGGATAACTGGACTCCCACTAAGTATTCATTTCTCTGTAGTGAGCATTTCACCAAAGACAGCTTCTCCAAGAGGCTGGAGGACCAGCATCGCCTGCTGAAGCCCACGGCCGTGCCATCCATCTTCCACCTGACCGAGAAGAAGAGGGGGGCTGGAGGCCATGGCCGCACCCGGAGAAAAGATGCCAGCAAGGCCACAGGGGGTGTGAGGGGACACTCGAGTGCCGCCACCAGCAGAGGAGCTGCAGGTTGGTCACCGTCCTCGAGTGGAAACCCGATGGCCAAGCCAGAGTCCCGCAGGTTGAAGCAAGCTGCTCTGCAAGGTGAAGCCACACCCAGGGCGGCCCAGGAGGCCGCCAGCCAGGAGCAGGCCCAGCAAGCTCTGGAACGGACTCCAGGAGATGGACTGGCCACCATGGTGGCAGGCAGTCAGGGAAAAGCAGAAGCGTCTGCCACAGATGCTGGCGATGAGAGCGCCACTTCCTCCATCGAAGGGGGCGTGACAGATAAGAGTGGCATTTCTATGGATGACTTTACGCCCCCAGGATCTGGGGCGTGCAAATTTATCGGCTCACTTCATTCGTACAGTTTCTCCTCTAAGCACACCCGAGAAAGGCCATCTGTCCCCCGAGAGCCCATTGACCGCAAGAGGCTGAAGAAAGATGTGGAACCAAGCTGCAGTGGGAGCAGCCTGGGACCCGACAAGGGCCTGGCCCAGAGCCCTCCCAGCTCATCACTTACCGCGACACCGCAGAAGCCTTCCCAGAGCCCCTCTGCCCCTCCTGCCGACGTCACCCCAAAGCCAGCCACGGAAGCCGTGCAGAGCGAGCACAGCGACGCCAGCCCCATGTCCATCAACGAGGTCATCCTGTCGGCGTCAGGGGCCTGCAAGCTCATCGACTCACTGCACTCCTACTGCTTCTCCTCCCGGCAGAACAAGAGCCAGGTGTGCTGCCTGCGGGAGCAGGTGGAGAAGAAGAACGGCGAGCTGAAGAGCCTGCGGCAGAGGGTCAGCCGCTCCGACAGCCAGGTGCGGAAGCTACAGGAGAAGCTGGATGAGCTGAGGAGAGTGAGCGTCCCCTATCCAAGTAGCCTGCTGTCGCCCAGCCGCGGTCAGTACCGGAGCCTCGCGTACCCATGTTCCCTTCCCGTTAGGAGGGGTTTCTCTGCAAGGTGGCCAGCGTCCCCTGAGCATTTCTGGGAGGTGTCACAAGCTCCCTGCGCTCTCAGGAGGAAGCTCTGGTCGTAACCATACCTTGTGGATGAGGGAATCCAGGTTAGAAAGCAGGCCTCACTGCACCTGGTCCCACAAGAGGCATCTGTGTGTGTAGGGATGTAGGCCGTGAAGGAGGCAGGCAGCACGCGTCAGCCAGGAGTGCCTGAACGCCTCCGTGGAGAGTGCACAGGGAAAGATAGCTTCTGTTTCATACCTTATGCAACAGAAATTCCAGATGAGTTAGGAACTAGATGGAAAATAAGAGAGTAAACTCTCAGAAAAAGCAAATATCAGAAACTGTTAAAATCATGAGGAGGTTCTTTCTGTTCACGTTTTAAGGAATATCCTTGAAGTTAAATCATCATGAACATTAATAATTATTTTAACATCTATTCAATTAAAACATCTGTTGAGGCTGGACTCGGTGGCTCACACCTGTAATCCCAGTACTTTGGGAGGCTAAGGTGGGCAGATCACTTGAGGTCAGGAGTTCGAGACCACCCTGGCCAATATGGTGAAACATACAAAAACATACTACTAAAACATACAAAAACTAGCTGCACATGGTGGTGCACGCTTGTAATCCCAGTTATTGGGGAGGCTGGGGCAGGTGGATTGCTTGAACCTGGGAGGCAGAGGTTGCTGTGAGCCAGGATTGCACCACTTCACTCTGGCCTGGGTGACAGAATAAGACTCTGTCTCCAAAAAAAAAAGACACACATCTATTGAAACACATTCTCAGCCGGGCATGGTGGCACACTCCTGTAATGCCAGCTACTCAGGAGGCTGAGGCAGGAGAATAGCTTGAACCTGGGAGGCGGAGGTTGCAGTGAGCTGAGATGGCACCACTGCACTACTCTTTGTCAGCCTGCGTGACAAAGAGCACAACTCTGTCTCAAAAGAGAAAAAAAAAAAAAAAGAAATACAATACATTCTCTGTTGCAAAAATTAAAACTGCAGAAATAGACTAAGAAGTGGTAAAAAAATTATTGTTTGTCATCCACCTCCCAAGTTCTATTCCTTGTTGTTATTAAAAATTTGGTGTGTAAGCCAGGCACAGTAGCTCTTGCCTGTAATCTCAGCACTTCGGGAGGCCGAAGAGGGAAGGTTACTTGAGTCCAGAAGTTCAAACCAGCCTGGGCAACATAGGGAGACCCCATCTCTATAAATAATTTAAAAATTAGCCGAGTACCATGGTGCACGCCTGTGGTCCCAACTACTTGGGAGACTGAGGCAGAAGGATAGCTTGAGCCTGGGAGGTCGAGGCTGTAGTGAGCTGTGATTGCACCACTGTACTCCAGCCTAGGTGACAGTGAGACCCTGTCTCAAAAAACAAAATTTCCTGTGTAATCTTTGTATGTATATTAGCTCTATTTCTGTTTTTTCCCATATTTTACTGTTAAGTATTTCTTAAAATTGGTTTCTAGATGTTTACATATGGCGGATGGTTTCCTTTGCCTGTCGTGTACATAGGAAAACCATATTCCTACCACATTGTTGATTTCATCTGGATCAATGCTTGTCAATAAGTATATGATAGTGGGACAAGATTTTCAGGACCTCCTGGATCCTCAGGGTAACAGCTATTAGCACAACCGAAAACAAAGCCCATCCGACATGTTCTCCAGATGTGTCCTGGGGAGGAACGGTGCCACTGAGTACTGCTGACCTAGATTTTCAGATCAAATCTAGATTTTCGGATTCTTGGGTTGAAATTGTATACTGTTTTTCTCTTGGAATTTTATTTTATTTTTTGAGATGGCATCTCACTCTGTTGCCGAGGTTGGAGTGCAGTGGTGAGATCTCAGCTAACTGCAACCTCTGCCTCCCGGGTTCAAGCAGTTCTCCAACCTCTGCCTCCTGGGTTCAAGCAATTCTCCTACCTCAGCCTCCCAAGGAGCTAGGATTACAGGCCCCTATCACCACACCTGGCTAATTCTTATATTTTTAGTACAGATGATGTTTCACCATGTTGGCTACAGTTGTGAGCCACCACACCAGGCCTTCTCTCGGAATTTTTTTTTTTTTTTTTTGAGACGGAGTTTTGCTCTTGTTGCCCAGGCTGGAGTGCAATGGTGCAATCTTGGCTCACCGCAACCTCCACCTCCCGGGTTCAAGCAATTCTCTTGCCTCAGCCTCCCGAGTAGCTGGGATCACAGGCATGCGCCACCACACCCAGCTAATTTTGTATTTTTAGTAGAGACAGTGGTTTCTCCATGTTGGTCAGGCTGGTCTCGAACTCCCGACCTCAGGTGATCCACCCGCCTCGGCCTCCCAGCTTCTCTTGGAATTTTAAAGCTGTTTGTAGTTATCAGAGCTAATGCTGCTTTAGACAGCTTCTCTCTGTTCCTCTTGGTTAAACTTCCTGAAGTTTGTCTCCATTACAGGTTTTTGCAAACAGCCAGCCCTTCGTGTCTCTGAGTTGTTGTTTATGCTGGTTAATCCTTACATCTTTTTGCTTTGTTGGGTTTTTTCTTGTAGTTCTGGTTCCTGGCGTGTTCCTTAACCCTGCAATGGAGGCTGTGGCTCTGCTGTTCCTTGGGCTGCGTGCCATGGATCTGCCTCTCTCTGCTTTTGTTGCTGTTCATTTCTGAGTCGTTTGTAATTCCAGCCTCGATGCCCCCTTTAACCCTGTGGTTATTTAAAAGGGTGTTGACAGATTTTTCAGTGCACACAGATTGGGCGAGGGGAGCAAATTTTTTTGTAGTTACTTTAAAATTTGATTGCATTAAGGTCTAATGGTAAGGACTGAAGGAGTTCTGCTTTTTGGAATCCTTTGAGACTTCACTGTGGCTAACACAGTCCCTTTTTGTGACTGTTGCAGTGTAGTGCTAGAAGAATGTATCCTCACCACTCCTTGGTTATATTGTTCCCGCCTGAAGCTGGGCACTTGCTTACTTGTGTTAGTCAGCGGACCAGAGCGTTCCCTAGCTTCTTGTCAGGCTCTCGGTCTGCTGATTTCCAGGAAAGGTGAGGTAGACCTCCCCTGTGGTTCTGGAGGTGCCCGTTTCTGCTTGTATGTCCAAGTTTTGCTTTCTGCCTCAAGACCATGCTGTTTGATGCATAAGTTTTCCTGTTACCAACACAAGAAACTCCTTTTTGTCCCGTTTAACGTCTTATTTCTTCATTTCCTTATTTTCAACCTTTTCATCTTATTTTATAGTTATATTTTTAACTCAATCCAAAAGTCTTTTTGTAGAGTAATTTAGTCATTTACAATTGTGATTACTGATAAGTGGGAATTCGGGCCTACCTTTTTAATTTGTTAGGCTTCCTCACCGTTTTCTTATTATTCTTCTAGTGGATATGTTTCAATTTTTTCTTTTCTTTTTTTTTTTTTAAGAGACAGGGCTTTGCTCTGTCACCCAGGCTGGAGTGTGGTGGTCCTATCACAGCTCACTGCAGCCTTGACCTCCTGGGCTCAAGCCATCCTCCCACCTCAGCCTCTCGAGTAGCTGGGACTACAGGCACATACCACCACATCCGGCTAATTTTTAAAATTTTTTGTAGCAATAGGGTCTTACTATGTTGCCTGGGCTGGTCTTGAACCCTTGGCTTCAAGGGATCTTCCCGTCTCAGCCTCCCAAAGCTCTGGGTTTATAATTGTGAGCCACTGTGCCCAGCCCATCTTTCAGTTTTAAAAACAAACACGTGAGCCCCTCTTTGTGTAACTGTTGAGAGCTGATCGGTCCTGTGTGCCACCTTCCCTAGGTGGAGGCTGTATGTCATCTTAGTTCCGGTGCTTCTTATTCCCCCATCAAGCAACCATGATTATTAGATTGAAGTATACATTTTACTGGTTACTTTATTTACCATTGTTTGCTGTATCCAAGTTTCCCCTCCTTTTTGGCAGTATTTAATGACTTTTTTTTTTTTTTTTTTTTTTTGAGACAATCTCAGACTGGAGTGCAGTGGCATGATCTCGTCTTACTGCGGCCACGACCCCCTGGGCTCCAGCGATCCTCTCACCTGAGCCTCCTGAGTAGCTGGGACTACAGGCATGTGCCATCATGCCCGGCTAATTTTTTGTGTGTTTTTTTGTTTTTTTGTTTTTTTTGTTTTTTGTTTTTTTTTTTGTAGAGATGGGGTTTTGCCATGTTGGCCAGGTAAGCCACCGCACCCAGCCATGACTTTAAAAAAAAAAAATCCTATTCCAGTACAGTTTTGAGGGGGGCGCTGGTGACTGTTGTGGCAGTCCCAGGGTAGATGGCGATGGCTCAGACTTTAGGGAGGAAGTGGCGGTGGTAGCAATGCTGGAGTACTGGCTGGGTTCAGGGGGTTGAGAGGCAAAAGATCAGCAGGCCAGCTACAGGGATTAGGCTTGAGCACCTGGAGGATGCTAAGTGGGAGAGGCTTTTGGGGAGGAGCAGGAGATGGGGGTGAGGAACGGAGTTTGAGATGCTCTTGGGTGCTGAGGCCAGAGTTTGAACAGGCAGTCTGAGGCCAGCAGCTGGCCTCTGGGATTTGGGCATGTGAGTGTGGGGGTGGAGGGCAGAGGTGTTTGAAGCCTTGGGGGGTCGAGTGTGGTTCTAGGCTGGGCTTCAGTGCCCGGCCCAGGAGCAGGCCTCGCTGAGAGAGGGGCAGCCGAGGCGGGTCCAGGGGAAGGCTGAGGGGTTGTTCAGGAAAGAAGGGTGACTTGCTGTGCTGGGTGCTACTCTGACCAGAATGGAGAGAAGGGGGCTGGATGTGCCCCAGGATAGTGGAGAGAAGGGGGTTGGATGTGCTCCCAGGGTCGCTGGTTACTGGAATCTCACTGGAGAGGCTGGTGGAGCTGGGCGGAGAGGGGGCCAGTGATGAGGGGTCAGGGCCAGGTTTGGCCGTGAAGTGGAGTGAGGCAAGTAGACAGGAGCCAGAGGGAGTGTGGCTCCAAAGAGAGTGTGTCAGTGGGGAGGGCTGTGAAGGGCCAGGCTCTGGAGAGCAAGGGACAGGTGCAGGCACCACCCTGCATGCCTTGTGCCCCTCCAAAGGTGAGGCCAGGCCACGGCTGGGCATGCGGTGTGGGCACAGGGGTGGCAGGAGCGAGGGTGTGGTGGGGAGAGGACATCCTCTCCCTGGGGTTGCAGTCTGTCACGCCGGCGTCGCAGGCCCTGGGGTCTGCACTCTGTGGTTCTTGCTGTCCGTGTGGATTTGTTCTTCAGTGACAGACTCTTTGGGTCATTCTTTAGGGATTTATGTGGAAAGCGCCGCACACTTGTCTATTCAGCTCGCTAGCCAGTGTCTGCTTTTGGGCAGGTTCCCCAAACTGAAGGATGCGGGCCAGTGGGCTTCAGAGGTGGGTTGAAGCCACGCTCCAGAGGCAGTGCCCGGTGGCGTTCTGTGGACGTAGTGTTCTTCTCCGCCAGCAGCGATTCCTTGAGGGTACATTGTTAGCACGTCTATGAACCACGTGTTCGCGGTCTTGCTTGCCCACTGAGTTATAAACGTTCTTGATACAGTAAGGATACCAACGCCTGTTAAATATTATTCACCTGTTTCCTAAGTTCAGCAATTTAACACTTGCTTCAAAATCTGTTTTCTTTTTATTCCTTTATGGATTCATTATCTACATATAATTCTTGAAATCTGGATTGTCAAAATCCAAGTACAAAACAAGTGAACCTTAATGTAAACTATGGACCCTATTTGTAGCAATGAATCAGTATTGGTTCGTAACTTGAGACACACATACCCACACTAATGCAAGATGTTAATCATAGGGGAACAGGGCAGGGGGTGAGAGGGTGAAGGAATTCTCTGTACTACCTGCTGGATTTTTCTGTCCTAAAAACAATCTGTTAATAAATAATAAATGGAAGCTGAAGAGTTTGGAGAAGTGCAGACAAAACAGGAATGTCAGAAGAGTGATAAATGGTGAAACTAGGGACATGTGTGTGGATTTATTACACTAATCTGTTTAATTTGTAATGTTCAAGATTTTTCACAATATAAAGTTGTTCAAAAATCCAGATTAGCTGGGCTCAGTGACTCATGCCTGTAATCCCAACACTTTGGGAGGCCGAGGCAGGCAGATCACTTAAGGTCAAGAGTTTGAGACCAGCCTGGCCAACAGGGTGAAGCCCTGTCTCTACTAAAAATACAAAAATTAGCTGGGCATGGTGACACGTGCCTGTAATCCCAGCTTCTCAGGAGGCTGAGGCAGGAGGATCACTTGAACCCGGGAGGTGGAGGTTGCAGTGAGTCGAGATCACGCCACTGCACTCCATCCTGGGTGACAGAGCGAGACTCCGTCTAAAAAAAAAAAACAAAAACTGTTAAGAAATAGCAGAAATAATAACAGTGTTTTTTTTCCTCCTTATGATGTGAGCTGTAGTACTTTGTTGTTGTTTTTTGGTTTTTGTTTTTTTGTTTTGTTTTGTTTTTGTTTTTGTTTTGAGACGTAGTTTCGCTCTTGTTGCCCAGGCTAGAGTGCAATGGCGATATCTAGGCTCACTGCAACCTCCGACTCCCTGGTTAAAGCAATTCTCCTGCCTCAGCCTCCCAAGTAGCTGGGATTACAGGCATGTGCCACCATGTCCAGCTAATTTTTGTATTTTTAGTAGAGATGGGATTTCACCATGTTGGCCAGGCTGGTCTCGATCTCCTGACCTCATGATCTGCCCGCCTCAGCCTCCCAAAGTGCTGGGATTACAGGCGTGAGCCACCAAGCTGTAGTTTTTTTATATGTCCTTTATCAAGTTGACAGAATTCCCATTTATTCCTGTTGCTGAGAGCTGTTATCATGAATGGGATGTTGGAATGTGTCAGATGATTTTTTTGCACCTATTAATGTGATCCTGTGATTTACGGTCAGATGATTTGCCTGTTGATGTGACGGGTTACGTTAATCAATTTTAGAGCACAGAGCCAGCCTTGCATACCTGGAATAGATCTCACTGGGTCATGGCAAATAATTCTTTTTATACATTTTTTTTATTCAATCGCAAATGTTTTCTTAGAGATTTTTGCATCTGTGTTCATGAGAGATATTTGTCTGTAGTTTTCTTTTTTCTTTTTTTTTTTTTTTTTTTTTTTTTTTGAGACGGAGTCTTGCTCTGTTGCCCAGGCTGGAGTGCAGTGGCACGATCTCAGCTCACTGCAAAAACCACCTCCCGGGTTCAAGCAATTCTCCTGCCTCAGCCTCCCTAGTAGCTGGGACCACAGGCGCCCGCCATGACGCCCGGCTAATTTTTTGTATTTTTTAGTAGAGACGGGATTTCACTGTGTTAGCCATGGATGGTCTCGATCTCCTGACCTCGTGATCTGCCTGCCTCACCCTCCCAAAATGCTGGGATTACAGGCGTGATCCACACACCTGGACTCTTTTTCCTTTTTCCTTTTTTTTTTTTTTTTTTGAGACAGTGTCTCACTCTGTCACCCAGGCTGGAGTGCATAGTACAGAGGTGTGACCTCGGCTCACTGCTGCCTCAACCTCCTCGGCTCAGGTGACCCACCTGCCACAGCCTTTCGAGTAGCTGGGACTATGGACACGTGCCGTCACACTGGCTAGTTTTTTAATATTTTTGTACAGACAGGGTCCCAGCCTGTTGCCCAGGCTGGTCTCGAACTCCTGGGTCCAAGTGATTCTCCCAGCTTGGCCTCTGAAAGTGTTGGGACTACAGGTGTGAGCCACCACACCCGGCCTGTAGTTTTCTTGTAGTGTGCGTGTTTTGGTATTAGGGCCCTGCTGGACACACAGAATGAGTTAGGAAGCATTTCCTCTGCTACTGTTTTCTGGTTTCATTTCTTCCTTGAATGCTTGGTAAAATCCACCAATGAAGCTAGCAGGGCTTGGTGCTTTCTGTTTTGGAAAGCTATTAATTATTCCATTTCTTTAATAGATGCTGTGACATAATAAAAAAATATATTTAGTCTCTGCCCCAGAATATGGCCCAGAGCTCCTAAAACCCTTGTCGTCTCCTGAGCAAAATGGCGCTCCGACCACCTTCCGTTCTCATAGTCGGTCTTTGCTCTGTTCGTCATACAGAGCTCCTAATCCCTTGGAATGTTCTAATAAAGTGATTCTTGGGGGGCTCCCAGATGAGGGCTGCTCACCAGAAAGACCAAGCCATAAACAGAAGCTAGGGGCTTTGAGCCCCACCCCCTCCATCCTGCAGGAAGAGGAATGGGGTAGAGTTAATAATTGATCATGCCTATGTAATTAAGCCTCCATGAAAACTTCAGAACTACAGAATTTGGAGAGCTTCCAGGTTGGTGAACACATCTGTGTGCTGGATGAGGTGATGGTGCACCCCAACTCCACAGGGACAGACGCCCCTTGCCCGAGACCCTTCCAGACCTCTCCCTGAGCTCTTCCTCTGACTGTTTATTTGTATCTTTTTTTTTTTTTTGAGAAAGAGTCTCACTGTGTTGCCAGGCTGGAGTACAGTGGCGCGATCTCGGCTCATTGCAACCTCTGCCCCCTGGGTTCAAGCGATTCTCCTGCCTCAGCCTCCTGAGTAGCTGGGAGTACAGGCACGCGCCACCACACCCAGCTAATTTTTTGTATTTTTAGTAGAGACTGTGTTTCACCTTGTTAGCCAGGATGGTCTCGATCTCCTGACCTCGTGATCTGCCCGCCTCAGCCTCCCACAGTGCTGGGATTATAGGCGTGAGCCACCACGCCTGGCTATTTGTGTCTTTTAAAATATCCTTTGTAATAAATTGGTATTAGTAAATAAACTCTTTTTCTGGGTTCTGAGAGCCTCCTAGCAGATTATCAAACCCAGGGAAAGGGCTGTGGGAAGCCTGGATTTGTAGCCAGGTGGGGCAGAGGCTGTGAGTAACCTGGGACCCACTACTTGCCATCGTCCTCAGATGGGGGCAGTCTTGTGGGACTGAGCCCTTAACCTGTGGGATGTGCACGAACTCCAGTTCGTGTCAGAACTGAATTGACGTGCAGGACACCCAAATGGTATCAGAGAATTGGTCAGTGTGGGAAAAGACCTGCATGTGGCCACAGAAGTGTCCTGAGTGTGCGTATAGAGAAAGAGATTGTTTTTTTCCATATATTCAATATAGGCCTGTTCAGATTATCTATTTCTTCTTGTGTGAGTTTTGGTGGAGGTATCTTTCAGAGAATTGGTCCATCTCATCTATATGATTAAATTTGTGGGCATGGAAGTGTTTATGATACTGCTCTATTAAGCTTTTAATGGCCATGGGATTAACAGTGATTGACCCCCTCCCTTCTTTTTTTTTTAAATGATATCAATAATTTGTACCTTCTCTCTTTTTTTTTTTCCTTTTTTCTTTCTTGAGACAGGGTCTTGCTCTGACACCCAGGCTGAAGGGCACTGGTATGATTTTGGCTCACCGCAACCTCCGCCTCCTGAGCTGAGGTGATCCTCCCACTTAGCCTCCTAAGTAGGTGGGACTACAGATGCGTGCCACCATGCCCTGCTAATTTTTGTATGTTTTGTAGAGACAGGGTTTTGCCATGTTGCCCAAGCTGGTCTGGAACTCCTGAGCTCAAGCTATCTGCCTGGCTCAGCCTCCCAAAGTGCTGGGATTACAGACGTGAGCCACCATGCTGGCCTATCCCTTTACTTTTAATCTATGTTTTTATATTCAAAGTGGGGTTTTTTTGTTGTTGTTTTATTTTTATTATTATTATTATTTTTGACAGAGTCTCACTGTGTCACCAGGCTGGAGTGCTGTGGTGCAACGTTGGCTCACTGCAGCCTCCGACTCCCTGGTTCAAGTGATTCAGGAGGCCTTAGCCTCCTGAGTAGCTGGGATTACAGGCATGCACTACCACACCCAGCTAATTTTTGTATTTTTAGTAGAGACGGGGTTTCACCATGTTGGCCAGGGTGGTCTCGATCTCCTGACATTGTGATCCGCCCGCCTCGGCCTCCCAAAGTGCTGGGATTACAGCCGTGAGCCACCGTGCCTGGCCTCAAAGTGGGTTTCTTATAGTCAACATATATTCAGGGCCAGGTGAGGTGGCTCACACCTGTAATCTCAGCTTTGAGAGGCTGAGGTGTGAGGATTGCTTGAGCCCAGGAGTTTGAGACCAGCCTGGGCAACATAGTGAGACCCCATCTCTACAAAAAAAAATAAGAAAATTAGCTAGGCATGGTGATGCACACCTGTAGTCCCAGCTTCACAGGAGGCTGAGGTAGGAGGATCGCTTGAGCCCCGGAGGTTGAAGCTGCAGTGAGCCGTAATTATGCCACTGCACTCCAGCCTGGGAAACAGAACAAAACCCTATCTCAAAAAAAGAAAACTTTTTTTTTGTTTGTTTTCTGTTAGGTCAATTAAGAATAAGAAAAGATTTTATTTTACCTTCACTTACTTCTCTCTGATGCTCTCCCTTTTTTTACATACATTTTAGTTTCTGACGTATATCATATTCCTTCTCCCTGAAGAACTTTTAATATTTCTCAAAGGGAAGAGGTACTGCCAGTGAATTCTCTGTTTTTATTTAAAGAAATTTTTTTGTTTGTTTTTTGTTTTGTTTTGTTTGAGACAGAGCCTTGCTCTGTCGCCAGGCTGGGGTGCAGTGGCGTGATCATCTCAGCTCATTGCAACCTCCACCTCCCATGCTCAAGCAATTCTCCTGCCTCAGCCTTCTAAGTAGCTGGGATCACAGGCGCCCGCCACCAGCCCCAGTGTCGTATTTTTAGTAGAGACAGGGATTCACCACGTTGGCCAGACTGGTCTCGAACTCCTGACCTCAGGCGATCCACCCGCCTTGGCCTCCCAAAGTGTTGGGATTACAGGCGTGAGCCACCGCGCCCGCGTAAATAAGTCTTTATATTGAGTTTCTTTTTCAGAGATTTAGAAAAAAATGGGAAAAAAGTAAGTTCTTTACTTCTCCTTTGCACCCGAAGAATAGTTTCACTGGATGTAGAGTTGCACGTTTTTGGTTTGGTTTGGTTTTTTTTTTTGCTTGCGTGGTTTCTGACAAGTCTGCTGTAATTCTTATTCTTTCTGCTCTACATGTAAGGATTTTTTTTCCTTTTGATTCTCTTAGTCTTTGGTTTTCTGCAGTTTGAGTATGACATGCCTATGTGTAGATTCTTTGGTATTTATCTTGCTTGATGTTTTCCGAGCTTCCTGGATCTGTGGTTTGGTGTCATCGATAATTTTGGAAAACTCTGAACTATGGTTAATTCAAATACTTCTGCTCCTTTTATCTCTTTCTGGCATTCCCATTATGCTCATGTAACACTTTTGCCCCACAATTCTCCAATATTCTGATTTTTTTTTTCCGTTTTTTTCTCTTTGCATTTCAGTTTGGGAAGTTTCTATTGACATATCTTCAACTCAGTGATTCTTTCTTCAGCCATATCCATCCTATTGATGAGCCCTTAGAGATTCTTCATTTCAGTTAGCATTTTTGGTTTGCAGCAATTTCCTTTTTGTTCTTTTGTCCATCACTCCTCTTACATTGCCCATGTTTTCTTGCCTATCACCCACTTTTTCCATTAGAGCCCTTAGCATATTAATTGTACTGATTTTATTATTATTACTATTATTTTGAGATGGAGTCTTGCTCTGTTGCCCAGGCTGGAGTGCAGTGGCACAGTCTCGGCTCACTGCAACCTCTGCTTCCTGGGCTCAAGCAATTCTCCTACCTCAGCCTCCCGAGTAGATGGGATTACAGGCACCCGCCACCACGCCCAGCTAATTTTTGTATTTTTAGTAGAGATGGGGTTTCACCATGTTGGCCAGGCTGGTCTCGAACTCCTGACCTCAAGTGATCCACCCACCTTGGCCTCCCAAAGTGCTGGGATTACAGAGGTGAGCCACTGTCCCCAAACTAACCAGTAATTTTAATTTCTCCGTGTGGTAATTCTAAAATCTCTGCCGTACCTGAGTCTGGTTCTGATGCTCACTCTCTCTCTTCAGATTTTTTTTTTTGCCTTTTAGCATGTCTCGTTATTTTTGGTTGCAAAGTAGACATGAAATATCAGATCCAGCCGTGTGCTACATGATGATGTTTTGGTCAATGACAGACCACATACACCATGGTAGTCCCGTAAGATTATAATGGAGCTGAGAGAGTCCTGTCACCTAGTGACATTGTAGCCATTGTAACATCGTAGTACAATTTTTTTTAATCGATTTAGTGTAGCCTCTGTGCAGTATTGAGAAAGTCTACCATAGTGTACAGTCATCTCCCAGGCCTTTGCATTCACTCACCGCCGCAGTCACTGCCTCAGTCACCGACTCACTCACCCCTCACTCACTGACTCACTCACCCCTCACTCATCCCTCACTCACTGACTCACTCACCCTTCACCCCTCACTCACCGACTCACTCACTCCTGACTCACTCACCCCTCAGTCACCGACTCACTCACCCCTCACTCACTCCTCACTCACCCCTCACTCACTCCTCACTCACCAACTCACTCACCCCTCACTCATCCCTCACTCACTGACTCACTCACCCCTCACCCCTCACTCACCGACTCACTCTCCCCTCACTCACTGACTCACTCACCCCTCACCCCTCACTCACCGACTCACTCACCCCTCACTCACTGACTCACTCACCGACTCACTCACCCCTCACTCACGACTCACTCACCCCTCACTCACGACTCACTCACCCCTCACCCCTCACTCACTCCTCACTCACTCCTCACCCCTCACTCACCGACTCACTCACCCCTCACTCACTCCTCACCCCTCACTCACCGACTCACTCACCCCTCACTCACCGACTCACTCACCCCTCACCCCTCACTCACCGACTCACTTACCCCTCACCCCTCACTCACCGACTCACTCACCCCTCACTCACGACTCACTCACCCCTCACTCACCCCTCACTCACTCCTCACTCACCAACTCACCCCTCACTCATCCCTCACTCACTGACTCACTCACCCCTCACTCACCGACTCACTCACCCCTCACCCCTCACTCAATGACTCACTCACCCCTCACCCCTCACTCACCCCTCATTCACCCCTCACTCACGACTCACCCCTCACTCACCCCTCACTCACCGACTCCTCACTCACCCCTCACTCACCCCTCACTCACGACTCACAACTCACTCACCCCTCACTCACGACTCACGCACCCCTCACTCACCGACTCACTCACCCCTCACTCACCAACTCACTCACCCCTCACTCACCCCTCACCGACTCACTCACCCTTCACTCACCGACTCACTCACCCCTCACCCCTCACTTACCAACTTACTCACCAACTCACCCAGAGCAACTGCCCATGCTGCACACTCCAGTGCTGGTAAGTGCCTTATGCAGGTGAACCATTTTTTGTCTCTTATGCCATATTTTTACTGTAGGTTTTCTATGTTTAGATGTGTTTTAGGTACACACACCCTTGGCACTGTGTTACAACTGCCTACAGTATTCAGTAACACACTGGGGTGTGTAGCCTGGGAGCACAGGCTGTGCCATACAGCCTAGGTGCGTGGTACGCGGTAAGTGCACTCTGTGACGTTTGTACAATGATGAACTTGCCTCATGACGTGTTTGTCAACGCATCCCCCATCAGTAAGTGCTGCTTGACTGAAAGGTGAAGTAAGTGTGCCTTGTTTGGAGGGCATCCATCCCCTTAACCTGGCTGGCACTCGGGCTGTGTTTAATCCTGCAGTGGCTGTAAAATTCCTCGAGTGTCCTTGTTTTGTCTCCCTGTTGTCGTGGAGTTTCTCCGAGCATGCCTTCCACAGCCTGCGCCTGGGCCCTTTCCACTCCCACCCAGGATGTTATGCTGGAGCCTGCAGGGCTGGGAGGGGAAGCAGGCTCCAGCCTGTGACTCGATTTAAGCCCTTCAGTGGCCCGTGTCCCTGAGCCGTGACCTTCACACGTGTCTTTCCCTTTCTCCTCCCCGCTTGGGTGAGACGGAAGACTGGTGGGGCTGGAGCAGTGAAATGCCCTTCCCAGCTGAGATGAGGTCCTGGTGAAGTCAGCTTCGCTACAGAGCAGGCCTGGCCTTTGCCTGGAGAACGCTCTGGGCTCATTTCAAGGTGGTCACCTCCCCCTCCTCATCCCAGAGACATGAGGTGTTTTTTTTTTTCTTGGCTTTTCGTGGGGAGAACCTGATGGGGTTCCTGGAGGTGAAACCTATGAAAATGTAGGACCCCAGGAGATTCTCACACCTGCCATGTTCAGCCTCCAGCATTTTGTCCAAATCAAGTTCCCACCAGTTCCTTCCCCTGTAGACTGTAGATTCTGCTCCACGTGAGCTGATCTCACTGCTATTCTCTGTGGCAGGAGAGACATCTGTGACCTCACTTCCTTATGGATCCAAGAAAAGTTGTTGATTTTCACTTCTTTCAGTGTTTTTTGCTGTTGTTTTAAGGCTGTGGTATATGACTCCTAAGCTCTTTACATGTGAGAGTGGAAACCGGAAGCTTACTCCCCACCCATTATTTTTCGGTTATTGCTAGCGTGTGGGAAAGCTACCCATTTTAGTAATTGGCCATCTTATCAAATTCACTTGTAGATTCTAATAGTTCTTCAATTGAGACTCAGATTAACGAGGAAATCAAACATAACATTTGCAAATTATTTGTATCCACTTTATGGCCTTTTTATATTTTATAGAAATACTTGCTGTATTTTCTCTCCATCATGATTTCTGTTTTTCCCCTGGGCATGCAACTCCTTCCGTTTCATGGTTGATAAGTTGAGGGCCTTGATGTCACTTTAAAACAACAGTTCCCTGCTGGTATGCCTTGTCAGTGGACCCAAACATATCACGGTGTTCCTGGACAGCTCCTCCCCACCTTGGGACAGCTGGTGCGGGCCGCGCACCCTCAGCTTCCATGCACCCTGTTGTACTAAGCAGTAAGTGTCCCTTTCTGTGTGTGCCTTGGCAGGAAACAACGTGTCACTAACACAAAGAGATGTGAGGGTGGGAGCTCCAGGAAGGAGCCGTCCCCAGGTCCCAGTGGGTGCATTTGCTCACTTCCTGTCCTGGGTTCCCGGGCCGCTTGCCAGGAGACAGGACAGTCTCTGGAGCCTCCATGTCCAGGTGAAGATGAGTCTCCAGCCACCCTCTAGGAGACAGAAAAGGACATGCCAGGGGTGGCCAGAGGGACTGCTCTGGAGAGAGAAAGCATTTAGGATGTGCCTGTCTCTGTGGTGTTGCCTTCCTCTGCTGTAGCTGGTGGAGGAGGCTGAGGGTAGAAGCCGCACTCGTCACTCCGCCCAGACCTCTGGCCAGTCCCTCTTTCATAAAATTCACCTAACCTCCAAAGCTCCTTCCAGCTCTGAAATTCTGTGATCTGGGCTGTCATTGTCTTTTACTTTCTTCTGAGACGTGATCTTTCATAGTGGAACTACAATTCCCAGAATGCACCATTTAAAGTTAGCATTCACTTCCTGCAGAGCCATTAAGAGCCAGGTGCAAACATTTCCCGTCAATTGGCAGAAAACAACCTTGAGGAACCTTGACGAGTGTCCGGAGTTTAGAAAACTTAGGGATGGGTAAGCCTGCTTTCAGTGTCTTGGGCCAAAACATGAAAATTTAAATTTCTTGCAGGAAATTTAAATTTTTGTTTTTGTGTTTTGGTTGAGATTTCAATAAAAGAAAAATGAAATCAGAAAAGAAATGCCTAGAAAAGCCTGTCTGGTTTATTTAAAGAGGTGGAAAGTGACAAATAGACTAGGTCCTTTATAGTATTTTTTGTTTCATGTTTAAATTTATTTTTTTCTAATGAAGTATAATTTACAGAGAGTAAAATACACAGATATTGAGGTCACAGTTTGATGGATCTTAACATATATCTAGGCTCAAGTAACCTGATGTTTGGATTCTAAAATTCTCTTACTGGTCGTCCTCACCCCCACCCATGCTTCAGTGACAACAAGGAGGGACAGTGGCTAGGCTGCTGCCACGTTCCACGCGGCCCGAAGTGGTGGAGGGTGCAGGGGGAGCGGCCCCAGGAGCAGGTTAACCTGGTGAGGTGCAGTGTAGACAGAAGGAGGCGCCGCCGCTGCTTGTTTACTGCCTGACCTGTTGTCCCTGTCCAAATTAAACTCCATTAAGATTCAGAGCAAATAACAGCAAGCCAGGAGGGCGACAGGAAGGGAAGTATTTCTCACAGCCATTAGTTGCTCACAGCCGTAAGCCTCCATCTAGTTGCTTAGCCGCGTGCTCCTTCCTTTCCAGTCTGATGTTATTTTTTCTGCTCAAAAGCGTTTCTTCTGAATTTCAGAGCTATCTTAGAATTCTCTAGTTTTTTAAAAAGAAATTGCCACATAAGTGCTGCGTCCTGTCCTGTCCCCAAGTGTGGTGTGGGCCCTGTGCCCCTGAAGCAGCAGCCGCCTGCAGGGTAGCTTCTCTCCAGGGCCCGCGGGACTTGCTTCCCTGACCTGGCATGCACATAGCAAAGTCCACTCAAAAGCTCACTTTTAGCCAGAATTTTTGAGGCAGCCTCTCCCTACCTGTTCTTACCAGGACACCATCCCCCTGCTCAGGTGCCACTGCTTACCCGCTCTGTGGTGGGCCTCTCTGGTCCTGATGCCAGGGCTCGCCCTCAGCTCTCGTGCGCCTGCACCCGCCCTTCTCACTGATGTCACGGGTCGCCTTCCAAGCTGCCAGCAATGCCAGCTGCTGGCCATCTCCAGCCCACCCATCCCTCTTATCTCACTCTCATTTCCATCTCCCTTGGGCTAGTCGTCGAGGCAGAAAGCCCGGGCCACGTCCCTCCTACGTAAAAGGTTCTGGCCCATCCAGGCCCACTTGGGGGAATAGATGGTCCAGTTCAACTTGACCAGACTTCAGATAAGCCCAGTTCTTCTGAGGAGCCAGCTGTGCTCACCTGTCCTTGCCAGCCCCCTGACTGAGTTCTCCCAGGCGTCTTGTGGCAGGGGCTCTGGGCTGCTCCAGCTGCAGGACTGGGGCAGAGTGTGTCCCCATGGGCGCCCTCCTTGCTTCCAGGCCAGCCGGGCTGGGCCTGTGTCTAGAACCAGCTCCCCAGCATCCTGAGGAACGCGAAACCTACTCAGAAACACGGCTGAGGGCGGCGAAGAGCTCTCCTGATGTGTCGGGAACCGTGGGCTTGGGGCACGGGGATGTGCTGGGTGGCTGCCAGTGGCGTCCTCACTCCCACCTGGGAGAAGAGAGGAGTGAAGAGGAGAGGTGGGAGGTGAGAGGCACCGGGCAGGGCGCTGTGTGTGGCTCCAGCCCTCTCTGGCCCTCTGCACCTGCCCCAAGGTATGCGACTCACACCACAGTGGTGTCATTTGTTTTAATTTGAACAGATGTTTAGAAATTGGGATATTTTAGCCTAAAATCAGCTTCTGGCTTTTCTCGAAATATTAGATCTGCAGTAGGTGCTGCAGCTTGGATGGCAGCAGACCCTGGGGCCAGGAGCCAAGGCCCTGAGCTGTGAGGCCGACCTCACTCCCCACCACATCCCCTGCTCTGAGGCCACCCAGAACCCTGTGCTGCAGTAACATAGTAAACACTCTTGGGATAAAATGCTTTTAGTTTTTTTAAGTTTTCTGCTTTTTGAAATATTAATTTGTTTGGGGAGGTTTTTCTTTATAACATTTTTATTGAGGTGTAATTCGCATAAGTGAAACACAAGCTCCTAGGTGTTCCCGTGGTGAGTTTTGGCAGGTGCAGGCGCTTGTGCAGCCACACCCACGTCCAGCGGTCCAGGTTCTCCTTTGCACTCCCCTCCAAGCCCCTCCCCGTCACCGTTCAGATTCCCCACCCTCCATCCTTTCTGCCTGGTCTCGAATTTCATCTAATTGGAATCATAGAATATATACGTTTTTGTCTGGCTTCTTTCTTTTCGCGCAGTGTTTTCAAGGGACACCTGATTGATTTTCATTTCTAGTCTCACTGCATTGTGATCAGACAGTAGACTTCTTTCTGCTTTCTGGAACTTACAGGCTTTCTTTGACCATTTAGAAGGCCAGTTTGCATGACTGTTCCAGAGGAACTTGAAGAAGGCATTCCTTAGTTTTGTTTTTGTTTTTGTTTTTGTTTTTGTTTTGAGATGGAGTTTCGCTCTTGTCACCCAGGCTGGAGTGCAATGGTGCAATCTCGGCTCACCGCAACCTCTGCCTCCCAGTTTCAAGCGATTCTCCTGCCTCAGCCTCCCGAGTAGCTGAGATTACAGGCATGCACCACCACACCCGGCTAATTTTTTGTGTGTTTTTAGTAGAGACGGGGTTTCATCATGTTGGTCAGGCTGGTCTCGAACTCCTGACCTCAGGTGATCCACCCACTTCAGCCTCCCAAAGTGCTGGGATTACAGTCGTGAGCCACTGCGCCCGGCGGTATTCCCTAGTTTTAAGCTACAGAGTTCAATATGTATCAGTCAGAACTACCTTATTAATTATATTATTTGGGAATTTTGTTTTATTTGTATTCATTCAGACTTAGAGGTGAATTGCAATTTCATTTAGTTTCTTTCTCTCGACATCTTCGTGTGTCATCAGTAATTTCTGCTTTATAGATGTTGCTGTGCTTGGTGCATGAGTATCCCTCACGGTTACGTCTTCATTGTGCATTCTGCCCTTCATTCGGGAGAGCCATTCTTTGTCTAGTTCCATGCATTTTACGTGATGCTAAGATTGGGAAGCCTGCTTCCTTATTGCTTATTGCCCAGCTTTCTGGACTCTCTCTCTGAATTGCTTTATTTTAGGTGCATCTCTCATTTACAGCAAAAGAGGTGAGGGTCTTGCTTTGTGGTCCAATCTGAAAAGCCTTTTTTTTTTTTTTTCTCAAGGCAGGGTGTCTCTCCAGTTGCCCAGACTGGAGTGCAGTGGCGCGATCTTGGCTCACTGCAGCCTCAACCTCCTGGGCGCAAGTGATTCTCCCCACCTACCCTCCCAAGTAGCGGGGGCTACAGACACGCACCACCATGCCTGGCTAATTTTTTTGTATTTCTGGTAGAGATGGGGTTTCACTATGTTGCCCAGGCTGGTCTCGAATTTCTGGACTCAAGCAATCCACCCACCTCGGTCTCTCAAAGTTATGGGATTATAGGTATGAGCCATCATGCCCGGCCTTGAAAAGCTTTTTCATATGTAAGTTCAAGCATTTTTAGTCTTGGTTCTGTCATCTTATTTTATATTATGCTTGTTGTGTTTTACTTTTTTTTGTTTTGTTTTTGTTTTGTTTCTGAGACAGGGTCTCGCTCTGTCACCCAGGTTGGAGTGTAGTGATGTGCTCTCGGCTCATTGCGATCTCTGCCTCCCAGGCCCAAGCGATCCTCCCACCTCAGCCTCCTGAGTAGCTGGGACGACAGGCACGTGCCACCACGCCCAGCCAATTTTTTGTAGTTCTGGTAGAGACAGTGTTTTGCTATGTTGCCTGGGCTGGTCTCAAACTCCTGAGCTCAGGCAATCCACCCTCCTCGGCCTCCCAAAGGGCTGGGATTACAGATATGAGCCACTGCAACCGGCCCAGTTTTTAAAATGAAATCTTCCACTGCTACTTCATTTGTAAGCCTCTGTGGTGTCAGCTCTCAGGGACAAGACCAGTGGGGAGTTCTGCCCCTTCAAGGGTCCTATGAGTTGAGTGTCATGCCTGTACGACCAGGCATCTACCACCTATAACCAGTTTTTTTTTGTTGTTTCTATAACCGCTTTTTTTTTTTTTTTGGCTTAGTACATTCAGTGTTTACGGAGGTTTCTTTCCGCATCATTTCCCTATTGTCTCCTGATGACATCCAGCTGCTGGTAATGTCCTCAGGGAGAAGACATAGAAACAAAGCTCCTTGGGTGCCAAGGGTTGAAAACTCCATTCCTGCACTGTCGAAAAGGTCTAGAGAGTGAGTCTCTTATGTAGTTTAATATTTTCTAATAGCTACATTAAAAAGGTAAAAAGAAACAAGTGAAATCGATTTTAATAATATATTTTATTTAACCCGATATTATCTAAAAATTATTTCAACAGGCAACCACCCATACTATAAGATTATTGAATTATTTGAAGACTTTTTGGACTGAGTTTTCGGAATCTAGTTTGTAGCTCGCACTCACTGCACGTGTCAGTGAGCCAGCTCACGCGCCTGCAATCTGGAAGGATCGCTGTGGCCAGCCGTAGCATCCTTGCCACTCACCTTCCCTCCTCATGCGCCTTCTACGTGTGACTCTAGCGTCTTCTGCCACAGAACGCAGCTGTGGAGAAACACTGACCCACGTTCTGTCTCTGTAGATGTGTGTGTTCTGCACCTTTCACAGAAATGGAATTGCAGAATATGTGCTCTTTTGAGCCTGATTGCTTTCATATGGTGTGTTGTCAAGGGCCATTTGAATTGCAGCTTATATTAGTGCTTCATTTTTATGGCCAAATAACATTCCATTGTCTGGATATACTGCAGTTTGTTTACTCATTGGTTGACGGACATCTGTGTTGTTTCCACTTTGGGGCTGTTGGGAATGGTGCTGCTGTAAACATTCATGGGCAGCGTCCTGTGGGGACAGGTGTGTCATTTCTGCTGGGAGTGCATGTCTCCAGGAGTGGCAGTCCTGGGCCACTGCTCCACACTTAACCTCTCAGGCACATGCCAGATGGTCTTCACTAGGCTGTGCCAGTTCACGTCCCCATCAGCAGTGTGCCAGGCGTTCCCGTCCTTCTAACTTTGTTTCCATTTCTCTATCTTTTGTCTTTTTTTTTAACTCATTTCTGTCCTCTGTGTTCCGCTGTGTTTCCCGGTGTTTGTTTCTCCCTGTGCTGCTTCCAATCTCCACTTCATTTGGGTGGTGGCTTGATTTTTTTTCTTTTACTTTCTCGACTTCTGCCAGGTCATGTTTCACCTTCTCCTCTTTCCTTGCCGTTTCTCTCCTGAGTTCTTACATGTTTAGTTAGTGGTCTTTCTTCATGGAGCAGCTTCATTCAACTACTCGGGAGGCTGAGGCGGGAGAATCACTTGAGCCCCAGTGGTCTAGGCCGCAGTGAACCGTATTCATGCCACTGCACTCCAGCCTGGGTGACTGAGCAAGACCCTTTCTCTTAGTTTCACCTTTGCCCCATCAACATTTTGCAGTTTGTATGTTTTGCTGCTCTTGTTCACACTTGGTGTCTTGTCACCTTTTGTCCATCTCTGAACTCAGGCAGTGTCTTAGAGTCCATTAGTCCATTGCTGGAGAAGCAGAAGGTCTTCAGGAGCAGCATGCCTTTCTTTCTTAATTTTTTTTTTTTTTTTTTTGGAGACAGAGTCTCACCCTGTCACCCAGGCTGGAGTGCAGTGGCACAATCTCGGCTCACTGCAACCTGTGCCTCCGGGGTTCATGCCATTCTCCTGCCTCAGCCTCCCTAGTAGCTGGTACTACAGGCACCCGCCACCACGCCCGGCTAGTTTTTTATATTTTTAGTAGAGATGGGATTTCACCATGTTGGCCAGGCTGGTCTCGAACTCCTGACCTCAGATGATCCACCCGCCTTGGCCTCCCAAAGTGCTGGGATTATAGGCGTGAGCCACTGCGTCCAGCCGGCAGCACCCCTTTCTTTCGGAGTGGCGCATTACTTCTCTATGGCGGGTGGTGGGTAACCCTGCATGGAGGCCAGCCTGGGCCTTCAGCACCTGGGCGAACACCTGGGGTGTCCTGGGCAGACGCGTGGGGTGCCCTGGGCCTGCTGTTTGCAGGAGCTCCCTGTGGCAGAGCGGGGGCCAGAAGAGCCTCCAGGCTTCCCAAGTCCAGGGCTCCCCACTCCGCCCCAGGCCTCTGAGCCAGGCCAGACCCTGAGGCTTCTCAGGGGCCACCCCCCCAGCTCCCAGAGGCCCCTCCTGTCCTCCAGCGAGGCACTGACCCACCACTTCTCACAGCATCCGTATGTGTGTTTTGGTGGCTGTGGGTTGTATCTGTGACCTATTTTCCCTCAAAATCAAGTTCAGGGAAAAGGTTTTTTCGTTATTTTTGTTTTTTTTAATTCTTGGGAGGGAAGGTGATAATATTGTTACTTACCTGAGAGTCCCCCTCGGAGACCCCCAGAAGCTGGTTTTAAGGGAAGAAAGAGTAAGATCCCTTTCTGTGTCTCTGTCTCTGGCCCCGTCTCTGGCCCCATCCCCGTGTCTCTCTGGCCCTGTCTCTCTGTCTCTGTGTCTCTGTCCCCGTCCCGTCTCTCGCTGTCCCTGGCTCTGTCCGTCTTTCTTCCCCATTTAAGGAGCGCCTCCTCTCCGGTCCCCTCTGAGGAGCGCTGGATGGAGGACAGGGCCTCCCGGAGAGGACTCCACGGTGGGTGGTGGGAGGGAAAGACCAGGGGGAGGCAGAGGCTGCCGGTGAGAGGCGTCTGCCAAGTAGATGAGGGGCCGGGAGAAGACCCCGTGGCTGGGGAAGCAGGAGTGGGGAGGGCGGGGCCTCCGGGCCGAGGGGCGCGGTCGCTGTGGTCTGTGGAGGGGCTGGCGAGGCTCCCGCCTCTGCTCTTGCTGGAGCTCTTGAGTGAGCCCTGTGACGCCTGCTAGGTGAGGTGGCAGCCAGTGAGCGCGCCCCACCGCCCAGCGCCGCCCAGCCTCCGCCCTGACTCCTCTGCCGCTCCCCAAACAGGGCGCGGTGGCGTGACCCTGGCGCTGGGGGGCGAGCGCGGCCCTCCCGGTCCCGCAGGCGCAAGAGAGGGCGGAGATGCGGCGCCTGAGGCGGGGCTGCGCTTCCGGGGCGGGGCCGGCGGAGGCTGGAGGGGGCCGCCCGGGAGCAGAGGCAGGACTTGCGGCGCGTGCCCCTCACCCTAGCCCGGGGCTGTCCTGCCTCGTGGGGAGTGTGAAGGCCATGCCCGGCGCCGCGGCCCTGGTGCCCCTGTTCCACTGGGACCCTGGGGGGCGCCGCCAGGCCCCTTGGCCTCTTCCTCGGGGCCCTCGGGACCCAGGGGCCGGTGGTGGCCGTGCCGGGGACTCGGGCGTGAGGGGTGGAGATCGCGGCCCCGGTGCAGCAGCTCAGAACCTGGACTCTGGATCGCTGCTCCCCAGCGCCCGGGGTGCCGCTTCCCACAGGGTTCAGCTCCCATGCAGGCTGCGCTCACCAGTGGAAGTGGGTCCACCCGGTCCCAGGAGAGCCAGAGCCCCGTGGCAGTCGCTGTGGGGTGTGCTCCGCACAGGCCAGAGAGCCGGCCCAAAAACCTGAGGTTTGCAAAGCCTCTTTCTTTCTTTTTTTTTTTTTGAGAAAACGTCTCTGTCGCCCAGGCTGGAGAGCAGTGACACGACCTCGGCTCACTGCAACCTCCGCCTCCCGGGTTCAAGCAATTCTTGTACCTCAGCCTCCCGAGTAACTGGGATTACAGGCGTGTGCCACCACGCCCGGCTAATTTTTGTATTTTTAATAGAGACAGCGTTTCACCACGTTGGCCACGCTGGTCTCAAACTCCTGACCTGAGGTGATCTGCCCGTCTCGGCATCCCAAAGTGCTGGGATTACAGGTTCAGTGAGCCATTGCGCCCGGCCCAAAGCCTCTTTCTTTTCAGTGCTGAGCTGGATAAAGTCTACCAAACTGAAAGGTCTCCAAGGCTATAGCTGGCTGTCTGAGAAATTATGGTGTTTGTTTAGCCCATCTTAGGACTTGGGCTATCCCAGGTGACTGAGTTTTGCTGTTTCACACCTCCCAAGGTTCTTCTCATTCTTCCTTTTCTCCATTAATGGTAACTTGTCTTCTCAATTGCTCAGGCCAGAAACCTCCGTTACCATCTTTTCTTACGTGTTTCACATCCAAACCATCAGCACATCCGGGTGGCTCTGCCTTCAAGATAGATCCAGAAGCTAGGTCCTTTCCACTGCCTCCACCACGGCCACCTGGCCCAGGCCACCCTCCTCTGCCACAAGGGTTTTTGCCATTGCCCTCCCTGGCTTCCTGTGGTTGCAGTCAGAGACCTCGTCCCTCCCACTCAGCCTTCTCGAGGGCTTCTGTCTGCTCAGAGTCAAGGTCACGGCCCTTCCGAGGGGTGAGGATCTCCTTCCCCTGGCCACACTGGCCTCCTGTTCCTCTCCAGCAAGACCAGGCCTACGTACCCAGGACCTCCGTCTCTGGCACTTCCACCTGGTCTGCTCTTCTCCAGGGTAGCTGCAGGGACCCTGATCCCCTGCCTGGTCTGTGCACACTTCTCAGGGAGGGTGTCCTTGTCCCTTTTGGGTAGGTTTTCACAGTGCCCCAACAGCCCTGTCTCCCTTTCTGCCTCATCTCCTAATGTACATTCAGTTCTGCATCATTCACTCATTTCTTGTGTATTGTCTGCCCTCGCTAGGATGTATGCTCCGTAGGGATGTATGACTGTTCCGTCAGCTTCTCCCTGGAAGAGTGTCCAGCACGTTGAATGATGAAAGAATTGATCAGCTATGATAGATCACAAGCCTCGTTCCAGAGGCCACACATTGGATTCAGAAGCTTCTATTCCTTATCTCCGTGAAAGATTGCAACGAAAATCTTGATTTAAAAATTCTCTTATTGTCTAATTAGGAAAGTTTTATTGAAGTCCAAATATTCCCATCCTCACCTTCCCACTTTTCACCGGGAGTCTGAGGAGGAAATACTGATATAAAAAATTTTTAAATCATCATTTAAGAAAAACAAAAAAGGAAATACTGAAAGACCACAGGCCAGTCTGGAAAAGGAGCGGACTCTCCCACTCTCCTGCTTCAGGTCACCTATGTTTGCCCTGTGCAGCCAGCAGGCAGAGTGCTCATTACCTGCTCTCCACCCTCGGTTCTCACTCTGGGCCCCAGGGCTCGGCCACTGGGCCAGGCCACATGTGCGGCCCTCCTTGGTTCCAAGCTGTTCTTGGACGTGGTCTCCTCCACCCCCAGAGCCTTTGCTTTCCTTTCCCCCGATCTTCTTTTCCCAGACTTCCTGGAATTTATAATCCAAAGGTTGTGTAATTTCAGAAGCTGCGATGGTTCCAAGAACTCCTGTCCCCGTCAGTCCGTCTTCTGCTTGCGCGGGCCTGGAGGAGACACTGGGGGTCAGTCCTGATCCCGTCCCCATCAGTCTGTCTTCTGCTTTTGCGGGCCTGGAGGAGACGCCGGGGGTCAGTCCTGATCCTGTCCCCGTCAGCTGTCTTCTGCTTGCGCGGGCCTGGAGGAGACACTGGGGGTCAGTCCAATCCTGTCCCCATCAGTCCGTCTTCTGCTTGCGCGGGCCTGGAGGAGACACTGGGCATCAGTCCGATCCTGTCCCCGTCAGTCCGTCTTCTGCTTGCGCGGGCCTGGAGGAGACACTGGGGGTCAGTCCTGATCCTGTCCCCGTCAGTCCGTCTTCTGCTTGCGCGGGCCTGGAGGAGACGCCGGGGGTCAGTCCTGATGTGCAGGCCGGTCTCTGTGCTTGGGCATCTTTGGGCTCCGTAGATGAGGCTTGTGCGGCCACAGAGCTGCTTCTGTCCCTGCTGCTGCTCCTGGGTGTCAGTGTCCGTTCTGTCAATTGAAGCACTGAGACTTGAGGGTTAAGCAGGCCTGGGAAGCAGGTCTTTGGGATTGCCTCTGGGGATCAGTCCTTCTCTTCCAGCGCCCCTGATGGGTAGCATGCAGTGGGGCTTTCCTGTGGTCCCCGCACAGGTCTCCCTTAGAAAATGAGTAAGAGCAGGGCCCGTGCATCCAGCCAGGGTGAGGGTCATGTGAGTGAATCCTGAAAAGCCGCTCGGGAGCACCCAGTCCTTGCTGAGCGAGGCAGGAAGCAGGGGTCCCTTTGAGTTCGCCCAGCAGAACAGCCAACCCAGCGGCCCCTCCCTGCTGTCCTGTCACTGCACCCCCACCTCTGAGTTCCAGGCCTGTGGTGTCATCCTTCACACTTAGTGGGATGAGAGACTGAACCCCACAGGAGACCTTCTAAAGGGGTCTCCTGGCCACTACACAGGCTGCTGTGAAGCCCCAGCCCCTCCTCAGGGAAGCGGGGTCTTACTTCCCTTTTAAACCCCGCCTGCCCCTGGGCCCTCACACTCTGGCTGCTCCGAGACCCTGCATCCCCTTTCATTTTCTCCCTGATGCTCTTTGTCTCCTTCACACACTCTTCACGCCAGGGCACCGTGCCTCCCGTGTGAGCTGCTTTCAGCCTTGCTGTAGGACATGGAGGACCCCTGAGCTATTTGGGGTCACAAGGAAGCTGTTAGTATGTGGTTCTCATATTCTTAACTGTACAAGAAAGCAAAAGCCCCTTGAGGTCCCTCAGTATCCCTTCCCACCACCTGCACCCCACAGGTGGAGAAATTGCCTGCTTTTAGGGAGATAGCAGTGTAGGCCTCTTTGCTTGCGCCCTGCCTGGCCCCTGTTGGATCTCTTTTCTCTGCAGGAACTGCAGAGGCTTCTGAAGCTGGATCTTTCACTATGACATTTACAGTTGCTTGACCATTTTCTCCCGCTCTTGACAGGTCCCCCAGGATTAGCTGTGGCCACCAGAAGCAAGCGTCGATATGGAACGTGCATTCTGCTTAAAGCTCAGCAAGGCATGGTTGGAGGGAGGCCACTGATAGTCTCATTCTTTTGTCCTCAGAGCCCCCCAAGATGAACCCAGTGGTGGAGCCACTGTCCTGGATGCTGGGCACCTGGCTGTCGGACCCACCTGGAGCCGGGACCTACCCCACACTGCAGCCCTTCCAGTACCTGGAGGAGGTTCACATCTCCCACGTGGGCCAGCCCATGCTGAACTTCTCGTAAGTTGTCTCCCTCCACCCCACCCTGCTTGACTCATGGGCCGCCTAGGTCTCTGAAAATAATTCCAGACTGATCAAAGACAAAGGCCAAGCAGGAAGGTGTAAAAGGAACTTGTCCATCTATTTCAGAAAGGTGTCCTCTTGCCTGAATGTGCAACTGAGACACAGAGTGGTAAAAATGATACTTTCTGGTTCTGTTATATTTTTGGAGATATTAAGCTGACCACCAAATTACAGGCTTGTTAATCCAAACATAAAAACAAATGCATGTACTTAATTTATGTATCAAAATTAATCACCCTGGCCAGTGCGGTAGCTCATACCTGTAATCCCAGCACTTTAGAGGCTGAGTCAGGAGGATTGCTTGAGCTTAGGAATTGAAGACCAGCCTGGGCAACATAGTGAGACCTTGTCTCTACTGAAAAGTATTTAGCCAGGTGTGGTGACACATGCCTGTAGTCCCAGCTACTCGAGAAACTGAGGTGGGAGGATTGCTTGAACCCAGGGAGGGCCAAGGCTACAGTGAGCTGTGATCATAACACTGTACTCCAGCCTGGGTGACAGAGTGAGAACCTGTCTCAAAAAAAAAAAGAAAAAAATTAGTCACCCAATATTACTGAAAATAATAGTGCATGTTTGTATTTTACACGTACCCCTGAGCTATTTGGGGTCACAAGGAAGCTGTTAGTATGTGGTTCTCATATTCTTACCGTACAAGAAAGCAAAAGCCCCTTGAGGTCCCTCAGTATCCCTTCCCACCACCTGCTCCCCACAGGTGGAGAAATTGCCTGCTTTTAGGGAGATAGCAGTGTAGGCCTCTGAAGTAGAGGAGAGCCACCAGGGATGGGGAGTGGTTGAAGTATCTTTATTTTTTAATTATAGAAGTAATACACAGTTTTTTTAAAGTTTAAACAAAATATAAAAAGCAAACCCTCCCTTAGTCTCCATTACACAACTATATGTTAAGAATCTTATTAAACCAACTTGGTACTATTTGTATAATGCCTAGCAGTTTCAGAACGGGGCTGGGCACCTGGCTCTCAGACCCCCAGCTCTGAGACCCTCCATCCCCTTTTAGAAGATCTCATTGTTTTTAAAAATATCTCCTACCTTTTTATATTATTATTGATTGAATGCATGAGGTCAAAGTAATACATCTGCACATAAACCAAAAGGTGAGAATTCTGGGTAATACAAAATAACCCAGAACCCAAGCAGTCTTTTTTAAACTATAGATTATAACCCACGAAAAGGTCAGAAAGTCAATTTTGTGACTAGCATTCGAAGAAAAATGAACCAGAGTGGAAAATATATTTCAGTAAATGTGATGGTATGTGTGTTTGTGTGTGTGTCCTAGAATATGGTATAAATGTATTTCTTTGTCGGGGTTATGTTAGTGAGCATGTACCATTCTAGAAGGTGTAGCACCATCACTAGCCCAACAGAAATTTATCTTGGCCCAGCGCGGTGGCTCGTGCCTGTAATCCCAGCACTTTGGGAGGCCAAGGCGGGTGGATCACTTGAGTCCAGGAGTCCAAGACCAGCCTGGGCAACACAGTGAGACCCTAAAAAAATTTGTTTTAATAAATAAATAAGTTTATCTTGGCCAGGTGCGGTGGCTGACGCCTGTAATCCCAGCACTTTGGGAGGTCAAGGCAGGTGGATCACTAGAAGTCAAGAGTTCGAGACCAGCCTGGCCAATGTGGTGAAATTGTGTCTCTACTAAAAAAAAATACAAAAATACAAAAATTAGCCGGGTGTGTGGCTGGGCACAGTGGCTCACACCTGTAATCCCAGCACTTTGAGAGGCTGAGGTGGGCAGATCACCTGAGGTTGGGAGTTCAAGATCAGCCTGACCAACATGGAGAAACCTGGTCTCTACTAAAATTACAAAATTAGCCGGGCATGGTGGCGCATGCCTGTAATCCCAGCTACTCGGTAAGGCTGAGGCAGGAGAATCGCTTGAACTCAGGAGGCGGAGGTTGCAGTGAGCCAAGATAGCGCCATTGCACTCCAGCCTGGGCAACAAGAGAGAAACTCTGTCTCAAAAAATAAATAAATAAATAAATAAATAAATTAGCCGGGTGTGGTGGGCGCCTGTAATCCCAGCTACTCAGGAGGCTGAGACAGGAGAATCATTTCAACCCAGGAAGCGGAGGTTTCACTGAGCTGAGACCGCGACGAGCCTGGGTGACAGAGCAAAAAAATAAATAAATAAAGTTTATCTCTAAGAATCATAGAGATGGATTCCCTATAGAAACTCATAAGGTTGGTGAAATGATAAATGAGGCTTTTTTTTTTTTGGTTTGGTTTTTTTGTTTTTATTTTTGTAGAAACAGGGTCTGTGTTGCCCAGCCCTGTCTCAAATTCCTAGGCTCAAGAGATCTACCCGACTGGGCCCCTGAAGTGCTGGGATTACGGCCTTGAGTCACCATGCCAGCGAGTTAGTTTTTAAGCCGTGGTTTTGTGCCCTCAGTTCAAGATGCAGGTGCCTGTCTTTTACTGTTGAGAATTTGCACTAATGATGAAGGGTGATAAGAAACCATACCATAACTCAGCACCTGTTCTGTTTTTTACCGTAGGAATTGATTAGATTCTTACACAAGAGCATAGCTCAAAAGAGAAAGATTGTGTTAGGGTGAGGTTTACTGCAAGGGAGTGCTGAGGGCTGACACTGTGTGAGGCCTGGGCTAACGGGCCCAGGGCAAGGATATGCCCTGAGGTGATTAAGAACAGTGCTGTCTTCAGGAGCTGAGGGTCAGCAGGCAAGACAGACACAGCCAAAATGAGCAAGGTGGTGGAGGGGGCGGGCAGGTGTGCGGGTGTGGCTGGAACAGCCCGTCTTCAGGAGCTGAGGGTCAGCAGGTAAGACAGACACAGCCAAAATGAGCAAGGCGCTGGAGGGGGCGGGCAGGTGTGCGGGTGTGGCTGGAACAGCCCGTCTTCAGGAGCTGAGGGTCAGCAGGCAAGACAGACACAGCCAAAATGAGCAAGGTGGTGGAGGGGGCGGGCAGGTGTGTGGGCGTGGCTGGAACAGCCCGTCTTCAGGAGTGGAGGGTCAGCAGGTAAGACAGACACAGCCAAAATGAGCAAGGTGGTGGTAGGGGCAGACAGGTGTGCGGGTGTGGCTGGAGCAGCCACCTGGAGGGCACCCTGGACAGTTCTGGCATCCACGCAGCCCACGCCATCTTGGAGGCCAGTGCCTGGGCTTCTCAACTCCAACTTCCCGTCCAGGTTCAACTCCTTCCACCCGGACACGCGCAAGCCGATGCACAGAGAGTGTGGCTTCATTCGCCTCAAGCCCGACACCAACAAGGTGGCCTTTGTCAGCGCCCAGAACACAGGTGAGGCCCAGCTTGCGGGGCGGGAGGGCTGGCCATGGGAGGCTGCTGCCTGCATTCGAAGCAGGGGTGCAGGGATGCCCATGTGCAACCCTGCTGAGGCATGTGCTGGTGGGGACCGTGGGGATGGCCCTGAGTGTTGAGAGTGGTCCTGGGAGCCTGCGGGGCCGACTGTGTAGCTGTAGGGGCCTCCGGCACACAGGTTGTGTGCGTGCAGCCCCCTGACCATGAGGGCCCGTTTACCCAGTGCCACGTCTGCAGAAATGGCCATCAGCTGTGTGCATTCATTAGGAATTGCTGGAAAACAGGTTGGGCACAGTGGCTCACGCCTGTAATCCCAGCACTTTGGGAGGCCTAGGTGGGCAGATCACTTGAGGTCAGGAGTTCAAGACCAGCCTGGCCAACATACTGAAATCCCGTCTCTACTAAAAATACAAAAATTAGCTGGGTGTGGTGGTGCATGCCTGTAATCCCAAGCCACTTGGGAGGCTGAGGCAGGAGAATCACTTGAACCTGGGAGGCAGAGGTTGCGGTGAGCCAAGAATGCGCCACTGCACTCCAGCCTGGGCAACAGAGCGAGATTCTGTCTCAAAAAAAAAAGAAAAAAAAAAAAACCAGCCTGCGTGACTCTAGATCAGTGTTTCTTCCTGGACGTCCATTCCCACCTGCGACTTCTGCCACTGTATGTGCTAGGGGTGGTTCTGCCAGGCTGATTGGTGGGTGGAGGTGGGAGGGCTGGGGCCCAGTCTGGAGAGGGTGGCCTTCCATAGAGCACCTGCCTGTTCTGTGAGGAGAGTTGTGGCTTTCCCTCCGTATCCACAGGGTGAAGTGGGGAGGAGGAGAAATATCGTTGCTTCCACAGCTGCAGAGTTGGGGCCTCCTGTGGAGTCCCGGCTTGCAGGCAAGGAGAGTCAAGGCTGCCTCTCTGCAAGCCGAGCAGCTGCTGGGTGAGCTGACTGCCCTTCCCTTGCAGGCGTGGTGGAAGTGGAGGAGGGCGAGGTGAACGGGCAGGAGCTGTGCATCGCATCCCACTCCATCGCCAGGATCTCCTTCGCCAAGGAGCCCCACGTAGAGCAGGTGAGCCCAGCCCTGCTCCCAGCACGCTCCTGTCTTCTGTTTGCAGCGGTCTGTGGAGTCAGCCTCTTCCTCTTCCGTGAGGTAGTGCGTGTCTTGCCACTGTGTCTCACAGGCCTGTCTTCACTGTCTCCTTCTTTTCCCTTCTCGGACCATCCAGGGTGGATGTTCCCTAAATTCATTGCCCCCTCCTCGGCTGGTCAGTGGTGTGGTTTTTTTGAGGTTTGTTGTTTGTCACAAACATCCTTTTGCATTTGGGTTGTCCACGTTTACAGATATATCCATATCTATTGATAAATTTTTCCCAGTTAAATTGCTGGATCAAAGGACAGGTACATTTTAAATTTGATACACACTGTTAGATTGTATTTCTTCATGATTATCCTCCCACTATCTCTTGCATGAGGGCAGCTGGTTCCCTACTCCTTAACAACATGGTGTATTTTCAGAATTTCGGTCCTTTCAAATCTGAGAAATAAAAGATGAAATCTCACTCATGTTTTGAATCTAACTTAGAAGCAGGAGGGCTCATTCCCCATGCTCACTGGCTGTTTACGCTTCTTATTCTGTGCACTTGATATTTAAAGTCTTTGCCTGTTTTTCTGTGGATTGTTCTTTTTTGAGGCGGAGTTTCGCTCTGTTGCCCAGGCTGGAATGCAAAGGTGGGATCTCGGCTCATCGCAACCACCGCCTCTCAGGTTCAAGCGATTCTCCTGCCTCGGCCTCCTGGGTAGCTGGGATTACAGGCATGCGCCACCACGCCTGGCTAATTTTGTATTATTAGTAGAGACAGGGTTTCTCCATGTTGGTCAGGCTGGTCTTGAATTCCTGACTTCAGGTGATCCACCCGCCTCAGCCTCCCAAAGTGCTGGGATTACAGGTATGAACAACCGTGCCCGGCCAGATTGTCCTTTTTTTTTTTTAAAGATTTGTAGGAGCTTTCTGTATGCCATGGGTTAATCTGTTGTCTGCTTTATTTGTGACACATACTTCCCTAGTCTGTGGCCTGGTCCATGATGGGCTGTGCCCCACAGGTGCTCAGCTTTCCTGTTGTTGCCTCTGGGCTGTTTCCTTTACAATGTCTGGATTTGGGTTCTTGCTAAGGAAGTTGTTGTCCACTCCAAAATGATAAAAATATTCTCTCATTTTCTTTCTTTTTTTTTTTTTTTTTGAGACGGAGTCTCACTCTGTCACCCAGGCTGGAGTGCAGTGGAGCAATCTCGGCTCACTGCATGTTCTGCCTCCTGGGTTCACGCCATTCTCCTGCCTCAGCCTCCCGAGTAGCTGGGACTACAGGTGCCCGCCACCACACCCAGATCATTTTTTTGTGTTTTTAGTAGAGACGGGGTTTCGCTGTGTTAGCCAGGATGGTCTCGATCTCCTGACCTTGTGATCCACCTGCCTCGGCCTCCCAAAGTGCTAGGATTACAGGCGTGAGCCACCGCGCCCAGCCTGTTCTTTCATTTCTTGTATTCTTACAGCTTTCCTTTTTACATTACCACCTAGACCTTTAATCTCTCTCACATTTGTTTTTTGAGTGACGCAGCGTATAATTCTAACTCTTCCAGATGAGTGACCCAGTAGTCCCAACACCATTCATCGAATTCCATCCTGACTCCACAGATTTGGAATGTCATACATACATTAAAGCACATCCACATAAATATAGGGGTCTGTTTCTTTTTTTCTTTTTTCCTTTTTTTGAGAAGGAGTCTTGCTCTGTTGCCCAGGCTGGAGTGCAGTGGCACAATCTCAGCTCACTGTAGCCTCCACCTCTCGGGTTCAGGTGATTCTCCTGCCTCAGCCTCCCGAGTAGCTGGGATTACAGGCATGTGCCACCATGCCCAGCTAATTTTTGTATTTTTAGTAGCCATGTTGACCAGGCTGGTCACAAACTCCTGACCTCAAGTGATCCGCCTGCCTCAGCCTCCCAAGTGCTGGGATTACAGGCATGAGCCACTGTGCCCAGCCTCGTTTGTCTTTCTTCGTCTGCTTGTCCACTTCCTTACCAGTAACACATTTTTAGCTCTCACAGCTGTATATTACATGTTAATGTCTAAGGGAACGTTTCCCACATTTTTTCTCCAAATTTTCTTACTCATTCTTAAGCATTTCCTCTTCTAGATGAACTTTTGAATAAACATCTCAAGGCTTATAAAATGTACATCAAGACTGCATTGAATACATGAATGAATTTGGGTAGAATTGACATATTTTCATGGGTAGCAATATGCAGCGTGACAGTGTATTACGGTGACTTTAGGTCATGTTTTGTGTATTTTAGTATATAGAAAAGCTTTATTTCTTTATAGTTTTAATTATACAGGTCTTGTACATTTCATGTTAGGGTAAACTCAAGTGTTTTATCATTTTTGTTGCTTGTAAATAGATTTTTTCCCATTTAATCTTCAGATTGATTATTGATAATTGTGTGGACACTTCTGATTTCTCTGTGTTGAACTGGGCCACTGGTGTAACTTTCAGACAGCCAGGATCTTAGGCACAGCATGGATAGAACAACAGGCGTGAATGTTTGTTGCATGCTTGTCCCTGACTCTAGTGGAAATAGTTCTGTGTGTCACCACCTGTAAGATGCTCACTGTAGATTACTTACTGGTAGATAAGAAGGTAGCTTTTTTTTTTTTTTGAGACAGAGTCTCAATCTGTTGCCCAGGCTGGAATGCAGTGGCACGATCTCAGCTCACTGCAACCTCCGCCTCCTGAGTTCAAGCGATTCTCATGCCTCAGCCTCCCAAGTAGCTGGGGTTACAGGCATGCACCACCACACCCAGCTAATTTTTGTATTTTTAGTACAGATGGGGTTTCACCATGTTGGCCAGGCTGGTCTTGAATTCCTGATCTCAAGTGACCCACCCGGCTCAGCTTCCTAAAGTGTTGGGATTGGGCATGAGCCACTGCGCCCAGCCGGATAGCCTTTTTTTTAGTTGTAAAATTTTTCTACTTTTTTTTTTTTCCAGTGCAGGTGCGTATCTTGGTAAAGGCAGTCTTTTTCAGGTTAAGAAGATTCAGTTTCTAGTATGCCAAGAATTGTATTCAGAAATGAATTTTGAATTTCATCAAATGCTTTTATAACCTGTTGGGGATGAATCTGTTTTTCCCCCTTGTCTTCCTCTTGAAGCTGTTAATGCAGTCCTCACTGCAGGAGGTGAGTGGCCAGCAGGTGAGTGGGCATGACCTCCTGAGCTCCACCTCCTGTCCATCAGGTGGCAGCATTAGATTCTCATAGGAGCACGAACCCTGCTGTGAATTGTGCATATGAGGGATCTAGGTTTTGCTTCTAATGAGAATCTAATGCCTAATGATCTAAGATGGAACAGTTTCATCCCAAAACCACCCCCACCCCCACAGCTGTGGAAAAATTGTCTTCCATGAAACCAGTTCCTGGGGCCAAAAAGTTTGGGGACTGCTGTAATAAATTATATTAATAGCTCATCAGTGTTGGATCATGGTTGTTTTTGGGGGATAACCCTGAGTTGTCATGATATGTTGTTTTTAGACATCATTGTCCATTTTGGTATTGGAGTTATTCACAGGCTAGCTGGGAGCTTCTTAGCTTTTGCAAATGTTCTCTGGCAAAGGGTGGCCCCGTGGGAGTTGGTCGGCCTCTCTGGGAAGGTATCTGGTAACCAGACCTAAGCTGTGCTTTTACTTTGTTCCGTGACTGCTTGTCTCTCCACGTTCTTACTTGGCTCCATCTGCAAATTCATGTTCTCCTGCAAAAGTGTCCGTTTCATGAGATTTTCAGAATTTTTGGAAGAAGTAATAGATACTGTTTTCTCTTGATGTGCTGTTCTATGTCACTTCTCTTTTACTGATGTTTTGTGTGTGTTTTCTCTTTTTCTTGATCATACTTGTCAGAGGTTATCTATTTTATCAGGGTTTTTTGTTTTTTTTTTTTTGTTTGCATGTTTATTTTTGCTAAATAACTAGATTTGGGTTTTATTAATTTAACAAAAAGTGGCTCTTTTTCTGCAAATAGAGGGAGGAGACAGAGACGATGGAGTTGCGAAGCCTGGGCATGGCGCTTAGGGGAAGGCTCTGTGCCATGCAGCCCCTGCACCCTGGGGGCTTTGGGGACCTCTACCGAGCGACTTAATGGACAGAAGCTGGAAGCACAACCTGAGGGGCTGGGCCTCCCCATTGGGTTGACATCAGCAGGACTGAGGAAGCCAGGAAGCACACACAGAAGGCAGGGACCTTGAGGCTAGAAGGAGAGCAGGAGGCAAGAAGAGCTGGGTCTTGGAGGGCCAGTCCTACTAGGCTTGTGCGGGGGTGAAAGGAGCTGTCCCTGTTATTACAGTGTTGGGGGAATTTCCTGGGACTTTGTTTGTAGCCAAATACAAAGTCAGTGTTTATCATCTTTCCAATATGTATTGGGGGAAATGTGTCTTCCTTGTTAGGTTCAGAGTTCTGTAGCTTTATGTGCTGCATAAAGAAGTTTTCCAGCTGGGCGCAGTGGCTCACACCTCTAATCCCAGCACTTTGGGAGGCTGAGGCAGGTGGATTACCTGAGGTCAGGAGTTCGAGATCAGTCTGGCCAACATGGTGAAACCCTGTCTTTACTAAAAATACAAAAATTAGCCAGGCGTGATGGCGGGCGCTTGTAATCCCAGCTACTTGGGAGCCTGAAGCAGGAGAATCGCTTGAAACTGGTAGGCAGCGGAGGTTGCAGTGAGCCGAGATCGCGCCACTGCACTCCAGCCTGGGCGACAAGAGCGAAATTCCATCTTGGGGAAAAAAGAAGTTTCCTTCAGTGACGGACTGACAGACCCCACTTATGATGGTCAGGCCATAAGATTGTAATGGAGCTGAAAAATTTCTCACTTCATGAGTGAAAGAAGCCATCTAATGTAGCACAATTACTTTTTAAAAATAAAAATATGTTTATAAATTTAATGCAGCCTAACTGTACTGTATTTATAAAGTCTATGGTAGTGTACAGTCATGTCCTAGACCTTCACATTCACCCATCACTCACTCACTGACTCACCCAGAGCAACTGCCAGTCCCGCCAGCTCCACTCATGGTGCCTGCCCCAGACAGGTGGACTTTTTGTTGTTGTTGTTGTTTTTGAGACGGAGTCTCGCTTTGTGGCCCAGGCTGGAGTGCAGTGGTGCAGTCTCGGCTCACTGCAAGCTCTGTCTCCTGGGTTCACTCCATTCTCCTGCCTCAGCCTCCTGAGTAGCTGGGACTACAGGTGCGCGCCACCACGCCAGGCTAATTTCTTATATTTTTAGTAGAGTTGGGGTTTCACCGTGTTAGCCAGGATGGTCTCCATCTCCTGACCTCGTGATCTGCGCACCTCTGCCTCCCGAAGTGCTGGGATTACAGGCGTGAGCCACTGCGCCCGGCCTTTTTTTTTTTTTTTTGGAGACAGAGTCTCACTCTTGTCGCCCAGGCTGGCATGCAGTGGCATGATCTCGGCTCACTGCAACCTCTGCCTCCCAGGTTCAAGTGGTTCTCCTTCCTCAGCCTCCTAAGTAGCTGGGATTACAGGCTTATGCCACCATGCCTACCTAAATTTTATATTTTTAGTAGAGACGGGGTTTCACCATGTTGGCCAGGCTGTTCTCAAACTCCTGATGTCAGGTGATCCACCCTCCTCAGCCTCCCAGAATGCTGGGATTACAGGCGTGAGCCACTATGCCCCGCCCCAAGTTGCTTTTAATTTTATGTTTGTTTGTTTGTTTGTTTTGGTTCTGGATTGGATCTTATAGGCCACCTTTAGATGTCTGGGGTCCCTTGGACCACCCCCAGCCAGGTTCACTGGGAGGCCTCATAGGACGTGGCAGGAGCTGACTTATTACAGCGGAAGGACATGGAGCACGGTCAGCACAGGGCAGGGCACGGGGCAGAGTCTGGAGGAAACAGGTGTGAGCTTCCAGCATCCTTTCCACGTGCAGCCCACGGGACGCGCTCCATTGCCCAGCATCGCATTGTAGCGACAGGAGTGAAATGTCCCAACTAGGGAAGCCCTTCAGAACCTCAGTGCCCAGGGTCGTTCCGGGGCTGGTCTTACAGCAGCCTCTGCCTGGTTCTTGCTCCCAGTGTCTGGGCACAGCTGAGGCCCAGATTCTCATGTCACCCTCTGCTGGTAGAGGGAGGCACAGTTGCCTCGGTACGGGGAGCTGGTGGTGGAAGCTGGGGAGTGACTGCTGCTGCCTTGTTTGTGTCCATGTTTGTTTGCCATATACCTGTCACTCAGCATGTCTCATGTATTTCTTCTTCTTTTTTTTTTTTGAGACAGAGTTTCGCTCTTGTTGCCCAGGCTGGAGTGCAGTGGCGCCATCTCAGCTCATCGCAACCTCTGCCTCCTGGGTTCAAGCGATTCTCCTGCCTCAGCCTCCCGAGTAGCTGGGATTACAGGCACGTGCCATCATGCTGGGCTAATTTAATATTTTTATTAAAGATGGGGTTTCTCCATGGTGGTCAGGCTGGTCTTGAACTCCTGACCTTAGGTGATCCGCCCAGCTCAGCCTCCCAATGTGCCAGGATTACAGATGTGAGCCACTGCACCCGGCTGTCTCATGTATTTTTAACAGCTCTTTAAAGATATAATGCAGGGCTGAGTGCGGTGGCTCACGCCTGTAATCCCAGCTCTGTAGGAGGCCAAGGTGGGCATATCGCCTGAGGTCAGGAATTCGAGACCAGCCTGGACAACATGGTGAAACCCCATCTCTACTAAGAATACAAAAAAATTAGCCAGGCGTGGTGACAGGCACCTGTAATCCCAGCTACTGAGGAGGCTGAGGCAGGAGAATCGCTTGAACCTGGGAGGCAGAGGTTGCAATGAGCTGAGATGGCGCCACTGCACTCCAGCCTGGCGACCGAGCGAGACTCTGTTATCAGAAAAGAAAAAAAAAGATCTTCACATACTATTCAGATCGCTCACAGTGTGCAATTCTGTGGTTTTTAGTATGTTCACAGCACTGTGTACCCATCACTACAGTTAATTTCAGAACATTTATCTTCTGTGGCACAATCATAACTCACTGCAGCCTCAACCCCCCTGGACTCAGGTGATCCTCCCACCTCAGCCTCCTCAGTAGCTGGGACTGCGAATGCGCACCACCACACCTGGCTCATTTTTTTGTTTGTTTTTGATTTGGGGTTTTTCTTTAAGAGAGGGTCTCATTCCATCACCTAGGCTGGAATACAGTAGCAAGATCTTGGCTCGCTGCAACTTCTGGCTCCCAGGCTTGAGCGATCCTCCCACCTCGCCCTCCCAAGTAGCTGGGGCCACAGGTATGCACCAGCATGCCCGGTTTTTGTTGTTGTTGTTGTTGTTTTGTTTTGTTTTGTTTTTTGTATTTTTAGTAGAGATGGGGTCTTGCCACATTGCCCAGGCAGGTCTTGAACTCCTGAACTCAAGCAGTATACCCACCTGGGCCTCCCAAGATGCTGGGATTACAGGCATGAGCCACCTAATGAGCACGGCTACTTTATTTGTAGTTTTTGTAGAGACAAGCTTTTGCCATGTTGCCCAGGCTGGTCTCGAACTCCTGGGCTTAAGCAATCCTCCTGCCTTGGCCTCCCAAAGTGCTGGAATTACAGGCATAAGCCACAACCCCTGGCCAGAACATTTTTTATACCCCAAAAAGACACCTGGTACCCTTTAGCTGTCAGCCCCAACTTCCATCTCCCCCAACCCCTGGCTACCACTAATCTTCCTTCTCTGTAGATTGCCTGTCCTGAGCATTTCATAGAATTGGGGCCATAGACTGTCACTTAGTGTAAGGTTTCCAGAGTGTATCCAACTTGGAGCATGCCTCAGGCCTCACTCCTTTTCATGACTGAATTATTCCATTGGTGATGTGCTGTATTTTGTTTATCCATTCCTCATTGATGGGCAAGTTGTTCGTTACTGAATCTTGGCTGTTAAGAAGAATACTGTGCCTCGCGTGGTGGCTCACACGTGTAATCCCAACACTTTGTGGGGCTGAGGCAGGAGATCACTTGAGCCCAGGAGTTCAAGACCAGCCTGGACAACATAGCAAAACCTGGTTTCACAAAAAATACAAAAAGTAGCCGGGCTTGGGGAGGCATGCCTGTAGTTCCAGCTACTTGAGAGGGTGAGGTGGGAGAATCGCTTGAGCCTGGGAGCCGGAGGTTGCAGTGAGCAGTGATTGTGCCACTGCACTCCAGCCTGGGTGACAGAGTGAGACCCTGTCTCAAAATAAATACATGAAATAATACTGAATTGCCTCTGAAACACATTTTCAAGCAAACCTGCTGTTTTCAGCCTTCATCCACGGCCACTGGTAGAGACACTCAGGCCACGCCACGGAGCTTTTGTGGGGTGTTAAGGCAGGCTGTTCGCCTGTCCCCAGTGCTGCATTCAGCCTCGGCCTTCCTGGGTCGGCTGTGTCGGGTCCCCGTGTGCGTCTCATTTCCAGCCCCTCACGTTCTGTGGCTGTGTGCCGCCTCCCATCTTTCTCCTGCGGATTCATGCTGTGGACAGCATTCCTTCACTGCCATTCCAGTCGGGGGCTGTTGCAGGAGACACAGTGCTGTCCTCACCCGGGAGGCCTCACCTCAGAGCTCTGTGCCGGCTTGCTGGGTGAGCAAGATTTTCATCTACATTTTACCGTTTTTTTTAATTTTTTACTTTTTATTTTATTATTACTTTTTTTTAGACAGAGCCTTGCACTGTCGCCCAGGCTGGAGTGCAGCAGTGCGATCTCGGCTCACTGCAGCCTGCACCTCGTGGGCTCAAGCGATTCTCCCACATCTTCCTCCCAAGTAGCTGAGACTACAGGCGTTTACCACCACTCCCCGCTAATTTTTTGTATTTTTAATAGAGATGGGGGACTCACTTTGTTGCTCAGGCTGGTCTCAAACTCATGGCCTCAAGTGATCAACCCGCCTCAGCTTCCCAAAGTGCTGTGGTTATAGGTGTGAGCCACCGTGCCTGGCCAGCTTTTCCTTTTAAGATGCATGGTATTTGGGATTATTGTTTCTCTGTAGTGTGAGGTAGCAGTCCCATTTTCCCTTTTTCCCCGTACAGACGTCCCGTGGCCCTTGTTAGGCACTGTGGCCCCGCTGACTGCTGTTTGGGGCATTTCCCTCCTTGGCTGTCAGGATTGATGCTGCCGGCCATAGCGTCAGACACGGTGTCTGCATGTGGATGCAGAAGCACCCGGTTTTTCCCCCTCGCTCTGGAGGAGCGGGCTGGAACCTCTCGAAGAGACCGAGGCTTATGTTGGGGAAGTGAGGCTTTCCTTTAGCTGCTCCGTGGCATCTGGGGGATCAGGCTGGGATGGGACGTGTGAGTGTCTTTACTGTTTGTGTGGGTGTTGGTGGGCATGGCCCAGACTGCAGGCCCCACAGAGGGTAGCAATGCCTCAATGAGCTGTGTACTGAGCCTGGTGGAGCCTGTGAGCTGCCGAGGGTCCCTGGCCAGCTTGCCCCAGGGACAGCTTGTCACTCATGTCCGGTGACTGAGCAGTGGTGGCACACCCCAGGGGAGAACTGAGTGTGTTGGAAGAGGCTCGTGTGACTCTTTTTGGGAGGGCCTGAGGGGTCCCCAGGCTCCCGCTGACCTGCACATTCCCTGTGCTGTGTGTGTCTGTGCTTTGTAACTTCAGGGCCCCATGCAGTCTGTGTAGCACGTGCCTTGCAGCAGCCCTGAGACGAGGCAGGTCCAGGCCAGGCCCCATTTTACAGTGAGGCTCAGAGAGGCCCCCAGCCTGGCAGAGCCTCCCCGCTTCCTGCCTTATGTGGGTGGCTCTGGACCTAGCTTTGCAGCCTGGGCTGCCACCGGTGACCTGCGAGCTTGAGCATCTTTTCACGTCGTTGCTGGGTCATCCTCCAGCGAGGTGCCTGTTCAGGTCTGGTGACCATTTCCACTGTGCCTTTTCTGGCTGACATGTCAGAGTTCTTTATATGATTTGAATAAAGCTCTGTTAGCTAAATGTGTTGCAAATAGCTTTTTCGGTCTGTGATTATCTTTTGAGTTTTACAAATTGTTTTTGAAGAACAGAGGTTCTGGATTTTATGTGGTTCAGTTTGCCAATCTCTTCCTTTATGGATTCTGTTTTTAATGTCTTAGTTAAGCAGTCTTTCCTCACTAACAGGTCAAAATATGTATTCTGAATTTTTCTGGAAGCTTCACAGTTCAACCTAAAATCTTTCCTTTAGGTCATTAATCCACCTGGGGCTGAGTTGTGTGTATAGTGTGAAGTGCTGTCCCCTCTCCTTGTTCTCAGATGAGGGCCAGCTACCCTGCACCCTGCATGAAGAGCCCGGCCCCCCTGTTCACCCATGCAACTGCCCCCTGAGCCCCTCAGTATCCTTCATCAGGGGTCTGCTTCTCACCCTCTCTCTGGTTCCAGGTGGTCTGTTTGTCAGTCCCTGTGCCAATACCACACTGTCTTCATTATCATGGCTTCTACTTTTTAAAAATCACCTCTATTGAGGTATACTTTATATGGAATAAATGCATACACTTCAAGTGTGCAGTTTGATACATTTGGACAAGCATATATAATCTTGTAACGCTGCGCCAGTCAAGACTGAGAACAGTCCCAGCACCCTAGAAAGTCCCCGTGCTCCACAGGCAACCCCCGCTGCCCTCTCAAGCCCCCGGCCTGGTTTCTGCCACTGTAGACCGAGCAGCTCTGAGTGTCCTAGTGCCCATGATCATCAGCCGAGCAGTTCTGAGTGTCCTAGTGCCCATCATCATCAGCCGAGCAGCTCTGAGTGTCCTAGTGCCCATCATCGTCAGCCGGGCAGTTCTGAGTGTCCTAGTGCCCATCATCGTCAGCCTGGCAGTTCTGTCTGTCCTAGTGCCCATCATCATCAGCCGAGCAGCTCTGAGTGTCCTAGTGCCCATCATCGTCAGCCGGGCAGTTCTGTGTGTCCTAGTGCCCATTATTGTCAGCCGAGCAGCTCTGAGTGTCCTAGTGCCCATCATCGTCAGCCGAGCAGCTCTGTGTGTCCTAGTGCCCATCATCGTCAGCCGGGCAGTTCTGTGTGTCCTAGTGCCCATCATCGTCAGCCGGGCAGTTCTGTGTGTCCTAGTGCCCATTATCGTCAGCCGGGCAGCTCTGCGTGTCCTAGTGCCCATTATCATCAGCCGAGCAGCTCTGAGTGTCCTAGTGCCCCTCATCATCAGCCGGGCAGTTCTGAGTGTCCTAGTGCCCATGATCATCAGCCAAGCAGTTCTGTGTGTCCTAGTGCCCATCATCATCAGCCGAGCAGCTCTGAGTGTCCTAGTGCCCATCATCGTCAGCCGGGCAGCTCTGCGTGTCCTAGTGCCCATCATCATCAGCCGAGCAGCTCTGAGTGTCCTAGTGCCCCTCATCATCAGCCGGGCAGTTCTGAGTGTCCTAGTGCCCATCATCAGCCGAGCAGCTCTGTGTGTCCTAGTGCCCATTATCATCAGCCGAGCAGCTCTGAGTGTCCTAGTGCCCATTATCATCAGCCGAGCAGCTCTGCGTGTCCTAGTGCCCATTATCATCAGCCGAGCAGCTCTGAGTGTCCTAGTGCCCCTCATCATCAGCCGGGCAGTTCTGAGTGTCCTAGTGCCCATCATCATCAGCCGGGCAGCTCTGAGTGTCCTAGTGCCCCTCATCATCAGCCGGGCAGCTCTGAGTGTCCTAGTGCCCATTATCATCAGCCGAGCAGCTCTGAGTGTCCTAGTGCCCATTATCATCAGCCGAGCAGCTCTGTGTGTCCTAGTGCCCATTATCATCAGCCGGGCAGCTGAGTGTCCTAGTGCCCATTATCATCAGCCGAGCAGCTCTGAGTGTCCTAGTGCCCATCATCGTCAGCCGAGCAGCTCTGCGTGTCCTAGTGCCCATCATCGTCAGCCGAGCAGCTCTGCGTGTCCTAGTGCCCGTCATCGTCAGCCGAGCAGCTCTGAGTGTCCTAGTGCCCATCATCGTCAGCCGAGCAGCTCTGAGTGTCCTAGTGCCCATCATTATCATCAGTGGAGTCACAGCACACAACTCATTTGTTTCCGGTCTCCTTTCCTCACTGAAACGCTCTCAAGATTCAGCAGTTCTGCTGCATGTGCCACGTCTGCTTGTTGCTGTGTGGTGGTCCACCAGTGAGCTTGTCAGTTTTGTTTATCCTTTCTGTTGATGGATGTTTATTTTATTTGTTTCCAGTTCCGGGCTATTAGGAATAAAGCTGTAAGCATGTGTAGACCTAACTTTGTGTGGACACATGTTTTTTTTCCTCTTGGGTGCATACCTGGGATTGGAACTGCTGGGTTCTGTGGTAAGCACCAATCTCTTCCAGAGTGGCTGTCCCCCTTGACACCCCAGCAAGGTTGTCCCACAGCCTCGCCAAGGGTTGGCCTTTGAGTTTTATCCTGGCCACTACAGGGTGGTATTTTATTGTGATGTTAATTTGCACTTCCCTGCTGAGTAACGATGCTGCTCATCTTTTTGTTGTACTTATTTGCCACTTGTATTTCTTGTTTTGTGAAATGAACATTCAGATTTTTTGCCCATTTGTTTAAGTGTTTGTGTTATTCCTGAGTTGTAAGAGCCTGTTGTTTGTTCTGGGTATAAGTCCTTTATCAGGTGTACTTGCCAACACGATATTCCTATCCTGTGCCTTGCCTTTCTGTTTCCTAGACAGTACCATTTGAAGAACCAAATGTTGTTTTTTTTGGTGGGGGTGGGGGGTTTCTTTTCTTTTTCTTTTTTTTTTTTGAGACATTGTTTGCTCTCGTTGCCCAGGCTGGAATGCAATGGCCTGATCTCAGCTCACTGCAACCTCTACCTCCCAGATTCAAGCGATTATCCTCTCTCAGCCTCCCAAGTAGCTCGGATTACAGGCTCCCACCACCATGGCCGGCTAATTTTTTGTATTTTTAGTAAAGACGGGGTTTCACCATGTTGGCCAGGCCGGTCTCGACCTGACGTCAGGTGATCCACCCTCGTTGGTCTCCCAAAGCGCTGAGATGACAGGCGTGAGCCACCATGCGCAGTCTAGAACCAAATGTTTTAATTCTGTTACCATTTTTTTTCTCTAGTCAGTGCTTTTTGTGTCCTGTCTTAAAATTTTTCACCTAGCCCAGGCAGCAAAGATTTTCACCTGCATTTTCTTCAAGAAGTTTTATAGTTTTAAGATATATGCTATTTGGAATTGCTATTTCTAGATGGTATGAGGTAGTAGTCACGTTTTTTCCATTTTTCCTCATACAGATACCTCGTTTCCAGCACCATTTGTTGAAAAGAGAACCCTTAATTTATTAAAGTATGCAGTGCTTTTGTCGAAAATCAACTCACTTTGTGTGTGTGGTTCTTCCCCAGGACTCTCTCTTCTGTCCCACTCTTCTCTGTTTCGGTCTTTATACTGTTACCATGCTGTCTTGATCATTGTAGCTTTATATTGAATCAGGTGATAGAAGTTACCCAACTTTTCTTCTTTTTCTTTTTTCCAAAATTGTTTTGGCTATCCTAGGACCCTTTGCATTTCCTTATGAATTTCAGAATCAGCTTGTCAGTTTCTAGAAACATTTTCATTGGAACTACTTGAATTTCTAAATTAATTTGGGAAGAAGTGCCATCTTAGGCAAACTGAGTCCTCCAATCCAGTGCCATGGTAAGGTGCTCCATTTATTTAGATCAGTCTCATCCTATATTTTCTTGTAGTTTTCAACGTATTGGTTTTGCACACATTTTGTTAAATTTATTCCTACATATTTTGTGGTTTGGGATGCTATTATAAATGATTTTTTAATTTTCCACTTATTTGTTGCAAGTATATAGAAGTACAATTAGCTGTTGTATATTGATCTCGTATCATGTGACTTTGTTAAATTCATTCATTTCTGTAGTTTGTTTCTTTATTTTTCTTCTTTTCCTTCCCTCCCTCCCTCCCTCCCTTCCTTCCTTCCTTCTTTTCTCTCCTTTTTACTTTTTTCTTTCAATAAAAACAAGGTATTCTGTGTTGCCCAGGCTGGAGTAGAGTGGCTATTCTCTAGTGATTTTTTTCTTTTTTTTTGAGATGGAGTTTCTCTCTTGTTGCCCAGGCTGGAGTGCAGTGGCGCAATCTTGGCTCACTGCAACCCCCACCTCGCCAGTTCAAGTGATTCTCCTGTCTCAGCCTCCCGAGTAGCTGGGATTAAAGGCATGTGCCACCACACCCGGCTAATTTTGTAGTGATTTTTTTTTTCTTTGAACAGGGTTATTTAGAGATATGTTACTTATTTTCCAAATAATTGAGAATTTTTTAAATAGATTCTATTGCTCAGGATTTTTCATTCAATTCTATAAGGCCCAGACAACATACCCTCTAATATTTTAGTCTGTTAAAAAATGTTGGAGACTTATTTTACGCCCCAGTATATGGCCTAACTTCATGAATATTTCATGTACACTTAACGAATGTAGCATTCAATAGTTATAAAAGTCCCCTCCACAAGCTGGAAACCCTGGGATGCCAGTGTCATGGCTCAGTCCAAGTCCAAAGGCTTCAGAACCAGGGAAGTCAGTGGTGTCACTCTTGGTCCTGGGCCAAAGGTCTCAGAGCCCTGAGGAGAGAGGAGGTGCTGGTGACATCTGGGAGTCCAAAGGTCGGGGGGCCTGGAGGTGTCCAAGGACGGGGGAGGAAGAGTGTATCCCAGCTCCAGCAAACAGATGGACATATTCGCCTTATCTTTGTTTTTATTTTATCTGGGCCCCCAGCCTATTAGATGGTGCCCACCCTCATGGAGGGTAGATCTTCCTCACCTGGTCAGTCACCTCTGGAAACATCTTCTCAGACATACTCAAAATAATCCTTTACCGGGTTTCTAGGTGTTCCTTAATCGGTCACCTTTGACCTTTGACACCTAAAATTAACCATGACACCCACACCCACCTCTGGCTGCTTTCAAGTTTCTATTTTCTTGCCTTTGATTATCAGCCAAAGTTTTGCTGTGATATAATTAGAATTTGTGGCTTGATATATTTTGTTAGGCTCAGAAAATTGGCCATGATCTTTTCAAATATTGCTTGTGTTCTGTTGTCTTTCCTATCTTCTTCTGGGTCTCTGGTTACACATGTGTTCAGTCTTTTGCAATTTTCAATGTGTCCCTTATGCTTTCATCCATATTTTCCATTATTCTCTAAGCTTCAATGTGGATATTTCCTACTGATCATTTTCCATTTTACTAATCCTTTCTTCATCTGTGTCTAATTTGTCTATTTCATTATTGGGGCCTTAATTTGAGTTATTATGTTTTTCAGTTGTAGAATTTATATTTTAATCTTTTTGATAAATTCTGATTACCTGCAGAAATTCTCCATATTGTCTTCTAATAACTCCAGTATTGGTATCCCCTGGGTGAGGGTGGGGGAGGTGTCTATTTCCTGTTTTTTCTTTTGATCTTATCTCCTAGTAACCTAAGGAGTTTTTCTTTTTTTCTTGGATTCTAGACAATATGTGTGAAAAATTGTAGAGATGACTTGAGGCTTCCTTTGATGTTATCCTCACCAAAGAGCAGTTCTGTGCTTCTGCCTGTTGGTCAAGGATGGACAGCTCGTGTTCAGTAGAGGCTGAGCTGGTTTGAAACCGGACTTCCCAGCCTGTTTCTGGTTAACTCTTACTCCTGGGATGGGACCCTTCAGGGACCCCACCCAAAGCTGGGGTGCTTTTTTTTTTTTTTTTTTTTTTCCTCTTCAGATGGAGTCTCGCTCTGTTGCTCAGGCTGGAGTGCAGTGGCGCGATCTTGGCTCACTGCAAGCTCCGCCTCCTGGGTTCACGCCATTCTCCTGCCTCAGCCTCCTGAGTAGCTGGGACTACAGGCACCCGCCACCACACCCGGCTAATTTTTTTTGTATTTTTAGTAGAGACGGGGTTTCACCCTGTTAGCCAGGATGGTCTCGATCTCCTTACCTCGTGATCCGCCCGCCTCGGCCTCCCAAAGTGCTGGGATTACAGGCGTGAACCACCGTGCCCAACCTCAGGGTGCTTTTTTTCTTTCTTTTTCTTTTTCTTTTTTTTTTCTTTTTTTTTTTTTTTTTGAGAAGGAGTCTTGCTCTGTCACCCAGGCTGAAGTGCAGTGGCATGATCTCGGCTCACTGCAACCTCCACCTCTTGGGTTCAAGCAATTCTGCTGCCTCAACTTCCCGAGTAGCTGGGACTACATGTGCATACCACCATGCCCGGCTGCGCCTCTCCTCCTAGATGGACACTGAATTCCAGTGTTTGTCCCTCCAGCTCCATGAGTCTGAGAAGGCCCCACTTAGCTTCTCAGCCTCTTAGCTACCACATCCCTCTCAGCCTCCACCCCTTGAACCCCTTGACTTCCGGGCAGCAAAAGCATCGGGGCCAGTTGCTCCAAATTGGGTCTCACCTCCACACTTCCTTCTCTTTGGGGTGCTGGTCCTCGCTGACTTGGTGGTTCTCTGACACCTTTAAAGAAACTTCTTAAAACCTGGGTTGTTATCTGCAGGAGGGTTGGTCAGTTACAGAGTAGTCAGCCATGGCCATAAGCAGAACTCCGTTTCATCCACTTCTGGTGCCCCCCACCCCACATGACCCCCCACACATCTGGGGCACTAGAGAGATAGTGCCCATCAGAGAATTGTCTTTTGACAGTGGTCACTCTCACAATTTGCCGGCAAACATTCTGGGCATATAGGGCTGACTCATTCGGGACTTAGCTGCCATAGGCTTGGATTCTTGTTGGAAACAGCTGCTATAATTTATTCTGATGAATTACTGTTCCAAAGATGGTATTTCTGAGCTTTCCAAGAACACACTGGACATCAGTTCTAGTTACAGTGAAAGTGGGAGGCAGTGGAGAAGGGAAGCACTGGAAGCTCAGCGCTTGTCTGATCAGGTATATGATTTGTAGAGACCAAAAAAAGGTGACTTCTCCCATCCAAGTACTAACCAGGCCCGACCCTCCTTAGCTTCCGAGGTCAGACGAGATCAGGTGCGTTCAGGGTGGTATGGCCGTCGACAAAAAAGGTGACTTCTAAATAAACAATCCCTGTGTTCCCCTGGTGGTCTTCTGGAGGCAGCTGAAGGGCACCTGGATTGTGACATGCCCAGGGGCCCTGGGCTGTGTGTCTACCCTCCTCTGGCAGGGCCACTGCCTGGCTCACAGCCCGTGATGAGTGTGTGGCATGCAGTGGGCGCACAGGCATTGATTGAATCTTTTGAAGATAAAACTAAGCTATCTTTGTTCCATTCTCCTGCTCAGATCACCCGGAAGTTCAGGCTGAATTCTGAAGGCAAACTTGAGCAGACGGTCTCCATGGCAACCACGACACAGCCAATGACTCAGCATCTTCACGTCACCTACAAGAAGGTGACCCCGTAAACCTAGAGCTTCTGGAGCCCTCGGGAGGGCCTGGCTACTGTGCCTCAACGGTTCGGCTCCTCAACAGACAGTCCCTGCGGCAGAAGTGGGTGTGGCCGTGAGCCTCTGCAGGCTCAAGAGTGTTGTCCAGATGTTTCTGTACTGGCATAGAAAAACCAAATAAAAGGCCTTTATTTTTATGGCTGAGGATTTTGAATATTATCACTTGCGTAGGCTGTACATTTTTTTTTTATCTGCTGATGTTTGTTTTCCAAAGCGTTCCCTAAGAAATTAAGAAGGGGGCTGGGTGTGGTGGCTCACGCCTGTAATCCCAGTACTATGGGAGACCAAGGCTGGCGGATCACCTAAGGTCAGGAGTTCGAGACCAGCCTGACCAACATGGAGAAACCCCGTCTCTACTTAAAATACAAAAAATTAGCCAGGTGTGGTGGCGCATGCCTATAATCCTGGCTACTTGGGAGGCTAAGGCAGGAGAATCGCTTGAACCCAGGAGTTGGAGGTTGCAGTGAGCCAAGATCGCACCACTGCACTCCAGCCTGGGAGACAAGAGCAAGACTCTGTCTGGAAAAAAAAAAAAAAAAAAATTAAGAAGGGATGAATCTCTTTCCTTTTCTTTCTTCTTACAGTTTTGACAAGATCTAAAATATTTGTAAATCTTCTATAGAGTTGGCCGGGCGCAGTGGCTCACGCCTATAATCCCAGCACTTTGGGAGGCCAAGGCGAGGAAATGGCTTGAAGCCAGGAGTTTGGGACCAGCCTGGGCAACGTGGCAAAACCCCATCCCTACAAAAAAAAATAGAAATATTAGCCGAGTATGGTGGTCCATGCCTGTGGTCCCACCTACTCAGAAGGCTGAGGTGGGAGGATCCCTGGAGCCCGGGTGGTGGAGGTTGCAGTGAACCAAGATCACACCACTGCACTCCAACTTGGGTGACAGAGCAAGACCCTGTCTCCAAAAAAAAAAGATGGCAGTCATTTTCTCATTACTTTTAAAGAGCCGAGTCTATATTTTCCTACAGATGGAGCATTCCCAAGAGGCTAGCTGTGATCTTAACATCATCATGTAAGTTTTAGTTTGTAACTCTAATACAGCTTTCGTTTTTGTGGGGTTTTTTTCACTATGAAAGTTTCCAAACATACACTAAACCCTTGTACCTGTCACCCAGCTTCAGCACCTGCCAGCATTTTGCCCAAAGCACTTCCATCTTTTCCTCCCCCACTTCTGCGGGAATACACGTAAGCAAATTCCAGACATATTGTCACTTGCCCCTAAATCCTTTGGTAGGCATCACAAAACAACACAAAGCCATTTTCTTTCTCTTAACTCGTTGCCATATCAGAAGTCTCACCAGGCACATGGAGACGAGGCTACACGGGTGTTGGGAAGCAGAGTCAGAATAGGTAGCACACAGGCTGCGCAGGGTTAACATCCAGGGTAGCAACCGCAGGTACCACCTCCAGGGCTTGGGGACAAAAAGTATTACCAGGGTGGGGTTTCAGGGACCTCAGAGCTTACAGGATGTGCTTGGTTCTCGCAAGAGGGGCAGGAGGGCCTAGGACTGTACTCCAGGAGCCAAGGGGGCACCAAGGGACCTGGTGGCTGGGCTCAGAGCTGTCTCTGCTCCCAAAGTGATGCTGAAATAACCTGGGAACACCAGGGAGGTCCCAGCCCCAACTCCTGCATCCAGGGCTCCAGCACACCCAGCTGGAAGGGTGTGTGGAAGGGCAGCACTCAGGGCAGAGCACAGACAAGCCAAGAGACAAGAAGTCAATAACTGACGGCACAGTGCTGTTTTCACAAAATGCATAAGAATTCTGTAATGTTCTCTAACAGTCCTATTCGTATTTCCCTTACTGCCTAAGAAATATCCTCACACGATTGGATTATCAAAGCTTTATTCACGTTTGTGTTTGGCTACAAAGTCTTTTAGGATCCTTTTGATCCTAAAAGTCCCCCTCTTCCCTCCCCTGTGCCCTTGACTTGTTGGTGAAGCTGGTCACTTGTCCTCGAAGGTGTCCCCAGTCTGGACTTAGCATCCTCCTTGTAGTGTTTAACTTGTTCCTCTGTCCCCTCTATATCCTGTCGTCTGGAAGTTGGATCTAAAGTTGTGGCTGGAATCACACCCGGACGGTGCTCAGTTCCTCGTGTCACAGCCTCATGTCCAATTGTGTCACTTTGTTGAAGCATTAATAAGCTTGGATGGCGACAGCCTGACCCCTTTATCGTCAGTTTCCCCTCAACTGTTCCCCTGACAGTTTTGCCACCTGTGGGTGACCATTGCTAGAACCAGAACCTTCACTGGGACTGCAGAATTCTCGTCTTCTGTCTCATCAGAAGGACATTTAGTGGCTGGAATTCTCTCAGACCTTCCCTTTATCCATTAGGGTAAGTCAGGTTACCCTGAAGTGCGTTCATACTAGAAAGGCAGCATAAGCACTTAATTATTTCCCTTTAATGATCAATTTTTGGAGTAAGAATGTCCTGGCACCCTCCAGTGGTGCCAAAGGACTGGGAGTTCCTCACACCACTGCACTTACCCTTCCCGCTTCCCTACTCATGTTACGAGCTTAATGCTTTCATGTATACAGTCTGTCCTCAGTATCCACAGGGGTGCGTTACAGGACCCACACGGGTACCAAAATCAGATGCTCGAGTCTCTTGTATAAAATGGCATGGGATTTGCATGCAACTTATGCACATTCTCACATATACCTTAAGTCATCTCTAGATTGCTTATAATACCTGATACAGTGTAAATGCTCTGTACGCAGTTGTTATACTGTATATTTTTGGGGTTTTTTATTGTGGGCTTTTGGGGAATATTTTTATTTTTATTTATTTATTTATTTATTTATTTTTTGAGATGGAGTCTCGCTCTGTTGCCCAGGCTGAAGTGCAGTGGTGCGATCTCGGCTCACTGCAAGCTCTGCCTCCCGGGTTCATGCCATTCTACTGCCTCAGCCTCCCGAGTAGCTGGGACTACAGGCGCCCGCCACCACACCTGGCTAATTTTTTGTATTTTTAGTAGAGACGGGATTTCACCATGTTAGCCAGGCTGGTCTCGATCTCCTGACCTCGTGATCCACCCACCTCAGCCTCCCAAAGTGCTAGGATTACAGGTGTGAGCCACCATGCCCGGCCAGGAATATTTTTTATACACAGTTGAATCCACAGAAATGGAGGGCCAACTGTATTTGATATCATTTTAATCAAGTGCTGCGTATATCTTTGGCAAACAGGAGATGCTCAGATTATCTCGTAATTGGACAGAGGAGCCCCTCCATCCAGTGGGCTTTGATGCCTCCTTGCTCTGGGGCCACAGCTGCCTCTGACTTTTCCTGCCCAGAACCTGGAACTACCCATTTCTCCAGAGCCCTGGTTCTCGTTAGTGGGGAGTGGGAATTGGAGGGAGTGGGAATTGGAGGCCACAGACTGAGCACTGACTGCTTATGATGGCTGGGCTGCTCTACCTCCCAGCCTTTCCATGGACAAAACCAGAAAATTGTTCTAAAATTTATTTTCTCAGCTAGGCGCGGTGGCTCATGCCTGTAATCCCAGCACTTTGGGAGGCCGAGGTGGATGGATCACCTGAGGTAAGGAGTTCGAACCTGGCCAACATGACAAAACCCCATCTCTACTAAAAATACAAAAAATTAGTCAGGCATGGTGGCGGGCACCTGTAATCCCAGCTACTCGGGGGGCTGAGGCAGGAGAATTGCTTAAACCTGCGAGGCAGAGGTTGCAGTGAGCCGAGATCACACCATTGCACTCCAGCCTGGGCGACAGAGCAAGACACTCTCTCTCAAAAAAAAAAAAAAAAAAAAATTTCTGGTTTATTTTCTCTGAATCGTGAGGTTGTATTAGAGATCAGGACCCTTCACCCTTAACTACTTTAGCATGGGATATACACATGTATTTTTGAAAAATATGAATTCATACTGTTTTCCATTCAAATGTTAAGATTATAAGGGTTTTTAAATATTCTTTGATTTTACCTCTTAAGCTGAAAATCTTGGTTCATTACAACATTAACATTATTTGCTTTATTCTACATATAAATGCATATAATCATTTCAAAATAAGCCTGGGCAACATAGTAAGACCCCACCTCTACCAAAAAAGGTATTGTTAACAATGACTACTGGTCAAAGTTTTTTTCTGCTAGCTTTTTTAGACCTTTCCCTTTGAAGATACAAAGTTAAAATATGATGTAATTGGATTAACTACTCTGCGCTTCTGTCACCAACTTGATACACAAGTCCATTTGTTTAAATTCTAGAAATTGTTATAATTTGTTTTGCGAATACAAATCATTTGACTGGCTTTCTTGTCAGAACTGTAAAACCAGGCACATTTGCTCCACACAGGCCTCTAGCACAGCTACCGAGTGCTCCGGTAAGCTCGCCGTGGGTTAGCTCGCCGTGGATTAGCTCACCGTGGGTTAGCTCGCCGTGGATTAGCTCGCCGTGGGTTAGCTCGCCGTGGGTTAGCTCGCCGTGGGTAAGCTCGCCGTGGGTTAGCTCGCCGTGGGTTAGCTCGCCGTGGGTTAGCTCGCCGTGGGTAAGCTCGCCGTGGGTTAGCTCGCCGTGGGTTAGCTCGCCGTGGGTTAGCTCGCCGTGGGTAAGCTGGCCGTGGGTTAGCTCGCCGTGGGTTAGCTGGCCGTGGGTTAGCTGGCCGTGGGTAAGCTGGCCGTGGGTTAGCTGGCCGTGGGTTAGCTGGCCGTGGGTTAGCTCGCCGTGGGTTAGCTGGCCGTGGGTTAGCTCGCCGTGGGTTAGCTCGCCGTGGGTTAGCTGGCGGTGGGTTAGCTCGCCGTGGGTTAGCTCGCCGTGGGTTAGCTCGCCGTGGATTAGCTCACCGTGAGTTAGCCAGCAGATCCCCTCATGCTGGGCCTTGGGTTGTTTCCAGTCTTTGGCCAATCAAATGTCAGAGTTGGACCCAGCACCTCCGTTGGGACTGCAGAGTGCTTGTCTTCTAAGTCTGGTTAGAAGGGCATTTCCACATCCTTGTGGATTCTGGCCATCGTATCTTAAGGATACATTTCTGGAAGTGGGATTGCCAGTCGGCGGGGAGAGGCTCATCTGGCTTGTCTGGGTGTTGTCCCTGTCCCCAAGGGGCCAGGCGTTCTGCATCCCCACAGCATTGTAGGAAGTCCCTGCCCCCCTCAGCAGCCGAATCTGGTGTCAAATTTGGATTTGGGTCAATCTTGTAGGTGAGAAATGGAGTCTTGGGGTGGTTTTGGTTTGCATTTCTCTCTCTCTTTTTTTTTTTTAATCATTTTCTTGATTTTCCAAACTCATGAGCTCGTTTGAATAAGGAATATTAATCCTAATATTTCTCATTTTAAGTTATAATTTTTATTGAGGTAAAATATACATAAAACAACATTTTTATCAGAGTCCTATAGATGGTTAAAAAAATTCACCATTTTAACCATCTCTTAAAGTCTACAATTTAGCAGCATTTAATACATTCATAACGTACAACCATCACTTCTGTGTGCTTCCAAAGCCTTCATCACGCCAGAAGGAGACCCCGCGCCCGTTCAACACCATCCCCCCACCCTCAGTCCCCGACAGTCACTGCCCTGCTTCCCACTCAAGTCACCGACACTTTGAAAATGTGCTATGTTATAAAACTTTTTTCCCAGTATACATTTTGTCTTTTATCACTCCTGGGTTTTAAGTCATATTTAAGAAGATTTTGCCCACTCCCCGGTGATGAAGGAATTCACTTTTTCCTAGTACTTTTGACCCATTTGGAATTTGTCTTAGTGTATGGTATGAAGTGCAGATTCATTTTCGTCTTTCTCCAAGTGGTTAACGTTTAACCACTTGTATTAACAAGTCCATCCTTTCCTCACCGGTATCATATGCTACCTTATAGACTGAATGTTCTAGGCACTGGGGTCTGTCCCCGGGTTTTCATGTCCCTGGGCCTGCTTGCCTACATGGGTCCTGGTGTCATGTGGTTCCATTACGGAGGCCAGGAGATGGTTCGGGGGCAGAGGACCTCTCCATTTCTTTTGCAGAGTTTTCCTGGCTATTTTTACACTCCTGTGCACTTCCTCTCTCACATGAACTTTATAATTAGTTTTCTAGATCTGGGGAAAAGCATGCGGCGTTTTTATAAGGATTACATTACATTTATAAATTTACTTTTGTAGAATTGTCTTGCTTAGGAGAGTTTTCTTATCCAGGAACATGGTCTTTCTTTCTGTCTTAATTCATTTTCTGTTGCTATGACTGAATACCACAGAGTGGGTAAGTTATAAAGAAAAGAATTTTATTTCTTACAGTTCTGGAGGCAGGGAGTCCAAGGTATAGGAGTTGCATCTGGTGAGGACCTTCTTGCTGGTCAAGACTCTGCAGTCTCAAGTGGTGCCGGGCATTATGTGAGGGTCTCATGAGAGACGGCAAAGCTGGCTTTTATAACCAGCCCCCTGGTGATAACTGCTCCACTCCCTGAGAACCCATTAGTCCATGAATGGATTAGTCCTCATGAGCCAATCACCTCCCCAGAATCCCATCCCAGCACTGCTGCATTGGAGTCCAGGTTTCCAACACATGAACTTTTGGGGAATTCATTCAAACCATGGTGGTGTTAAAATCGACTTTGGTGTCTTTATGGTCTATTTAAAGTTTTTCCCATTTAGGGTTTCACATTTCTTTTACGCATGGGGATTTTTATCTTTTTGTTGCTGTTAAAAATGGGTCATCTCTTCCACTCTGTCTTTGAACTGAAAGTATGCACAAAGATCTCTGTGTGCTACTTTAAATCCTGCTGTTTCTCTGAATTCTCTTAGTGTTTGTAACATCACTTTCTTGTGCTGGAAATATAACAAAGTATTTGATCCAAGAAGCATCTGGCAGGAAGCCTGGGCAGGAGGGGCACCTTGAGCATGGGCTTCCTCCTCCCCTTTCCTCTGTCTCTTCTCCTACCGGCTGCTTTCCTTCTCTCCCATCTGCTGTCCACCAGGCAGGCGTTGCCAGACCACCCCAGAGGTCCCCTCTTCATGTTTCTTGAGGCTGCGTGGGGGGAGGGCATGATAGAGGGAGGCAGGGCTTCGAAGGAGGCACTCGGGGGAGGGGGGGGCGAGGAGAGGATGGGGCATGCGAGGGGGCCTTGTCCTCCAGCTTTGTCAGAAGCCTAATGTGCCCTGTGGCCTGAGCTGGCATCAGACAGGCTTTAAGAGGAGAATGTCAGCTGGGTGCGGTGGCTCACACCTGTAATTCTAGCACTTTGGGAGGCCGAGGTGGGTGGATCCCTTGAGGTCAGGAGTTCGAGACCAGCCTGGCCAACATGGCAAAACCCCATCTCTATGAAAAATAGAAAAATTAGCCAGGCGTGGTGGCAGGCGCCTGTAATTCCAGCTACTCAGGAGGCTGAGGCACAAGAATCACTTGAACCCGGGAGGCAGAGGTTGCAATGAGCCAAGACTGCGCCACTGCACTCCAGCCTGGGCGACAGAGTGAGGTCCTAAAAAGGGAAGAATATCGCTGCATCAGAAAGCAGGAAGGTGGGGCCTGCCCGGGGCCATGGCCCTGCAATGAGTTTGGCCCAGAGGCACAGACAGACAGGAGACCAAAGTGAAATGAATGAAAATGGACTGGACCCGATCGGAGGACTGAGGAGAGCCAGGCCTCAGGGCACCTGGCATTTGTTCCCTGGATGGATCAGGGGAACTGAGGAGAGCCGGGCCGCAGGGCACCCTGGCGTTTGTTCTCTGGGCGGATCAGGGGAACCGAGGAGAGCCGGGCCGCAGGGCACCCTGGCGTTTGTTCCCTGGATGGATCAGGGGAACCGAGGAGAGCCGGGCCGCAGGGCACCCTGGCGTTTGTTCCCAGGGTAGGGGAGCTCTAGCATGGCACACAGTAGCAGAAGATAGCAGGTTGTGGTCGGCCCATGTAGAGATTTTAGAAACATCTCACACTTCATGAGATCTTAGAAACATCTCACACTTCAGGTTCAGTCACCCGTGTCCAGTGTCCACAGGAAGGCCTGTGCAAGGCCTCATGGGAAACAGGGTGGTCCACCAGGCCTGCCCTCAAGGGGGCCCCGTCCCGGAGAAGCAGATGCACAAAGCTGAGGGACACAGGTCGTGGGCCTTCTTGTGTGGCTCCTTGGCCACGGCACCGCAGCACCTGAGAGCCACCGCTGGAGAGGCAAACGAGCCCTGCAGCAGGCCCGAACCAGAGTTCCTGGGCACGGCCGCGTGCACCCAGTCGGGAGCTTCCCTGCTAAGGGTCAGCGAAGGCTTGGGGTGCTGGCATTAGGGCTGGGTCCTGAGGGAAGATGAGGGAGAGAAGTATAGGAGGAGGAGGGAGTTGAAGGCTGCAGACAGGAGGAGGAAGGGGAGGGAGTAGGGCTGCCAGGGGAGGGGTGGAGGGCTGGATAAGGAGGAGGGCTACAAAGAAAAGAGTAGAGCTGCAGGGAAGGAGGGTGGAGGGCTGCAGCGGGAGGAGGAGAGGGAGGAAGGCTGCAAGGGGAGGAGGAGTATTGCAGGGGAGGGGGAGGAGAGCTGGCAGGGGAGGAGGAGGAGGGCTACAAAGAAAAGAGAACTGCAGTGGGAGAAGGAGAGTGGTGGAGAGTTGCAGGGGAAGGGGAGAGGGAGGAGGACTGGAGGAGGAGGAGGGATGTAGGAGGAGGGTAGTGGAGGGCTGCAGAGGAGGAGGAAGAGGAGAATAGGGAGGACAAATCCACTCTAGCAGGGGAACGAAAGCAGCATGGGGCAGACAAATCCACTCTAGCATTCCAATCTCCCTAAGCCTTTGAATCCCTTCTTCTACACTAACCATGGGCGGCCAGGCATGTCCAGTTATCCCATGGTGGGCCATGTTTTGGCCCATGTTTCAGCCAAGCAGCCAACCAACCAATTAGAGCCCTTTCTAAATGCGGAATCTCTGCTTAGTGAGCCCGTATCAATAAACTTGGCCTGATCTAACTCTGTGTTCCTCCTACCATTCTCCCAGGCCCTCAATATGCATTCCCACGGTCCTGGGATTTCTATGTAAACTGGAAAACTCACGTTCTCTTTGGTAAGTGCATCTCCTCATGGTCACGCCCTGTATCTCTAGGGGCTGCCCAACATCAGTCTAGTTCCATGTCTAGAAGCAAAGAGGGGTGGGGGCAGATCCTGGGAAGCAGCAGCTTGGTCCTGCTAGTCAGCAGCCTCAGGGCAGTCCCATTTCCTCAGGCAGTACAGGGTTAACCCACTCAGATGGAGTTGGGGAGGCTACCACTAGGGTTAGGAAGGCCTCTTCCACTGAAGACTCATCAGGATTTAGGGGTTGTCTTCACTGTTCATCAGGGTCACCCCACACATCCTCATCCCAACTGACAGGATCCCATTCCTTCCTAACCAATGCCTTCATTTGCACAGCAGACACCGTGAGGCTGGGAGTTCCACATGTGCTATAATCCAGCCACTGGAAGGGCGAGATTCTGGGTTTGATTTTCAGTAGTCTCAGACCCGCAGCTAAAGGAGGTAAGAGTCTCTCTTGGGACAGTCATAACTTTCAGATTATTCATGTGACACTTCAGCTGGGAATCTGAATCCTGAGCTCACTCCCATGATACTTTTTCTGAGATGGAGTCTCACTCTGTAGCCCAGGCTGGAATGCAGTGGGGCAATCCCAGCTCACTGCAACCTCTGCCTCCCAGGTGCAAGTAATTCTCCTGCCTCAGCCTCCCGAGTAGCTGGGATTACAGGTGCCTGCCACCACACTTGGCTAATTTCTGTATTTTTAGAAGAGTTGGGGTTTTGCCATGTTGGCCAAGGTGGTCTTGAACTCCTGACCTCAGGTGATCTGCCCGCCTCAGGCCTCCCAAAGTGCTGGGATTATAGGCGTGAGCCACCACACACGGCTTTTTTTTTTTGAGACAGGGTCTCACTGTGTTACCCAGGCCGGAGTACAGTGGTACAATCACAGCTAACTGCAGCGTCAACCTCTCAGATTCAACCAATCCTCCCACCTCAGCCTCCAGAGTAGCTGGAACCACAGGTGCAGGCCACCGTGCTTGACTAATTTTATTTTTTAGAGATGGGATCTTGTTATGTTGCCTAGGCTGGTCTTGAACTCCTGGCCTCAAGCCATCCTCCTGCCTCCCAAAGTGCTGGGATGACAGGTGTGAGCTACTGGTCCTGGCCCATTATACTCTAGTTTGATGAAAGTGTTCAAAAGCCACCGAGAACCCTGCCTTCTGCAAGTATTTAATTAGGAGCACCCAGTGGTGATACTATGCATACCTCTATTGCCACATCACACTATGGACTATCGGTGTTCTTTTTACTACTGGAAATCAGCATTAGTGCCTTTACATCTAATCAGGATAAAGACCCAATTCCAGGAACCCTCCCATCCCCACCCTCTCGCCACTCCCCACCCTCAATTATTTTCAAGCAAACCCTCCGCACCTCTTACCATGTTGTGTATAGGTAGAAGCTATTTAACACACACACAGTGACATTCTGTCTAAAATGACAACGATCGTTTGGAGAAGTTTATTACCACCCCTACCCTCCAGTGGGATCTCAATGTCACGATGAGTCCGGGGCTGGCTTTCCGCCGGGACCCTCCTGTCCTGGCACATGGCCCACCCCAGCACGAAGCCTGGCCGGGAGGGCTCAGGTGGGTGGCTGCTAGGCCAGGCCTCCCCAGAACGACTGCCCCATGTCCAGCCTGTATCTCCTGAGTGCCATGCTGCACTGGGGAGGGACAGGGCTGGCTCGGGGCTCCAGGAAAGATGCCTCACATGTGCCTAGAAATGTAGGCGTCAAGGGAAGGCTGTGTGTGGGGGCACCTGAGGGGCTGGGCTTCCCAGGCATCTGAGTTCTTACGGAGCCCTAATAGGCACATCCCCAAATGGTTGTATGAGGATGAGCACAAAAATAGCAGATGGGGTCACCCTCACCCTCCACTGACAATGGACTGGGATCCGACTCATGCAACATTCCTTCTCGGCCGTAGGTTCCACATCCATGGGTTAGGTGTGCTGGCCTGGAGCCCGCCGGCCCCGGTCCCCACCGCACAAGGACCCCATCACAAGTGGGTGTCATACTCTTCCTCCAGAAACGGATTAAGCAACCAGCATGTGAACCTTACGCTCTGTTTACAGGCTGAGTCCCCACAGCTCTTCCAGCTTCAGCCAGGCCAGGGTCACCTTCAGATTGAATGTGCAGGGCCCCTGAGGACTCATGTCCTGAGATGGCCCTTCTTCCTGGGATGGGACCCCCGGGTTCAGGTGAGAGGTGTTCCCGGGCCCCTTCACCTGGGGCTCAGGTGACAGGAGGTGTTCCGGGCCCCTTCACCTGGGGCTCAGGTGAGAGGAGGTGTTCCGGGCCCCTTCACCTGGGGCTCAGGTGAGAGCAAGTGTTCCGGGCCCCTTCACCGGGGGCTCAGGTGAGAGCAGGTGTTCCGGGCCCCTTCACCTGGGGCTCAGGTGAGAGCAAGTGTTCCGGGCCCCTTCACCAGGGGCTCAGGTGAGAGCAGGTGTTCCCGGGCCCCTTCACCTGGGGCTCAGGTGAGAGCAGGTGTTCCGGGCCCCTTCACCTGGGGCTCAGGTGAGAGCAGGTGTTCTGGGCCCCTTCACCTGGGGTTCAGGTGAGAGCAGGTGTTCCCGGGCCCCTTCACCTGGGGCTCAGGTGAGAGCAGGTGTTCCCGGGCCCCTTCACCTGGGGCTCAGGTGAGAGCAGGTGTTCCGGGCCCCTTCACCTGGGGCTCAGGTGAGAGCAGGTGTTCCGGGCCCCTTCACCTGGGGTTCAGGTGAGAGCAGGTGTTCCCGGGCCCCTTCACCTGGGGCTCAGGTGAGAGCAGGTGTTCCCGGGCCCCTTCACCTGGGGCTCAGGTGAGAGCAGGTGTTCTGGGCCCCTGCATCTGAGGCCTGGGAGTTGACCCTGACTTCCTGGCCCCAGAAAGAAAAGGGAAAACACAGAGATCACAGGAGAAGGGACACAAGCGGGGAGGGTCGCAGGCTGCCCCAAAGCCCAGCTCCAGGCTCAGGAAAGCCCCTCCCCACTCACCCCTTCCGGAGGGCCTGGGTCTGCGGAGGAACGGGGCTTAGGGGGTCTCCGAGGGTTAGAGTGCTCCAGGCTCGGGTGGGGAGGAGGAAGATGTGTTCGGGTGCTGAGGGCCTCCTGCGTTGGGCCCAGAGGGCCAGGCTGCGGCCACTGCCAGGTGGGCAGCTCATCTCTCTGGCAGCAGCACGAAGAAGGCAGCCTTCAGGAAGCGGCCGAAGCTGCAGAGTGCAGCCACCAGCCAGTGGGAGCGGAGGCCAGGGTCTGTGCTGACCACACACTTGAGGACATCAGTCTGGGAGGGAAGAGGGAGACCGTTAGAAAGCAGAGCCAGCACCGCCAGGCCCCCAGCACCGCCAGGCCCCCCAGCACCGTGCACCAGAATATCAGCAAAATTGCATGAAGGGAATGCAGGAGACTGTTCGGGAAGGAGGTCTGTGGCCTGGACTGAAGGCTCCAACACAAGACCAGACCCGATGCCGTGCACATTCAGACAGTGTGAAGGGCCAGGAGGCACGGGAGGTGGGGACAGATGGCAGCCAGGCAGGCCGGCCGGAGGGCCCCTGCCGAGCAGGAGAGAGGCCTTCATGGCCCTCGCTGGGGCTCCAGACATCCAGACCAGGGTGCCAGCTCCCCTCGGCCACCTGCCTGCTGCCCCCCAGGGGCTACAGGTATGCCGCCGTCATCCTCCTGTGGGGCCTTGGAGCCTGGGCTACCAGGAAGGGGCAAACCCAGCTTCATTCAGACTCTGCCTGGAACAACAGCAGGGACTGCGTTTCCGGAAGCCCACGGACTCCCTGGACTCTGAAGTTCCTTCTGGGGAAGTGAATGAACGTCCAATTCTCTTATTCCCTTCACTTCCTGCTAATACATGAAGGCTTTTCCCTGCAGCCTGGACCTGTGGCCTTGGCGTTGCTCAAAGTGTCGTCGCCCACTGGGCACACAGTGCCCAGCCCCATGCCAGACTCCACAGGAGGAAGACAGGAGGGGACGGAAGTCTTGGGGTTTCTGTGCTGAGGGACACCTGTAGCCATGTGCGACATCTTGGGACATTGCCCTCTGCACCCCCAATTCAGCCTTCAGAGGAGACCACAGCCCCCGCAGACCACGTGACCTCAATCTCTCGAGATGCTAAAGCTAAGGCCCCAGCAGAGGGGTCTGAGCGCTGTCACCCCTGGCCGCTGATTTACACACCAGGCCAACACCCGCTGTACAGGAAAGAAGGCTAGACTCTCGGCAGGGGAGCCACCCTCCACACCCAGGGCCCAGCGGCAACTGCGGTCTGGCCGGAGCAGGGCAGGAAGTTGGGGGCGTGGAGACAGAGGAAGGGTTTGGCTCTGACACCCACCCCTCGGGGCCTTGCTTTTCCCACTCGGGAGGGCGGGGGCTGGGGCAGCGGGTCCTTAGCACAGGGGTAGGATCGGGGGTAAGTCAGTGCTGGATCTGGGCAGAGGAGAGTCCAGGGCCTGCCTGTAGGTCTCGGCCCTTGCCCCACCCCCTGCCTCACCCATCTCCCCCAGGAGTGCTCAGGTGACCACCCATCCGCCACTCCCTCCCGTACCTCTGCACCCTCGCACCCCAGCTCTCCCACCCCCACAGGCGCTCAGACACTCACCCATCCGCCACTCCCTCCTGTACCTCTGCACCCTCGCACCCCAGCTCTCCCACCCCCACAGGCGCTCAGACACTCACCCATCCGCCACTCCCTCCCGTACGTCTGTACCCTCGCACCCCAGCTCTCCCACCCCCCAGGCGCTCAGAGGCTCACCCATCCACCACTCCCTCCTGTACCTCTGCACCCTCGCACCCCAGCTCTCCCACCCCCACAGGCGCTCAGACACTCACCCATCCGCCACTCCCTCCCGTACGTCTGTACCCTCGCACCCCAGCTCTCCCACCCCCCAGGCGCTCAGAGGCTCACCCATCCACCACTCCCTCCTGTACCTCTGCACCCTCGCACCCCAGCTCTCCCACCCCCACAGGCGCTCAGACACTCACCCATCCGCCACTCCCTCCCGTACGTCTGTACCCTCGCACCCCAGCTCTCCCACCCCCCAGGCGCTCAGAGGCTCACCCATCCGCCACTCCCTCCCGTACCTCTGCACCCTCGCACCCCAGCTCTCCCACCCCCCAGGCGCTCAGACACTCACCCATCCGCCACTCCCTCCCGTACGTCTGTACCCTCGCACCCCAGCTCTCCCACCCCCCAGGCGCTCAGAGGCTCACCCATCCACCACTCCCTCCTGTACCTCTGCACCCTCGCACCCCAGCTCTCCCACCCACACGGGCACTCAGGCGCTCACCCATCCGCCGCGTCTCCGCAGCCAGGTTGCCAGGGTCTTGCGCACGAACTCCCCCAGGCAGTCCACGAGGGCGTGGACCATGGCAGGCTGGGCCTGCCTCACACAGTCCACGGCCAGCCCCGCGGCCACCGCATACAGGGACACCACCTTGCCCCACGTGATGCCTGCAGGGAGAGAGATGGTCAAGATCAGGACTTGAATCCCGCCCACGGGAGCACTTAAGGAAGGGGCTGGGCCTCTCTGAGCCGCTGTCCTGCTTGCCGTCCAGCTAATGACCAGGGACCGTCCCAAGGGGGGACCGCTCCCTGACAGGATGCCTGTCAGGTAGTTCTTGGGCAGGCAGGTTTCTCGGCCTCCACTGCACACCTGCCCAGCCCACGTCTGTGCAGGAGGCCGCAGGGACAACGTGGGGTGAGGCGAGGGAACTGAGGGCAGCAGCAGATGGAGTGAGCAGCCAGTGACCTCACGGGTGGCACCCCTGGGCTGCCTGTTCCCACAACAGGCCTGGCGTCCACATTTTACACATAAAGAAGCTGAGGCCCGCAGAGAAACTGCCTTCCCCAGACCCCTAACCTGCTGAGGCTGAACTGAGATGGGAGCAGCCTTGAAAGAGAGGACGAAAGATGGTGACAGCGGGGGAAAGAATAAAAGGCAGGACACGACGCCTCAACACGGAAAGACGTCTTATACGTGAGCGAGAAAAGAGAGGCTTTCAAAAAAGAACTATGAGCACAGAACTGGAACAGCTGATTCACAAAAGAAAATTATAATAAGAGACACGAAAAATGTTTACCTTCATTAATAACCAAAGAAAGGCAAATTAAAACAAAATGTAATCTGTTGCATTAAAAGCTTTTACGCCAGGCGCGGTGGCTCACGCCTGGAATCCCAGCACTTTGGGAGGCCGAGGCGGGCAGATCACAAGGTTGGGAGTTCAAGAGCAGCCTGACCAACATGGTGAAACCGTCTCTACTAAAAATACACAAAAAATTAGCCAGGCGTGGTGGCACGCGCCTATAATCCCAGCTACTCGGGAGGCTGAAGCAGGAGAATCACTTGAACCCGGGGAGGCGGAGGTTGCAGTGAGCTGAGATCGCGCCAGTACACTCCAGCCTGGGCGACAGAGCGAGACCCCGTCTCTAAATAAATAAATAAATACATGCTTTTAAATGGCAGTGTGAGGATTCAGGCCACTGCACAGCCTTGTAAACCTTGGTGGGAAGCCCAGCTTGAGGGCACTGGCAGTATCTGAATGGCCACAAAACATGCAGCCCAGCAGTGATCCCCGCAGGGAGTTAGCAGCGGTCCCCGGAGGGAGTCAGCAGTGGTCCCTGGAGGGAGTTAGCCTGAGGACACTGTACATGCAAAGATGAAGCACTGCTCTCCAATCCACCCTCATACAGCGGCCAACCTGGATTTGTTATGAAAACATAAATCAGCTCAAACAAACACTCAGTCACAGACATTCACAGCAGCCAATTCACAATTGCCAAAAGGTGGAAAGAACCCAAGTATCCTTCAACAGATAAATGGATACAAATGTGGTGGATGTTACTCAGCCACAGAAGGCAGGCTGGGCACAGTGGCTCACGCCTATAATCCCAGCACCTTGGAAGGCCGAGGTGGGCAGATCACCTGAGGTCAGGAGTTCAAGACCAGCCCGGCCAACATGGTGAAACCCCATCTCTACTAAAAATACAAAAATTAGCCGGATATGGTGGTGGGCGCCTGTAATCCCAGCTACTCGGGAGGCTGAGGCAGGGCAATCACTTGAACCCAGGAGGTGGAGGTTTCAGTGAGCCCAGATCGCACCACTGTACTCCAGCCTGGGAGACAGAGCAAGATTCTATCTCAAAAAAATAAATAAATGGCTGGGCGCGGTGGCTCACGCCTGTAATCCCAGCATTTTGGGAGGCCGAGGCAGGTGGATCACGAGGTCAGGAGATCGAAACCATCCTGGCTAAAACGGTGAAACCCCATCTCTACTAAAAACACAAAAAATTAGCCGGGCATGGCGGCTGGTGCCTGTAGTCCCAGCTACTCGGGAGGCTGAGGCAGGAGAATGGTGTGAACCCAGGAGGCGGAGCTTGCAGTGAGCCGAGATCACGCCATTGCACTCTAGCCTGGGCAATAGAGTGAAAAAATAAATAAATAATAAATAAATAAAAGAAGGCATGGGGCTCTGAGGCAGGCTGGGCATGGATGGGCCTCAAAAACACATGCTTGGGTGGAAGCTGCCAGGCATAAAAAGCCACATACAGTGTGAGTCCGTGGATGCAAAATGTCCACAACAGTCAGGGACAGAGCTGGGACGCAGGCTCACGGCTGGCAGTGGGCGAGGGGTGGGGAATGGCGGTGGCGGCCACGGGCACAGGCATTCTGGGGTGATAAAGACCTCCTGAGACTAGTAGCTGGTGGCTGCTCCACACTGGGAATGTGGCAGATGCTGCTGAATTGCACACTTTTAAGTGGATAATTATGTCATGTGAGTTTAACGTCAATTAAAAGAAATGGGGAAAAACACAACTCAGACCATGTCACTCCCCTGCATAAAGCTCTCGTGTTGCTGTGACTTCCCGTGTCCTTCAAAGTAAACCCAAGTTTGAATTCCCAGCTGAGCTGGCCCCTGGCAGACTCCAGCCCTTTTCCTGCCACCCCAACCTCGAAGGTGCCCTTGTCATTGGTGGGATGCGCACACCCGGCACAGCCCCTGCTCTACCCGCTGCACTTCCCCAGCACGTGGGGCTGTTCCTCCTTCAAGGGCACGGCCATGCGGGGAGCGGAGCCTGATGTCAGCACTGCGTGTGGCTTGCGGGACAACCTGTTCTGAGGTGTCCGGTTCCATCAGAACAGTGCATTCCACGCTGGGTGCGGTGGCTCATGCCTATAATCCTAGCACTTGGGGAGGCTGAGGCAGACGGATCACCTGAGGTCAGGAGTTCAAGATCAGCCTGGCCAACATGGTGAAACCCCATCTCTACTAAAAATACAAACATTAGCCAAGCATGGTGGCGGGTGCCTGTAATCCCAGCTACTCAGGAGGGTGAAGCAGGAGAATCGCTTGAACCCGGGTGGCGGAGGTTGCAAGATCACAACTCTTCATTCCAGCCTCGGCAAAAGAGCAAAAATTAAAAAAAAAAAAAAGAACATACTATGTTCCGAGTGATGGCAACATTTCCACTCCAGAGGGGTGGATGGGAAAGAAAGACAGGAAGACAGGAGTCCGGAGGCACCAGCCTCGGCGTCCACTGTGTCCTTCCAGCTCTTCTGTGTCTTTTTAACTGATATAATTCCATTACCATAAAATTAATCTTTTAAAAGTGGGATATCTTTGAGCATATTCACAAAGCTGTGCAACCATCACCTCTATCTAATTCTAGAACATTTTCATCATCCCACGAGAAACCCCATGCCCACTAGCAGTCACTCCCTATTTCACCGACAGCCCCTGGCAGCCACTCATCTTACTTTCTGTCTCTGTAGATTTACCTACCCTGAAAATTTCACATAAGTGTAATCACACGGCTTGTTCATTTTGTGTCTGGCGTATTTCACAGGTTGAGGTGGCAGGAAAAGGGCTGGAGTCTGCCAGGGGCCAGCTCAGCTGGGAATTCAAACTTAGGTTTACTTTGAAAGACACGGGAAGTCACAGCAACACGAGAACTTTATGCAGGGAAGTGACATGGTCTGATTTGTGTTTTTTCCCAGCACTGTGGGAGGCCGAAGTGGGTGGATCACCTGAGGTCAGGAGTTCGAGACCAGCCTGGTTGACATGGTGAAACTCTGTCTGCTAATAATATAAATAATACTAACAATACAAAAATTAGCTAGGCGTGGTGGCACATACCTGTAATCCCAGCTACTCGAGAGGCTGAGGCAGGAGAACTGCTTGAACCCAGGAAATGGAGGTTGCAGTGAGCCGAGATCGCACCATTGCACCTCCAGCCTGGGCAACAAGAGTGAAACTCCATCTCAAAAAAAAAAAAGAAAAAAGAAAAAAAAGAAAGAATAGGGTCTGCCTCTGTCACCCAGGCTGGAGAGCAGTGGCACAATCTCGGCTCACCGCAACCTGCGCCTCCCGGGTTCAAGCGATTCTCCTGTCTCAGCCTCCCGAGTAGCTGAGATTACAGGCATGTGCCACCAAACCTGGCCAATTTTGTATTTTTATTAGAGACAGGGTTTCTTCTTTTTGGTCAGGCTGGTCTCAAACTCCCGACCTCAGGTGATCCACCCACCTCGGCCTCCCAAAGTGCTGGGATTACAGGCGTGAGTCACTGCACCCAGCCATTTTTATTTTTCTTATAATAAAACTATAATTAGAAGAATTATATAAAATTACATATGTATTTATAGAAAATACAATTCAAATTCAAAGAAAAAAATAAACACTATTGCCAACTTTTAAATGGGGAGGAAAATTGAGTTCTACCACTTTGGAGATGAGTTTTTCCAAAGTCCTGAGCAGGAACTTTGAAGCCCTAAATGAAAACAGCCAGAAACAACATTTGTTGGCCTCTGCCTTCGTGGGAGTCTCCTGGGGCTGGAGACTTGGAGACCCCCACGGAGCCCTGCCCTGCAGCCCTCACACGGCTCACAACACTAGCCAAGGCCCCAGCCCTGAGGTGCGGGCTGTGCAGCTTGCCTGCAGTGGAGGGGCTGGGCAGGGCGCACACCCTCAAGGGCGCCTGCTAAGAGGAGGAGAGGGAGGAAGACCGGGGGTCAGAGCGTGCAGGGATGGCTGGCGTGGGAGGGGCCTCAGGCAGGGAGGCAAGGATGTGTAAAGCACTTGGAGGCTGGAGGCTCGCCCTGTAGACAAAAGGGCCCAAGAGGACTGGGATGGACAAAGGTGAAGGGGGCTGGGGGTGCAACTGCCAGTGGGCCTGAGGGGCAGAAGGGGCGGCCCTGCCCTAGCTCCCTAGTCAGGTGGCTCTGGTTCAGGGAGGTTCAGAAACCCGTTGCAGGTCACGAGGCTCTTGGGCTTCAACCTGCGTGGCTCCCCTCGGGCAGGGCCGCCTCAGAGTAGCAGCAGGTGGGGGTGTGGGGGCTGCCACATGGCCAGAGCCGGGCCTGCGTGGGACAAGCCTGGGGCGCTGGGTGGGGTGGGGGATGCTGACCACAGGGGAGTGGGCTCCGGTTTTCCAGTGAAAACAAGACTTAAACTGAACTCTACACATAGCCCGGGCCACCTGGCCGGTGCCGCCCACATTCCCCGTCAGCTGTGTGCCCGCTCGTCCAGCCATCCCCTTCCCCTCAGCCCTCCCTGGCCCCCAGGTGCCCTCCCAGAACCAACCAGAGCCTTCCTAGGCACCGCCCCCACCTCAGGCCAGGCCCTGCTCAAGCAAGGCCGGGCGGGTAGGGGCATCCTGGCCCCATCCTCTCTCCCTGCCGAAGGGGGAGGCGCCCCACCTCTGGGCAGGCTGCTGCATTCTCAGAAATGACTGTTCCTTTTAAAGCCAGCCTGCAGCTCGTAAACCCAGCGGCCCCGAGACAGACACCCGGGTGGCCACCCACGCGCCGGCGTCGGCCAAGGGAGGGCTGAGAGTGGTCGTCAGCCCAGGATGCCTTCCACCCCTGGCTTCCTTCCGGGGCCCCACCCACTGCCTGCCCCGTGCCTGCCTGGGTCACCCTGGCGGCAGGAGGGGCGGGCACCAGCTTGCCAGCTCCTGCCACCATGCTTCCGCTGCCCACTGTGCCGTGAACCCTGCCCCCTGCCCACCCGGCCCCTGAGCCACACCACCTGCCCACTCCCCAGCCCCTACCCATATGCACCCCCAGCCGACTCAGGTCTGCCCCATGACACGCCTCAGCCTGGCCTGGGCCCGGCCCCCCACCCTCAGCTGCCACGTGGGGGCCTTGGAGCCAAACTGCCAATGAGGATTCATTTACGATCTCCCAAAGGAACACAGGAGCAGTGACAGAGTCCAGGCTCTGAGGCCACCCCAGGAGCGCCAGACAGGGAGTCTCGCCCGCACCCAGCTTGGTTCCGCCTCCTGACCCCACACCACAGCCTGAGGTCACTGCCCCTCCCCAGGTGTGGTCTGAGGCACTCCAGCACATGCTGTGGCAACAAGACAAGCCCGGAGGCAGGACCAGACCCCGCCTGGACTCCCATCCCTGGACTCAGCCTTCCCGCTCCAGCAGCCTGCCAGGTCGCCGCTGCATCCCAGCCACAGTAACTTCTGTCCAGGGAGGTCAGCAGTGAGCAAGCGTGGCACTGGAGAGGCCGGATTCTGTCAGAAAATGCTCGCAGCCCCCGCCGCCTTGGCCTCCAGCCGAGGGTGTCAGCCCCGCTCTGTCCCCATCTGGCTGGCCCACCAGGGGTCGGAGGAGACGTCTGGGAGAGGAGCTGGAGGACACCCCACAAAGGTGGGGTCTGCCTGAGCGAGAGGCAGTGGTCCTCACACTCCTGGCCTCTTCCCCTTGCCCTCCGGTGGGTGGAGGTCCCGAGGCCATCTGAAGACCCCTGGCTCTGAGGGTCACCCCGTGGCGTGGGATGCATCTCCCACAGCGAGGGTGTGGCTTCCTCTGGCGCCTGATGCCTGGCTCCTGCTGCTGTCAGGACTGCCTGGAGACAAGGCAGCTGAGGCCACAGAGATGACAGCAGGCCACAGTCACACAGCTGACTGGCCACGGACCCACACCAGCTCCCAGACAAGGGTGTGCAAGGCCTCCCTGCTGTCAGGGGTCTTCCAAAAAACTGCCCCAGGGGAACAGCATGCCCCTCCTCCAAGCTTCAGGGAATCCTGCGCACCCCGGGGTTCACTGGCCCAGAGCTGTGCCCAGCACCTGGACAGCACTTGGAAAACAGCTGAGGAATGTGCCAATCAGGGAGGTGCCACATCAGGGCCGGCGCACCACTCACCCCAACAGCAGCACCCAGCGCCTGCCACACCCAGGGGCAGCTCATAGCACGGGGTGCCAGGACAGGACCCAAGGTCACAGAGGTCAAAGGCAGGGGGCTGAGGTCTGCAGGGCCAGACCTGATGACATGGGGCAAGCGGACAGAAGCCACACTGGGCAAATCCAGGCCAAGGCAGCTGGACAAGTGGACAGCGGGCACCGAGTAGGGGAGACAAGCCCTAAGCCTCCCGTGGGCCTAGAAGCATGTGGACAGCCGGGAGCAGCAGGAGCAGGGAGGCAGGGCCAGGAGATGCCTCTCCAGGGCAGAGATGGGAGCGCACAGGAGGGTCACAGGTGAGGCAGGCACAGCCAGGTGAGATGCGCTGCTGTTCTCCGGATGCCCTCCGGGAGCCAGTCTGCTTGGACCCCCATGCTCTCCCCTCTCCTGGACGCTGGAGCCCTGAGGCTCGCTTCTGACCATCAGAATCCAGCAGAGTTACCCGTGACTTCTGAGGGTATATCCTAACAGCCTGGCAGCATCTACTCGGGAGCTGTCTGGGAAACCTGCTCCTTGCCACTCCTCCTTGGGACACAGCACCATGCTGTGAGAAGCCCAAGCCCCGCTCGGGGGCCCCTGCAGGAAACCAGGCAGCCCTAGGACGTGCCACCCCACAGGACTGCAGGTCACGCGGCCCCACGGATGCTGGACCACAACTACAACCAATCAAGAAGCCTGTGCCAGCTGCTCAGCATGCCCACCAGCCTGCAGAACCACAAGAGACCCTGAATGCTGTGGTTTGAGCCCACGCTGGTGGCTGGGCAGCTCCTGACACCTGCAGCAGTGAGATGGCACCGGTGGGCACTGGGCAGCGCCAGGATGGGTGGGGGCCAGCTCGTGGGGTCCCTGTGAGCCTGAGCCACAGACCCTGGATCCCTCCCTGAGGTCCCATGGGACGGGCAGGCTGGGCATACCTGCAGAGAAGATGTGGCCAGCCACGGCCAGGAACGCATCGGTCACCACAGGCTCAGACTGCAGGGAGATGTGCAGCTGACGCGCCACGTTGCGGTAGACGCTGGGCCGGATCATCTCCAGCTCATCGCCTGTGTGGTCACAAGAGCAGGTGAGAGGCAGCCCACGTCCCAGCTTCCTGGGACACGACTGGCTTGGGGCACACCCTGCACCTGACCCCCACCTGACCATGCTTGAATTCCAGCCTGTTCCTCACTTGTCTGATTCCCACCTCCACTTGACCCCATCTGACCTCCCTTGGGCCATCCCCCAACCTTGGCCCCTAGGGACCAGAAGACCAAGGAAGTACTGAAGGCGCCCCCAGTCCCGCCCCTCTGACGAGCCAGCCCCTAAGCCTAGCCGGCCAAGCCGGTGGGGCGGGAATCCTGCGAGAGCGTGGGCCGTGCCTGCTGGTGACTCACAGCCGACAGGCAGCCGAGCTGCCCAGAGCAGGAGGGACCAGGCAGACGGCCAGACCCCGACGTGGGGAGGGGCTGGGCAGAGAAAGCACTGGGGTGAGAGCAGGGGAGCCCGACGTGGGGAGGGGCTGGGCAGAGAAAGCATTGGGGTGAGAGCAGGGGACAGCCCGAGAGCCCGGCTCAGGCCCTAGCATGGCTCAGGGACCACTCAGATGCAGAGGCTGAGCCGCTGTCCTGGGCCACCCGCACTGCCACGCTCCCACCTGGGCTGGCTGGGCCGCTGTCCTGGGCCACCCGCACTGCCACGCTCCCACCTGGGCTGGCTGGGCCCCTGTCCTGGGCCACCCGCACTGCCACGCTCCCACCTGGGCTGGCTGGGCCGCTGTCCTGGGCCACCCGCACTGCCACGCTCCCACCTGGGCTGGCTGGGCCCCTGTCCTGGGCCACCCGCACTGCCACGCTCCCACCTGGGCTGGCTGGGCCGCTGTCCTGGGCCACCCGCACTGCCACGCTCCCACCTGGGCTGGCTGGGCCCCTGTCCTGGGCCACCCGCACTGCCACGCTCCCACCTGGGCTGGCTGGGCCGCTGTCCTGGGCCACCCTCACTGCCACGCTCCCACCTGGGCTCTTGCTGCCAAGGGGATGTGCTTGGAGGTGGCACTGCATCAGCCCTGCCCCTGGCAGCCGAGGATGGCCCCTACAGGCCCACCGCCCCAGTGCTGCCTGTGGCACCCTTGGCAGCAGCAGCGCACAGGCACGGGGCAGATGGTGCCGAGAATGCCACAGGGCCCTGGGATTGGGAGTCCGCAGCCCGGCCAGTTCTCCAGCCAAAGCAAACAGGGTAATGCTGCTGACCGGACCATCCCAGCTGATAAAGGCTGCTCTGTATCTCATTAATTAAGATCTGGAAGCAGAGCAGAGCCCATGAGAGGCTGGCTGGGGGCGGGGGACGACATGGAAATTCCCAGGACTGACCCGGCAGCTCCCAAACACAGATCTCCGGGGCTGCTGCAGGCTGGCCCCAGACTGAAGGTGGGGACACAACCCGGGCTTCTTCCTGTCTGCACTGCCCAAGGGCAGGGAGACAGCGCTGGCCTCAAGGGACTGACCCTGAGCAGCCGTGAGGGCAGATGCAGGTCTGAGCTGTGTCCCTCTGGGGTCCCCCTAGACATCTGGGACTTCTTCCCAGCCATTCCAGGGGTCTGGCATCATCTTTTCAGAAGGCCACTAAAAGGATCCCCTAGGGTCATTCTCAGAGCCCGACTAGAGGCAGCAGCAGGCGGCGGATCTCATGGAGCCCCACCAACCCCCTAGCTCCCACCCAGAGACCTCTCCCTCCTTCTGAACTTCTCAGATGGGACTCCACCTCCTCCTGGAGGCTCTGTGCTGGTCCCCATGGATTCTGTCTGCACCCCACACACACTCCTGGGCAGGCCAGGTCTACACAGCTTTGCTCTCTGGGCCCAGCCCACCACGTAAGGGCAGGGGCCACCTAGAGCCCATGCCAGCGCCAGCCTGAGAGGAGGCAGCGTGTCCCCTCACGGGGTCGTGCCCTCCGACTCCAACCCCCTGCCTGGAGAGCCACCGATTCAGTTTCACCTATGCTGTCACCTCCCCTTCCCGGGCTCAGCCACAGGCGCCCCATGTGCCCTCTTCGGGCATCACATAAACATTCCCAGGTGACGGCCACAGCCCAGCTGTGGTGAGGGGACTGGACAGTCACAGTGGGGCTGGTCCCTCCCTCTTGGGTCCAGACCTTGGAGACGGTGGGGGCAGCCAGTGGACCGTGTGTGACCCCAGAACCGAGCACCCCCAGATGTCCTCACAGCACCAACGAATACTGAGGTTTTGGCTACCCAGCCCGGTGGGCGCAGTTTCCAATGGGGGGGCCTCGGAGGCCTCGGAATCCAGAGGGCAGCGGGCGGGATCTCGGCCAGTAACAGCAAGAATCTGTTTTCCAAAATAAACATCGGGACACGTGCTCCTACAAAGGGTTTCTGTGCCCAGCTGAGAACAAGGGTCACTGTGGAAGCTTAGCCACCCACTAATAGATTATTCTTTCTGGAGCTTTCTATTGTTTATGGCCAGCATGACTGAAATCTGGGCTGAGCAGGCAGCTGATGGGGGGGCCTGTGGCGTGGGAGGCCTGAGAGGGCAGATCCGGGAGCACCCGCCTGGGTGGCCCTGTCCCGAGCGCCTGGCCGTCCCAGGCAGGGGGTGGGCGCCCCTGGGCCGGACCCCCATCTCGGCCTCGGAGGGAGGCTGCGGCCCAGCAGGGGAGGAGGCGCAGCTGGGGATCCCACCAGGGCGCACTCACCCAGGCGCAGCAGCACCGCGCACACCTCAGCCAGGCGTCCCGGGACCGGCGCGGCACGCTCGGGCGCGCTCCAGGAGAGGCCGGCGCGCAGCAGCCGCGCGTGCACGTACTCCCGGCCCAGCGCCTTGGCCTGGGCCACCAGCTCCTTGTCTGTGGGCGAGCGGTCAAAGGCGTCCATGATCTCGGCGGCGAAGACCGAGGAGCGCCGCAGCACCTCCATGGCGGCGACGCGGGTGGGGGGCGCCGCACCTGCGGGCACAAGCGCTCAGCCGGGTGGAGGGAGGCGGCGCGGGGAACGGGGCGCGCGGGGCGCCGGGCTGGGCGTGGCCCTCGGGAAGGGCCGTAGCCGGCGCCGGGTCCGCTCTCGTTTTTTGTGCCCCAAATCTTTAAAAACCCAGCGCCACCTTCTTTCAGAGCCCGAATTCAGCTACAGACATTCCCCGAGGCTGCCAGGGACCGGTGGGGCCGCGGGGAGACGGCGGTTTGCTCCGGGGCCGCCGGGCCCGCCCTCGAAGACGAGTGCGTGGGCGGCGGGGGCGGAGGGCACAGCCCAGCGCGTCCCCCACGGCGACTGCCAGGACCCGGCCCTCCCCGCCCCGGCCCGGGGCCGCCCACCTCCGCCGCTGGCGTCCTGCGCGCGTGTCCCCGGCCTCGCCGTTCCCGTGGCACCCCGGGCACCCCGGCACGGACGCCACGCCCGCCGCGCTCACCTCTCCCGCCGCATGGCGCGGGCGCCGGGGTGGAGTTCTGGCTTCAGGATCTGCTCGCCGCCGACGACGACCTCGACCCTTCCATTCAGACCCGCGAGGACGCGCGCCCCGCCCCGGCGCCCGCCCCGTCCACGCCCGAGCCGGGAGCGCCAGGTCCACGGGGCTTCCCGCGCTCTTGGGGGGCTCCTGCCGCGGCGTCGGGGGCCTGGGCAGCGAGGTGGGCAGCGCGCGACTCCCAGCTGGCGAGAGGCTGGGCTTGGGGCTTGGCCTTCTAAGGGAAAGGCAACCCTGGGGGCGGAGTCGGGGAGACGCTTTCCGAGCTTCCCCGCTTAAGGAGGACCGAGCGAGTTCCCTGGATGCGCCCGGAGAAGGCGACCAGGCCGGAGCGGCCCCCGCAAGGCAGAGCAGTGGGGACCTAGAGCCAGCCCCAGCCGCCTGGGTGTTCCCCGGGGTCCATTTGAAAATTGGGTTGTCTTCTTCGTTCGTAGAGGTTCTTTCCAGAGTCTGGAGACGTGTTCTTGGTCCGGACGCATGCCCTTTGTATTGTAGATGGATTATTGGATTCGCATTTATTGAAGTTATTGCAAATATCTTCCTCTATTTTGTGGTTTACTTTTGCTTTGGATGAACAGGAGTTACTCTTAGTGATGTCCAATTTATCAATATTTTCTTTATGGTTAGTACCTTTTTATTGGGATATCCTCCTGTATTTCCTTTTAGAAGCTTGTTTTAGGGCTCATATTTAGATCTATGATTGATTACATATTAATTATTGTGAATGGTGTGGTACGGGGCTAGAGCTCATTTTTTTTCGTGTAGATATCCAATTGACCTGGCATCATTTATTGAAAAGCATCATTTTTTTTCCACCGAATTGGAGGAGTCCCCAACATCTCAACATAAATCAGCTGAAGAGTGTGTGTGTGTGTGTGTGTGTGTCTCGGAACTCTATCCCACTGGTTTATTTCTTTATCCTTGAATCAACCTCACACAGTTTGAACAATAGGATTAACCAACTTGGCCTAATTCACGTGTGTACAACACTATAAAATACTTATTCTTCCCATGTGCACATAGGATGTTTATCGAAATAGACCATATCATGGACCTTATACAAGTCTCAGCAAATCTCAACGGATTGAAATCTTACAGTGTGTCCTCTCTGAATTAAAAGTCAATAACAGAAAAATTACTGGAAAATCTGCAAATGCTTGGAAATTACATGTCACACTTCTAAATAATCAATGGGTCAATAATCACAGTGGAAGATTAAAATATGTTGACAAGAACAGTGAAAAATAAGACATATCAAATGCTGTACAGTGCAACTAAAACACTGCTTAGAGGAAATTTGATAGCTTTAGAAGAAGGATTGAAAATTAGGCCAGGTGAAATGACTCAGACCTGTAATCCCAGCATTTTGGGAGGCCTAGGTGGGCAGATCACCTGAGCTCAGGAGTTTGAGACCAGCCGGGTCAAAATGGTGAAAACCCCGTCTCTACTAGAGATACAAAAAATGAGTTGGGTGTGGTGGCAGGTGTCTGTAATCCCAGCTACTAAGGAGGCTGAGGCAGGAGAATTGCTTGAACCTGGGAGGCGAAGGTTGCAGTGAGCAGAGATCATCCCACCTGCACTCCAGCCTGGACAACAGAGTGTGATTCCATCTCAAAAAAAAAAAAAAAAAAGGAAAAAGAAAAATAAAATTACTGCTCTAAGCTTCCACTCAAGAAGCTAGAAAAGAACAATAAAACTAAAGATGAAAGGAAATAATAAAAATAAGAGCAGAAATTAATGGAATAAAGCAAAAAATAGAGAAAATCAACAAAGCCAAAAATTGGTTCTTTGAAGAGATTAATAGAACTGATAAATCCCCAGAAAGATTGAGTAAGAAAAAAGATAACACAAATTTCACTATCAAGAATGAAAAAGAGGACATCACTGTAGATACTACAAGCATTAAAGGGATAAAAAGATAGTATGGAGGACTTTTTGACAGTGCATTTGAAATTTTAGATGATACACAACTTACCAAAACTGACACTAAAAGAAATAGAAAATCTGGATAGTCCTACACCAATTAAATGCATTGAATCTGTAATTTAAAATCTTCCCACAAAGAAAATTCTAGGTTCAGATGGTTTCATTGAGAAATTCTTCTCAACAGTTAAAAAAATACCACCAGTCTCATACAAACCTGCACAGAGACTAAAAATGAGGGAGTATTTCCCAACTCATTTTATGAGGTCAATGTAATTTTAATACCGAAACCTGTCAGGAACATTACCAGAAGCTAGGAAAGCTATGGAACTTCTATCTGCTATGACTTTCCTGTCTGGGAAGTAGGAAGAATAATAATACCTACCTCCTAGGATTGTTGAGAGGACTGAATTCTTTTTTTTTTTTTTTTTTTTTGAGACGGAGTCTCGCTCTGTTGCCAGGCTGGAGTGCAATGGCGTAAACTCGGCTCACTGCAACCCCGCCTCCTGGGCTCCAGCGATTCTCCTGCCTCAGCCTCCCGAGTAGCTGGGACTACAGGCACCTGACACCACGCCCGGCTAATTGTTTGTATTTTTGGTAGAGAGGGGGTTTCACCATGTTGGCCAGGATGGTCTCGATCTCTTGACCTCGTGATCTACCTGCCTTGGCATCACAAAGTTCTGGGATTATAGGCGTAAGCCACAGCGCCCAGCCTGGGAGGACTGAATTCTTAATCCATGTCATGTAGTAAGTGCTCAGTCATTGTTAGCTGCTTTTTCAGAAAAGCTGTAGTACAGTAAAATCTGAGGGTGCATTTTAATGAACTCTTTAATGTAGAGTCTAGAGCTCCTTGGACAGTGTGCGCCTCAGATTTCTGAAGAGCAGTCAGGTTTGGGATTCCCTGTAGATAGCATTACAGAAATGCAGAGAGGGAAAAGATCTCGCCCAAGGAGTCACTGCAAGACTGGGCATGGCCAGACTGTAAACCTTGGGGTCTAACTCCATGGTTCCTGAAGTACCTCTGTCAGGGGAAGAGCCTGTACTTGCAGGCAGGAGACCAGGAAGCTCACACCTGCAACCTTCCCGCTGTGTAGCCTCAGGCAACTTCCTGCCCCATTCACAGGCTCAGTTTCCTCCTGTGCAGAATGAACTCATACTTCCTGCTTCCTGTCTCCTGTTGGAGCCGTCTCCTGGGCTCTGACATGGGGGTAGTGGGCCACTGGGCATAATTGATAGACATGTTCTGCATCCCAGGAGCTGCAGAAACCAGGTAAAGCTGTGTCTCTGGATGTTCAATATGGAACATTGCTAGCAGTAAGGAACTGAAAATGACCTAAGTGTGCCAGGCGTGGTGGCTCATGCCTGTAATCCCAGCACTTTGGGAGGCTGAGGCATGTGGATCACCTGAGGTTAGGAGTTCGAGACCAGCTTGACCAACAAGGTGAGACTCCGTTTCTACTAAAAATACAAAAAATTAGCCAGGCGTGGTGGCGCATGTCTGTAATCCCAGCTACTCGGGAGGCTGAGACAGGAGAATTGCTTGAACCCAGGAGTCGGAGGTTGCGGTGAGCCGAGCTCATGCCACTGCACTCCAGCCTGGGCAACAGAACGAGACTTTGTCTCAAAAAAAAAAAAAAATGACCTCAGTGTTTATGAAGAGATCAAGCCCAGCATGGTGACACCGCACTAGTAGTCCCAGCTCCTTGGGAGACTGAAGCAAGAGGATTGCTTGAGCCCAGGAGTTCAGGGCTGTAGTGCCTGTGAATAGCCACTGCACTCAGCCTGGGCAACTTAGCAAAGACGGGTTTCTAAAACAAATTTTAAAAAGAGAGCAGATGAGGAGATTAAGCAATCTGGAGTACCTAGACCGCAAACCCTTATTCAGACCTTAAAAAACTTGGGTCATGCTGGAGTTAGCTGAGGTCTTCCTGTCCACTGAGACCTGGAGGAGGCCCAGTCCCAGCCCTCAATTTCCCAAGAGTGCTTTGACTTCTTGGGAGCCTACATTTCTCCGGTCACCTTTGGCCCTGATTTTCTGTCTCTGCAGAACTCTTACATCCACTCTTGCCATGCAACTGACTCCTCTCTCTGCCCCAGTGTTGACCTAGCATGGAACTCGGTCCCTGGTTGGTGAGTGGGCTTCTGAGCGCTGATACCAGCCCACCAGACTGGCTTAAGCACAGGGCAGTTTGTTGATTTGTGTGACCAGAGAGAGGTCGGTTGGTTTCAGGCATAGCTGGATCCAGGAGTCTCTTTCCATCTGTGCTCCCCTGTGATGGCTCCACTCTCAGACAGACTGTCCTGGTGTAATTGCAGGATAAAGCCCACAGCTCCCTGTATATACCTCACAAGTTCAGGCTTTGCCAGTGGAAAAAAGTCGGGCTGTCCAGGTAGCTCTGGGAGATCCCTTGGGGTGGGCAGCTTCTGTACTCTGTCCATTTCCAAGCCAGCTGTGGCTGGACATGGGGAAGGTGTTAAGCAGTCAGGCCTGGGTCTCATACCTGGCCCTGGATGGTGTGGAAGCGGGTGGGCCCCCATCAGCTCCTGTGGAATGTGACCTGGAGGATGCTGGATTTCCATAAGAGCCTGCTCACTCAAGGCTGCTGTGTGGTCACAGAGTGGGGCGCAGAGGGGTCCATAACCCAGTGATGCCCACATTCAACATTGCAAATTCAAGCCAGCCCTCAGGCTTGGGATTCTCCCAGCCTAGCCATTCACCTCCTCATGGCTCCTCTCTATCTCATCTCTCATGTGACGGCTGCTTGCCTCCCCCACCCTGGTCCTCTCTCCTCCTTGGCTCAGGCCCTGCCATACAGAGCCAGCCCCTGACGGCACAGAACGGGAGCATCCTGGTTGTCCTCCTGGAAGGCTGCTGTGGCCTTGTGCCGCCTTGGAGACTGAGCTGAGCCCTCCCTCCCACGGTGACAAATGTGTGGTGCCCCCCAGAAGCAGGGCACCTTCCTCTGTGCAGCCACCTGCCCTGGCCGGCTGCAAATCTCAGATGCTGTGAGTAGATCTGTCATCCATTTCCTTTGCCCAGTGGGTCTGAGGCAGATCTGAGACTCTACCCCTAGCATGGAGTGGGGAGGGAGGTCTGCCGGTCTTGGAAGGCTTCCAGAGCCCCCCTCCCTGTCTCCAGTGACTTCCCTCACTGAGGGGTACCCCTTGGGGTAGAGGCCACTCTACCCCGTTGCCCTTGGCAACGCTAGACCCTGAAGTGAGTTGTGTGGGTGATACAGCTTGGATCTGTGTCCCAGCTCAAATCTCCCGTCAAATTGTAAACCCCAGTGTTGGGGGAGGGGCCTGGTGGGAGATGATTGGATGATGGGGGCTGATTTGCAGTGCTCGTGATAGTGAGTGAGTTCTCACGAGATCTGCCTCTTTAAAAGCGTGTGGCACCTTCCGCTTCACTCTCTTCCTCCTTCCGCCTCGTAAGACACGTCTCTTTCCTCTTCGCCCTCCGCCATGATTGTAAGTTTCCTGAGGCCTCCCAGCCATGCTTCCTGTACAGCCTGTGGAACCGTGAGCCAATTAAATCTCTTTTCTTTATAAATTACCCAGTCTCGGCTGGATGCGGTGGCTCACACCTGTAATCCCAGCACTTTGGGAGGCTGAGGCGGGTGGATCACCTGAAGTCAGGAGTTGGAGACCACCCTGGCCAACATGGTGAAACCCCGTCTCTACTAAAAATACAAAAAATTAGCTGGGTGTGGTAGCGGGCACCTGTAATCCCAGCTGCTCCGGAGGCTGAGGCAGGAGAATTGCTTGAACCCAGGAGGCGGAGGTTGCAGTGAGCTGAGATCGTGCCACTGCACTGCAGCCTGGGCTACAAGGGTGAAACTCCATCTCAGAATAAATAAATAAATAACCCAGTCTCAGGTACACTGGGGATGCCATGCCGGGGGTGGGTGGGACTGGGCGGGCGTTCAGCCTGCAGGCCACGGGGGTCGGTGGCAGCAGAGTCCTTGGACTTTGTGCCGGCCACCTCACTCTGGACTGGCCTCTCCACCCACTACCCGGTGGCCTTCAGATGGTCCTTTTTTTGCAAAACCAGGCAGAGGGTTGTGTGGCGAGCCGCCCGGAATCTTTCTGCTGGGTAGTGTGTGTCTGCACGTGCCCCAGGCTGGCACCCCTCCGTCACCTCCCGGTCACTGCAGGCTGCCTCTGAGGAGGGCAGTACCTGCCCACAAAGGCCCACGGAGCCATGGCTTCTTCCCAGTGGTGATCCCTGATGGGCTGGAAGGTGACCGAACCGCTTGTCCTTTATAAGCTGGGCTTGCTGCTTGCCGTTGAGGAAGAGCTTGTCATGGGTGTCAGCGTTTAAAAGTGGAATGTGAGTTTCTGAACGCGCTGGCATTGCAGGGGAAAGTACATACTTGCAGGGAAAAAGACACGAAGGAGACACAGGAGACGGGGGCGGGGAACGGAGGGTTCAGCAGCGGCGGCAGCCTCAGGCATAGGTGGGTCCTGCCTGGCCCTACCACTCCGGCCTCATTCTTTAGAGGGTCTGTTCTGAGCCCAGCCCCTAAGGGGTACTGAGCTGTCAGTATGTGCAGGGGCGTGGATGGTATGAGTGGGCCGGACAGGGTGTGGACCGGCATGGCGCGGCGTGGAGAGGCCAGAGGGACTGGGTGGGGCCGAACACAAGCGGCTCGCAGGAAGCCTCTGGAGTGCAGGGCGTGCTGCGGGTGCAAGAGACAGGCTGCAGCGCTCTGAGGGAGTCCCGCATTCTGAGTTGGATCAGAGCCTGGTGTCTCTGGTGGGGCCAGGACATTCTCATTGGCCAGTTCCTGTGCATGGGGTGACCCAGGCTGCATGGAGGGAGCCGCTTGTGGGTGGGCCACACCTCTCGTTCTCCTTTCAAAATGCTCCTGAGGTAGCAGCTGCCTGGCTGCTTCGCCATTGCCACCCCGTCCCAGCCGCGCCACCTCCTTCCGGACAGCCCCAGCACCCTCAGTGAGACCAGAGCCCCTCCTGCCTCTGCAGCCTCCTCTCCCGCTCCTCGAAGATTACTTTCCTTCTTCCTGGAACATTCTTCCCCCATCTTCAAACTCTGCCACCCGGCGTTTCCTCAGAGAACGCCCCCCACCCCACCCCACGGGTCACCCCCACTCCAGGTTCAAGTGGCCGAGGTGAATACTGGGTGGGCAGGGCAGGAAGTGGGCGGCAAGACACCTCCACCATCCCAGCCCACCCTCGCTGCGGTCGAACCTTCCCACTAGAACTAAAATGAGATTCCTGTGTTTTCACTTGGCCAGCGCAAGCCTTCCTCCTGGGCGGAGGGACCCCCCTGAGGTCTCCCCACCTCCCGTGGGGGGTTTCCCTGTGCCTGGGAGGCAGATGGGCTGTGGTGAGCCCTGAGTGGACTCAGCCAACAGCAGGGGCTGCTGCTATTGTGCCCCCCACCCCCTTAGTGGGTCCCCCCAAGTCATCTGCGGCAGTGAGACCAGCTTATTCTAAACCTCGGAGTCCTTCCTTCCCCTTCTGTCTCGTGGCCCAGAATGTCTACTTCTTCATGAAGCAACGAAATGCTTCCTACCTGCAGTGAGCGATGGGGTGCGCTGGTTCCGAGTCACAGAAAAGCAGCCTCACGCTGCTTCTAGAAGGAAGGGAATGTATGATCTGCGCCTCCAGAAAAGGCACCCCCAGGCCCCGGCCTCTCTCTGGGAGGTCTAGGGCTGGGCCATGTGACCGATGCTGGCATAGTGAGGCTGCCAGAGGATCCTTGACCAAAAATTTATAGCATCCTCAAGCCCTGGAGATGTTTTAAGAGGACCAGCAGCAGAAGCTAATAAAGTGGTTAAGTGGGCATCAATTTGCAAACCCTCTCGGCTTGGCCCAGGCCCCTGGATGAGGTCATTGCCCTGGTTTCCAGATCAGAACCCTCCAAGGAGAGGCTTCGAGGTGATGGGCAGAGTCTGCAGTGGGCCAGTTCCAGGGAGGGTCCCTTGGGTGCTTCTGCAAGCACCCCATCCCACCATGGGCAGAAAGCCAGGGACTGTTTGCACCCCAGGAGGCGCAGCACTGCACAATAACCCCTACAGTTTGCACGGGCTGAACGAGGTCCCGTGAGAGCTGCTGTCAGGGCAGGTGACCCGGGTTGCCCCCTCGGGAGAGGTGTGTGGTGCAGAGACAGAGGGACAGGAGCTCCCTGGGCTGGAGGCTCTCCTCCCACAAGCTGCCTGGACCCCCTTCCCCATCTGGAAGGGGGGACGCGCCCCTGGTCTGCTGCTCATGCCGGGATCTGTGGTGACAGATGATCAGATGGGATGTACCTGACCAAGGGGGCACCATACACTTTCTGTGCCAAGGCCTGTGGGCCTGTTGCCCCATTTGCCCAGATGGCTCCCTGAGCAAACAGCCCCTCCCCATTCACTTTTCCCAGAAGCTCATTCCTCTTACTAATGAAGGATCAGAGCTTGGACCAGAAGGGTTTTGTATAAACTCAGATGAGTGCTAAGTAAACAGCCGGGAACCCGCACGGCTGGAGAGTTTGTCCACTAGCCTGGCAGCCAGGCAAGGGCAAGTGACCACAGGCCAAGCAGGGGCCACAGTCTCCTGCTTTTAGCACCCCCCATGCACCGACCCCCTTCCCTCCCTGGCAGGGTCTGGAAGAGTGGGCTTCAGCCAGGCCAGGGGGTCCTGATGCAGCCTCATGTCCAGGCTCAGCCAGGCCAGCCACATCCTCTTCCACTGTGGATAGAGCTGCCCCGGCTGGAACCTACCCCCTCTGGCAGCAACCTGCCAACCCCTTGATATTACAAAATCTTTTTTTTTTTTTTTTTTTTTTGAGACGGAGTCTCGCTCTTTCACCCAGGCTGGGCTGCAGTGGTGCTATCTCGGCTCACTGCAAGCTCCGCCTCCCGGGTTCATGCCATTCTCCTGCCTCAGCCTCCCGAGTAGCTGGGATTACAGACGCCCGCCACTGCGCCCGGCTAATTTTTTGTATTTTTAGTAGAGACGGGGTTTCACCGTGTTGGCCAGGATGGTCTCCATCTCTTGACGTCGTGATCCACCCGCCTCGGCCTCCCAAAGTGCTGGGATTACAGGCGTGAGCCACCGCACCCGGCCGATATTACAAAATCTGTAAGTATTGCTGATCCGGCAGATGAATGGTGACACCAGGTGGCTGTACTGTGCACATCCCAGGCCACCTGTAAGGCCAAGCGTGTTTCATCCCCCTGTTGCTCATTGGACTCTTGGGATCTCTAGGTAGAGAATTTGCCCATTTCTCTGGGAATTTTTTTTTTGTTGGTTATAAATGCTACAGATATTTCTCACCAGACTTTCACTGCAAACTCTTTCTCTTCCTGTGCAGAGATTGCGCATTTTGTCAGAGTCAAATGTACCCATCCTCCGCAGCCTCGGCCTGAACGGGGCTTCCCCGCCCCGAGACCAGGCACTGCTCGCCCAGGCTCTGTCCTGACCTTCTCGGTGTTTTGTTGTTTTGGTGTTTCATGTTGGCCTCATTTTACTTTTATGTGGTATTTGGAAAGGACGTATATCAGGACTCAGGAACTGAAGTGTTTTTTTTGTTTTTATCTTTATTTTTTTTGAGACGGGATCTCTGCAACCCAGGCTGGAGTGCAGTGGCGCGATCTCAGCTCACTGCAATCTCTGCCTCCCAAGTTCAAGCAATTCTCCTGCCTCAGCCTCCAAGTAGCTGGATTACAGGTGTGCACCACCATACCCAGCTAATTTTTGTATTTTTAGTAGAGATGGGGTTTCACCATGTTGTCCAGGCTGGTCTCAAAATCCAGACCTCAGGTGATTCACCCACCTCAGCCTCCCAAAGTGCTGGGATTACAGGTGTGAGTCATTGTGCCCAGCCGGGAACTGAAGTGGTTTTTATTTTTATTTTGTTTCTGTATTTATTTTAGAGACAGGGTCTTGCTCTATCACCGTGGCTAAAGTGCATTGGTGCCATCACAGGTCGCTGCAGCCTCAAGCTCCTGGGCTCAAGCAATCCTCTTGCCTCAGTCTCCCGAGTAGCTGGGACTACAGGCATGAGCCACCACACCCAGCTTGAAGTGGTTTTCAGAACCATTTTTGTGAATGTGAGAAAGCATTTACCTTTTTTTCTTCCCCAGATTGGCTTGGCTGTGGGTCCAAGGTGTCATCTCTTATCTCTCTGAGGATTGTCATGTTAGGGACCTTTTTGGTAGGTGGCATTTTCACTGCTCCTTGCTGTGCCTCAGTTTCCCCCAGGTACTCCTCTGTGTGCTTTGGTCCTTCCTTTTTGGGGGGAAGGCCTGCCTTTCCATAGGAGGAGCAAGACTAGCAACTCCTTGTGGGGTGTCCAGGTAGAGCCTGGGGGCTGGCCTGCTTCTTTCTCGGGGACCCCAAAAGGAGGTCTTTTCCCCAGGCAGTTCAGCATCTCCCAGGAAGGCCCCTGAGGTCTCCTGCTTGGGGTTGGGGGTCCCTGTCTAGCCAATGGCAGCCTGAGCCGAGTGCAGGAAGGGTTCCAGGGGCCACAAGTCAGGAGGCAGCCCCTCCTCCACCTTCTCCCCAGACCTTAGCCATCCCGTGTCCCTCAGCTGTAACCCCTTAGATCCAGTTTCTCCAGAGAAGACCTTGTTTTGTCAGCTTTGGAAGGGCCATCGGGCCTGGCTGTGGGAGGCAGGGAAGGGGTGTGGGTCCCCCATAGCAACCTGGGCTCCCAGCCCCAGCCCCGCCATTCATCCATGCTGTGGTCACAGTGCTCGTCATCCACGCCTGTGGGAGGAGGACAGTGTCCTGCAGGTGGGCCTGGGGCTGGGCCTCCTGATGTGCCTCAGCCAGTGCGGCATGGGCAGGTGATGACAATCCCTCCCAGCAGACGTTTGAGGAGCTGTGCCCCTTTCCGGCACAGGACGGCTCTGTCTCAGGGAGGGCTGCTGGCTTCTGGGGTAAAGTGGGAGGAGGATGGGGTGTGAGACAGCAGCAGAGCATCTGGGATAGGCGTGTGCCTGCGTGAGGAAGCAGCCTGGGCTGCCGGAGCCACTGGGATTCCAGGGCTGTTTGTTACCACAGCAGAGCTCCACCGAGGCTGACAGCTACACCTGCTAAGTCAGTCACCCTCCTCAGCTTTGGGCTAAAATGTGGGGGACATCAAAATCTCTCATCTTGCCAAGTGCGGTGGCTCACACCTGTAATCCCAACACTTTGGGAGGCCGATGTGGGTGGACCACTTGAGGTCAGGAGTTCGAGGCCAGCCTGGGCAACGTGGTGAAATCCCATCTCTACTAAAAATACAAAAATTAGCTGGGCATGGTGGCACACACCTGTCATCCCAGCTACTCAGGAGGCTTAGGCAGGAGAATCACTTGAACCCAGGAGGCAAAGGTTTGCCCGGCCTGGGCAACAGAGAGAGACTCGATCTCCCACCAAAAAAAAAAAAAAAAAATCTCTCATCTACTGTTGTCTCCTCCCCAGCTTTTTTTCTTTTTCTTGTGGGCTTTTCTCCTTTAGAGGGAAGTTTTTAAAATTCCTTTCCTGTTATTGTAGGAGGGTTTGGGAGGGAGAGAGGGCTAAGGAGACACAGATAACAGGGATCGTGGCTGCCCTGCGCTCTTTGGTTTACGATCAGCGCCTGTGGACTCCAGTGCATGCTTTGCTGGCCTCTGCCTGCTGTGTGGCTTCATTCCAGGGCCTTTTGTTTTCTCGTGGACAGTGTTGTCCCGTCATTCCTTCCCTTAAGCAGGCTTGTGGGGGCAAACTCCCTGAGTCCGGGTGGGTTTGCAAATGCCTGGAATTCCTCTCATGCTTGAAAGATGATGACTGCGGATAGATTTGAAGCTGTCACCCATTGGTCTTTATACTCCAGTTGTACGTGTCAATCTGATTTGTGTTCCTTCTTTACCTCATAGCCTTCCTCTCCCCCTCCTCCTCCTCCCTCCCTCCCGCATTAGTTTCCTGACACGAACCTGGCGGCTTAGGACAACACACACTTACTCTCTCACAGTTCCTGAGGCTGGAAGTCCAGAAGTCGGGGTGCTGGCAGGACGTGCTCTTCTGAAGCCTCCAGGGCAGGGCCAGCCGCATGCCCGTCTCCTCGCTTGGGCACCTGCCAGCGGTCCCCGGCGGTCCCCGGCTCATTGCTGCATGGCTCCAACGTCCGCCTCTCCCACCATGTGGCCTCCTCCTGGTGTCTCTGTGTCCAAATCTCCCGCTCTGTCTAAGGATAACAGTCACTGGTCATGGGACCCATCCTAATCCAGGGTGACCTCGTATTAACCTCATCACATCTGCAAAGACTATTTCCAAGTCAAGCCACACTCCCAGCTGCTGGGGGCGGGACTTGAACATATTTTTTGTGGGGACACAATTCCCCTCTCAGGTTTTAAGATTTGTCTTTATCATTAAAGTTTTCAAAACTAACTATCATGTGTCAGGTCAACATTTTGTTTTCCCCTTTTCACCTGAAAACTTACATTTCTCTTCAATTTGGGGAAATTTTTCCTGTGTGTGTCTGTGTCTGTGTCTGTGTGTGTCTATGTGGTGTGTCTGTGTTTTCTGTGTGGGTATGTGTGGTATGTGTGTTTTCTGTGTACGTGTGGTGTGCGTGTGTAGGTGGGTGGTCTCTGGTATTTGTGTATGTCTGGGTTTTCTGTGTATGTGTGGTATGTGTCTGTGTGTGTGCTTGTGTATCTGTGTGTGTGTTCATCTGTGTGTACGTGTGGTGTGTATCTCTGTGTGTGTGCTTGTGTATCTGTGTGTGTTCATCCGTTTGTGTGGTATGTGTCTCTGTGTGTGTGTATGCTTGTGTATCTCTGTTCATCTGTATGTGTGGTGTTTGCTTGTGTATCTGTATGTGTGTGTTCATCTGTATGTGTGGTATGTGTCTCTCTGTGTGTGTGCTTGTGTATCTGTGTCTTTCTGTGTGATGCATGTGTCTGTGTGTTCATCTGTGTGTACGTGTGGTGTGTATGTGGGGGGGGTTGTGTGGTATGTATGTGTGTATATGGGTGGTGTGTGAGTATGCATCTGTGTGGTGTGTGCATCTGTGTGTGTGGTATGTGTGTGTGTGCATCTGTGGGTCTGTGGGGGTGTGTGTCTGGTGTGTGTGTGTGTATGGGTGGTGTGTGAGTAGGCATCTGTGCGCATCTGTGTGTGTGGTATGTGTGTGTGATGTGTGTATCTGTGGTGTGTGTGTGCATCTGTGGGTCTGTGGTATGTGGGGAGGGTGTCTGTGGTATGTGTGTATGTGTAGGGTGTGAGTGTGCATCTGTGTGCATCTGTATGTGTGTGGTATGTATGTGTCTGTGCGATTGTCTGTGGTGTGTGTGTGCATCTGTGTGTCTGCGGTGTGTATGTGTGTGGTGTGTGTGTGGTGTGTGAGTGTGCATCTGTGTGCGCCTGTGTGTCCGTGTGTGGGTGGTGCCTCCTCTCTGCCCTCCTCCCTCTCTGTCCTCCTTCTGGAAAGCCTGCTGGATGGCTACGACGACGACTTGTGGATCTCACCTCCGTGTTTCTCAGCTTTTCCTTGACAATTTATTTCTAGGTCCACAATCTGCGGAGTCGCCTTCCTGGGCTCAGTCTTCATCCTGTCAATGTTTTCATCTTCATCCATTTTGCTACTCAGTCCCTTCACGGTGGCGTTTTATTTGAATTCATGTTTGTACTGTTCCTTTTCTTTCTCCAGCTGATCCCTCTCTGCACACACAGCATTCTCCTGGCTCTCGCCGAGATGTCTACACACATTCCGGAGTCTCCTAATTGCTTTCTCAGTTATGTTTCCCAGGGGCGGGAGTGGGGTGACTCCTTCCCTCGGTTGCGCTGCCGTTTCCTTTCTGTCTTGGCTGTCTTCCATGCTTGGTGTGGTAGCTGAATAACGGCCCCCAAAGATGTCCTGGTCCTGATCCCTGGCACCTGTGAATATGGGACCAAAAGGGACACTGATGATATGAGTAAGTTGAGGCTCTGGAGATGGGAGATTATCTCGGATTATCTAGGTGGTCCTAATGTCATCACAGACTCCTTATAATATGGAAGCAAGTGCTTAACGATGGGAATACATTAAAAAAGGAAAAAATGAAAACGGAAGCAAGAGGGTCAGAGAGATACGCCGCAGTGGGAGCAGGCCGGAGAGAGGCTCTGCTGCTGGCTTTGTAGGTGGAGAGGGGGCCATGAGCCGAGGGATGCAGGTGGCTTCTGGAAGCTGAAAAAGACAAGGAAACCAATTCTCTCCTAGGGCCTCCAGAGGAACCAGCGCTGCCGACTCCTTGATTCTAACCCACTGAGGCCTATTTTGGATTTCTGCACCCCAGAACTGTGGGAGAGTAAATTGTGCTGTTGAAGCCACCACATTTGTGGTGATCTGTTCCAGCTGCAGTAGGAAGCTCGTATGCTTGGCAGTTCTGATTGTGAACTCACCTTTATGTTGGAGATTCCTTTACACATAAGTCCCCTTATCCACAGCGGACAAATTCCATGACCCCCAGTGGATGCCTGAAATCGCGGAGAGTACTGAATCCTACATATAATGTGTTCTTTCCTATATGTATATGTATATATCTATATCTATGATACAGTCTAATTTATAAATTAGGCACAGTGAGAGATTAACAACAATAACTAATAGTAAAATAGGACAATGATGACAATATAATGTAATAAAAGTTTTGTGAATATGGTCTCTCTTCTCTCTCAAAATATCTTACTGTAAAATTAGCTGGCCATGGTGGCGTGTGCCTGTAGTCCCAGCTACTCAGGAGTGTGAGAAGGGAGGATCACTTAAGCCTAGGAGGTGGGGGCTGCAGTGAGCCAAAGATTGTGCCATTGCACACCAGCCTGGGCAACAGAGTGAGATCCTGTTTCTAAAAACAAACAAACAAAAAACAAACTTACTGAACTTATTGTACTGATATTTTTGAACCATGGTCGACTGTGGGTAACTGAAACCATGAAAAAGTGAAACCACTGATAAGGGGGATTGCTGTACTCCCTGCTGTGTCAGTGACTCAGCCTCCCTGGTGGAGGGAACGGCTGCTGGGGAACACATTGGAAGCTGGTCTTCTGGGTCCCCAGGAGGCAACCTATTCATGAAAATAATATGTTCATTTTATACAAGTTGGAAAATATAGAATAATATAAATAATTTGCATAAGACTCATAATCTGGTTCACAGGCAACCATTATAAATATTTGAAAAAAATTTTTTTTTTTTTTTAGACAAGAGTTTCGCTCTTGTTGCCCAAGCTGGAGCGCAATGGCGCGATCTCGGCTCACTGCAACCTCCGCTTCCCAGGTTCAAGCGATTCTCCTGCCTCAGCCTCCCGAGTAGCTGGGATTACAGGCACCCGCCATGACATCTGGCTAATTTTTTGTATTTTTAGTAGAAACGGGGTTTCACCATGTTAACCAGGCTGGTCTCGAACTCCTGACCTCAGGTGATCCACCTGCCTGGGCCTCCCAAAGTGCTGGGATTGCAGGTGTGAGCCACCGCACCCGGCCAAATGTTTGAAATATTTTTATGCAACTACAGGAGGGAAGAGAGAAAGAAAGAGGGAGAAGGGGAAGGGGGAAGTTGGGACCTAATAGGAGCACTTTTTCTGTCTGTTTTCCCCACTTACATTGTAGCTTGTGAGCACCTTGCTAAGCCATTACCATGTTTTATGCACAATAGTTTGATGGCTGCGCCATACTCCATGGGATGGATGTCTTATATAAATTGTTCATGTCATTGCGTATTTAAGTTGAAACAGCCCAGTGACATTTGAGCTACATCATTGTGCATCTCTGACATTTTCTCAGCACTAACACTCAAAAGTGGAGCCGCTGGCTCAGTGGGAAGGGGCGTTTTTAAAGCTCTGCATTTGGAACAAGTTACAAAGGAGAGTGCCATCCTGCGCAAGCCCACAGCCAGGGTCTGCATGCCAGAGAGGGCCAAGGAGTCTAGGCTCAGAAGGTAAAGCCAGTGTTTGGTCTGGGGTCTGATGCAGTCCAGTTAGTGACCAGGGTTGGTGTTGGCTGCCTCCAGGAGGCTGGGCGGGAGCCAGAGGCTGGGCAGCCAGTTAGGAGGCACCCGAAGGCACCTGGGCATCACCAAAACGGGTTTGAATGTTCCCAAAACTTAAATTCAGCTTCAGGGCTGGGTGTGGTGGCTCACGCCTGTAACCCCGGCACTTTGGGAGGCCGAGGTCAGGAGTTCGAGACCAGCCTGGCCAACAGGGTGAAACCCTGTCTCTGCTAAAAATACCAGAAAAATTAGCCAGGCGTGGTGGTGCATGCCTGTAGTCCCAGCTACTCGGGAGGCTGAGGCAGGAGGATTTCTTAACCTGGAAAGCGGAGGTTGCAGTGAGCTGAGGACACACCACTGCACACCAGCCTGGGCGACAAAGCAAGACTGTCTCCAAAAATAGAAAAAAAAAAATCATCTTCATCAGATGAAGAGCTGCCTCTGGTGAGGACAGAGAAGTGACCGAATCCCTGGGGTGCTGCCCAGCACTGCAACCTCTTGGGATATGTGGGCCAGGCTGCTTGGCCCAAGTCCAGGCGGGCACAGGGTGAGTCCCGGCTCAGGAGGGTTTTGTGAAGGACACTGAGGGACGCTGTTGCCATCCACTTGGAAACGCTGAGTGCCCCAGAGTGGCAGACACAGTGTCCAGTCCTGGCACTGAAGAGCTTGACTCCCGTCCGTCCCAGCAGCCGTCTCCCATAGTCTGGCGAGGCCGGGAGGCCCAGGCTGCCACACCGCACGCGCCTTCCCTGTGTCCTTCACCCATCTCGCCCCTGAACGGGATGCCCACTCTACGCCCAGCTGGCCAGGCGCCGGAGACAGTGGTGGGCACACTGGACAGAGCTGGGCGTCCCCTTGGGGCAGACTCTTGTCCCTGGGTTACACAGCTTCGGGGGTTGGGTTGGGTGGGGTTGGGGCGGACGTCCCGTGCAGGGCAGGACAGGTCAGGGCGCACTGGTCGGAGCTGGGGCCTGAGGCTACCGGGCGCTGAGGACGGGCGGCAGGTGTCCGCGCACACACCGGGCGCAGCCCTGTCCCCGCTGCCAAACCCTCCGCAGCGGCCGCGCTTACTCCTCGGCCAAGCCTGCTCTGCAGAGGGGGAAACGGAGGCTCCGGCCAGCGGGGCCCCAGCTGGTCAGCGCGTCTCAGCCTAGCGGAAGCCTGCGTCCCTGGGCTTCCCTGGTGCCGCTTCCCCGCTGTCCGCGCCTGGCGCCCTGGGAGCGGGGGTCAGAGTCGTGACCCGAGGAATCTTGGGGCCGATGAAGCAGGAGGACAGGACCCTCCTGGAGCCGGGGGACGACGGTGCCCGGTGCCCGGCAGGTCAGGTGGCGCCGGAATCGCGGGGCAGGGGTCCCTCCGGCCGCGCCCCTTCCCTTCCGCGGCACATTCTGAAGGTTCTGCCGATGGAGAGAGTGGGGCTGGAGAGCGAGATGCTGGACGGGGCCGAGGGACAGGGATCTGCTGTTGGGGAACGGAGGGCTGCGCGGACCACGCACCGGCCCCAATCCCCCAATCGTCCACACCCCTCCTTGTGGCTGGAAACCCTCGGGTACCCCCACCTGCCCCAGGCACCCGTCTCCAACAAGGGCACTTCTGCCCTGTGGGGCCGCTACTGCGCTCTTGAAGCCGGGAGCTTCGCACCTGTGCGCAGAGAAGCCCCGCCCCTCCCAGCGGCCACGCCCCAACAACCACGCCCCCACGCGTGGCCCCGCACGGTCCTCGCCTCGGAGGCAGCCCCACCCCTCTCTTCGGTCCTCTCATGACCACGCCCCTTCTCACCCCGCCCCTGGTGACAGGCCCCGCCCCCGCCGCGGCCCCGCCCCACACGACCACACCCGCCTCGGCCCCGCCCCTCGCCTGGCCCCGCCTTTCATGGCCGCGCCCCGCCCCTGGCCGCGGCCGGTGTCGTCCTCCGTGGGCGCCGGGGCTGCTGCTTTCCTTGGCGTCGCGAGCGAGCGGTGGACTTGCCGGCTGGGTGCAAGCAGGGCGGGCGCGGAGCGGGGCTCATCTGGGGCGGCCGGGCCCCACCTGCAGCCGAGCGACGGACGGCAGGCCCTGTCCTCCCACAGGGACACCTGTCCTTTCCCTTCGCAGGCGTTCTTTTTCTTCAGCTGTTTCCCGCTTCCTGAGATCTGGAGGCCTTCTTTTTGCACAAATATGTTGTTTTGAAACACTGGGCATTGTTCTGAGGCTTCAGTCACGGCCTGCAGCCAAACGCAACTCGCATTTCAACCGAGCGCCCCGGCACTCTGGGGAATTAGGGGAGCGGATGAAAGATTTAAAAATCCACGGTCACTGTGCAGAGATAAGGAAATGTGATTCGTGTGTGGCTCTGAAACATGACTTTTCACTGAACGTCGCGTCCTGGGCATGTTCCCAGGCGATCCTTCACATTCCTAAAGGCCTGGTAATGCACCCATACCTGGAACCCCGGGCCACCCTCCAGAGTGACCTCATCCTCAGCACTGCCTCAGACTCAGACACCCGAAGCTGCAGAGGTGGGACCCCGCATCACAAGTGGGAAGGCGAGGCCTGCCTGGGGTGTGGACTCCCAGCTGCTGGAGGAACATTGTCCTTTGGCTCAGAAGAGAAAGCCAGTTTCTCTTCCGGCCTTTCCAGTTCCAGAGGAGCCCCCAGGGTGTCCCTGGTTTGGGGACAGTTCCCACTTACAAGCTGAAGGAGAATCCCACTCACCATTGGACAGAGGAGAAACAGGCCCAGCGAGGGGAGTGCTTGCCTGTACAGAGTGAGTTGGTGGGGAGGTGGATAAAAGTCTCGGGGTGGGAGAGACCCCCAGGGGTCCAGACTGAGCCCACACCAGGATGGTCGGACGACCCAGGGCCACCTCTGCCCCAGGAGCTCACCTGACAACCCAGGGGGCGGTGAGACCTCCTTGTTGGGGGCATCCTCCTTGATGATGCAAAGCTGCCAGAGCATCCCAGGGACACCCCCAGGGGCTCTGACACCTGCTGTCAGAGTCACTTTCCCCAAAAGGACCTTCTCCTGTAGCCCCCAATGTTGTCCTCAGCTCCCCCACTTCTCTTGATCCACCAGGCTTCATGGCCAAGATGGGTGGGCCCACTGTGTGACTGGGGGTCCCCTGGGGGAGAGTCAGCAGTCTACCCCACCCCTCTTTGAGGGCCCATGGAACCTGGGGATTCCCTTCTGGAACCCACTCCCAGGGAGAAAGCAAAGTACCTGGCCAGGAAGGTGAAGCCCAAAGACAGCCCGAGCCGCTCACCGCCCCCGCCCCGTGTTCTCTGTGAGGGAGCCCCCTGGAAGGGGGTGCTTCTCTGACTCTCCCAAAGTGGGAGAAGCCCACTGGGTGGCACAGAGGCCTCCAGCCTAGGCCCAGAGCAGGGGTGGCTGGCAGAATTCTATTCCCAGCACCCAGGTCACAGCATCACTGCTGCCACTCAAATGCCACAGGACAGACTGGACAGGCGGAGAGAGACAACAGCTTCACCTCCCCTCCTCCTCTAGGCCCCTGGGACCCCAAGGGAGAATCTGAACTCTAGCAGACGAGCCTCTGTCTTTGGCCTAATCATCTACCCACCTGGGAGACCGTTGCCCTCACACAGCATGGCCTGGCAAGGAGAGAGGTGTGGGCCACATCCCAGCCTTCTTGTTAAGTGTGAAGTCCAGGTCCTCCTCCCCCAGCACCTTTCTTTCCCACTCAGCACATTCAGAGCCTGGCTACGGCCACTTCCTTTCTGTTCCAGGTATGGGGGACGTCACACGGCCTTTAGGAACGTGAAGAAACACCTGGGAACACATCCAGGGCACGATGTTTGGCAAAAACACGTTTCAGAGCCGCACGTGAATTTTGTACAAATGTGAATTCTCTCACAAGCATGGATTTTTAAATCTCTCATCCACTCTCCTAATTCCTCAGAGTGCTTGAGCGCTCAGTTGAAATGCATGTTACGTTTGGCTGTGGGCCGTGACTGAAACCTCAGAACAATGCCCAGTCTCTGCCCCCCTCCCCCTGCCCCTCTCTTGAAGTGGCCTCTGCCCTGTGTGGTGACCCCCAACCTCAGCTTCTGGGTGGGCCTCTGGCTAAGTTGGAAGTGGCTGCCACCCCACACCTCAGAGTGTTTCTGACAACACTGAAATTGCACCTTCGTTTACGCTGAACCTTGCAGCCTAAATCAGCAGCCCCTTTCTGACTCCTTTAAATTTGGTGGAAAGATTTTCTCTCCCCATGGGACATCTTTCCTGCCTCTGGCTTGGCCACTCCTCCCTCCAGGAGGCTCACCTGGGCCCTCCTGGCTTTCACCTCTCTCCTTGTCAGCCCAGTGTCTGCACATCCGCTTTGCTTTTCCTTCGCCTCTGGGCCTGACATGTGTGTTTCTGGCGTGTTCCTTCAGTGAGTCTCGTATCACGTCACGGATTCTGCATCTGCCAACAGCTTCCATGACTTAAGCATACCTCCCTCCCTACTCCCCAGGCGGTTGATCCTCATCCTTCCAGGGGTGTCCCCCATCAGACCCACAGCCAGGACTCCCCATTAGGGACACAGATGTAATCGCAGTGAATTCATATCATTTTATGTTGCCCCAGCTTTCAATTTTAAATACTTTTATTTTACTTTTTTTTGGAGACAGAGTCTTGCTCTGTCACCCAGGCTGGAGTGCGTGGTGCCATCTTGGCTCACTGCAACCTCCACCTCCCAGGTTCAAGCAGTTCTCCTGCCGCAGCCTCCCAAGTAGCTGAGACTACAGGCATGCACCACCATGCCCAGCTAATTTTTATATGTTTAGTAGAAACTGGGTTTCACCCTGTTGACCAGGCTGGTCTTGAACTCATGACCTCAGGTGATCCACCTGCCTCGGCCTCCCAAAGTGATGGGATTACAAGCGTGAGCTACCGTGCCTGGCATATTTTACTTTATTTTTTAATTGATACAATAATTGTATAAATTTATGGGGTACATAATGATGTTTCCATACATATATAGTGATTAGATCAGGGTAATTAGCTTATCATCTCAAACATTTATCATTTTTTCATGTTGGAAACATTCAGTATTCTCCTTCTGGCTATTTGAAGCTATAGGAGATATTATTGTTAACTATAAAGCATCCATTTTGCATACAGATGCTCCTGGACTTACGATGAAGCTGCATCCCAATAAACACATCATAAGTTGAAAATATCGCAAGTCAAAAATGCATTGAATACACATAACCTACCAAACATCATAGCTTAGCCTGGCTTTCCATAAACGTGTTCAGAACACTAACATCAGCCTGCAGCTGGGCAAACTCACCTGGGGACACAGTGGCCTGCAGAGTGAGTCGCTTACCCTCCGCCTGGTGCGGCTGACCCGGAGCTTCAGCTTCCTGCCATGGGTATGGTAGGACGTATGGCTAGCCCAGGAAAGATCAAAATTCAAAGTACAGTTTCTACTGAATGCATATTGCTTTAGCATCATTGTAAAGCTGAAAATTCCTAAATTGAACCATCATAAGTCGGATACTCTCGGCATGAGTTCAACTTTCTTGTATCTGAAGCAGGACAGGCTCCGACAGTTCATGAAACTTGGCCACTCGCTTTAACCTTTTTCCATTTTAGAAAAAAAAAAATTCAGCTCCCTGCTAGCGCTCATTTAATTTTACATAAACATACTCTTTGAGGCTGAAGCAAATCTGACTAATTTTTAATGTGAAAATAAAATATAAATCTATTCTTGGAGGCCAGGAGTGGTGGTGCACACCTGTGGTCCCAGCTACTCAGGGGGCTGAGGTGGGAGGATCGCTTGAGCCTAGGGGGTCAAGGTGGCAGTGAGCTGTGTTCGTGCCATCCCACTCCGGCCTAGGTGACAGAGTGAGACACTGCCTCAAAAAAAAGAAAAGAAAAAACTGTTCTTGGAGTTATTTCTAAACAGAACTAACGTCAAAATCATCTGAATCATTAGAATGATCCATCTGGGGCTGGGCGTGGTGGCTCACGCCTGTAATCCCAGCACTTTGGGAGGCCGAGGTGGGTGGATCACTTGAGGTCAGGAGTTGAAGACCAGCCTGGCCAACACTGTAAAACCCCGTCTCTACTAAAAATACAAAAATTGGCCAGGTGTGGTGGTGCATGCCTTTAGTCCCAGCTACTCGGGAGGCTGAGGCAGGAGAACTGCTTGAACCCAGGAGGCGGAGGTTGTAGTGAGCCGAGCTGGTGCCACTGCACTCCAGCCTGGGTGACAGAGTGAGACTCCATCTCCAAAAAAAAAAAAGTAATCTATTTGTGAAAAATTTATCAAACGGATCTTCAGCCAACAACTGTTTGAGGACAATATTAACATCACGTGTAGGAATGCTGTGTTTTCTAGGACTTGAGGTTTTCAGCCATAGAGAATGACTATATTTTGTGAATGGAAACATCACTACTAAAGCCAGAATGCTATGAATCGTGACGTCTTTTGTTTCCGAAGTCAATATACCAGAGTGATGTGAAAATAATGAAAGTGAGATATTGTGTGGCAAAGTTATCTCTGGGTAAATGCTGCAGCCGCAAGCGCTGTTGGTGACTATTCTTGGGGCAAATGGGAAAAGGGTTAAACCTGCTAGTTGGAACTCCCCAAGGGGAGCCTGCCTGGGTAGGACCCTGGGGCCCAGGAAAGGGCTCAGCCACAGCCCCTCCCGCGCTGTCCGGCTCCCACCTGCTGGCTGACATGTGTGTCCCGGAAGGCTTCCTCCTTCCCACTGGCCCTGCGAGGTTTGCTGCCCTGTTCCCTCTGGGATCTGAGTCACGAAACTGCTTCTGTAGCTTCACGTGTTAGTGGGGCCAGCTCCTCTGTGTCTCCCCTGACTGACACACCTGAACCTAACTTCTTTCCCAGTTAGGGCTCTCCTAGAGAGTGGACCACTTAGCAGGAATAAACCCAACACAGGTCAGACCAGAGCCACAAGGGCACCTGCTGGTGTAAACAAGCCCCTGGTCACAGGTCAGGCCCCCAGGCATTAAGCCGTCTGCCAGGATAAAGAAGTGTCCCTGAAAGCTCACTGTGCCCACCCACCACCACCAGCTCCCCCGGAGCTAGATTTTATGTCCACTCTCCAGAGAGAGCAACCCTAGACCAAACTAGAGTAAAACACAACAAGAGTAGAAAAATGTAGTAAAATAATTAGGAAGTGATGAGTTTCCAGTATTTATTATCCATGTTTGTATTTGTGTGTGTGTTTGAGACAGCGTCTCAGCTGACTTAGCTAGACTCCCAGGCTAGAATGCAGCGGTACCATCACGGCTTACTGCAGTCTCTGACTCCTGGGCTCAAGTGATCCTCCCACCTCAGCCTCCTGAGTAGCTGGGACTACAGGCATGAACTGCTATGCTCTGATAATTTATTGTTTAAGAGATGGGGTTTTACTATGTTGTCCAGGCTGGTCTCAAACTCCTGGGTTCAAATGATCCACTCACCTTGGCCTCCCAAAGTGCCGGGATTACAGGTATGAGTCACTGCACCCACCTCTTATTATCTGTGTTTTTAAAATATAACTCATTTGGTTATAAGTGTTTATAATTAATTTTTAATAATGACTGTGTTTTAACAACCAGCTCAGAATTCCTGTAAATTTAAGGCTGGGCTCCCGAGACCCCCGGGAATTGGCTCCAGCACATCTCGAGGCCCTGCAGCTCCTACAGTGTTTCTTGGGTTCCCTTTTGCAGTCTGAACCCCACGACCTTGGGATGCAGACAACAGCAGCCTCCGCACCTCCAAAACTGTCACCCCAAACTCTCAACCCAGTGCCTTTTCCAGTGCCTGCCTGATCTACGTGTGGCCACATTTTCTCTGGAATTGTCCAAGGTTGGGGGACCCAGTTGCTGTCATAGGCCCTCTGTGAATATCTCAGGAAGTGCCCCCCAGCAGTCTCTGGGCGTCTGTCCTGGAGTGAGATGAGACTGTCTGTAAGCCACCCTGGGCCTCCTGGTGCCCGGGCTAATGGTGATTCTCCAAGCCAGTTACCCAGGCACAGGCCTCAGATTTGGGTCAGTCTCCCAGCTGTGGCCACTTCCGCAGAGGAAGAGAGGGGCCCAGAAGTGCTTCTTGTTCCATCCTGAGGTCAGTGACCCTCCCTGGGTGAAGCAAGGTCAGGACCCTGCCATTTAAAGCCAGTCCAGGCTGATGGGCTTGACCGACCCGAGGTGGCCTGAGAGCACTGTCTGGAGGGGGATGGGTCGACTCAGGATGCAGCGGGGCAGAGTGAAGTTCACAGCAGTACACTGTGGGTGGCAAGCAGCCCCGACCCGCACCAGCTCACCTGCGTCTGGTCCCAGCGTCCCTGGGGTCTCAGTCTGCGCACTGAGAGACGCCCACTCAGAACCTCTGGGGCTGCACCCGTTGGCTCCTGCCACCTTTCCCGGGGCCCTACCCCTCATTCTACCCTGCAGACCCCACCAGGGAGTGTCCACCTGGTCCCGTCTGGCCCTGTCCAGGGAGCAAGTCCTACCACTGAGCTCACCAAGACTGAAGCAATTTCAATTCCAGTTCCTGCTGGCTCTGACTTAATACCTTCATTCATTGCTTGGCTTTTCAGCCTCATCTCTGCAGTGGGGCTTGAACCCCGTCCTCCTGTGGGACATTGGTCCCCGCCGGCTGAGGCTGGACGCCAGGCCACTGTCGCCTGCTTCCAGACACAGAGCACAGCAATCCCAGCCCACTGCTTTGAGTTCCTCATCCGTTTCTATACCAGAGTCCAGCCATGTCTTCTTTCTAGTTTATCCCTCATTGATGTAGTTGGAGCTAGAAGAATGCCCTGTGAATTCACAGTCATTTGGGGCTGAGATTAAAGAATAGAAGTTGACATTGGGTGGGCCGGGACTCTTGGCCGGGTGCTGGGGAGGGATTCCCATCATCTGCCCCGTTGCTGCTGGCACCTGGATCCAAAGGTGGCACATTCTAAATGAGGTCAAAATGGCTAAAATGCCATATGGCATGATGCAGAAAAGGAATGCAAAGACTGAGAGAGACAAGCATATTATAGCAGATAACACTGCACCCTACTCTACCTAGGCCCCCAGAGGGACCCAAAGACCCTCCCTTCCCAAGGGGCTTAGAAATACTCTGGTGGGGCTGGGCGTGGTGGCTCATGCCACCCAGCACTTTGGGAGGCCGAGGCGGGCGGATCACGAGGTCAGGAGATCGAGACCATCCTGGCTAACACGGGGAAACCCCGTCTGTACTGAAAATACAAAAAATTAGCCGGGTGTGGTGGCGGGTGCCTGTAGTCCCAGCTGCTTGGCAGGCTGAGGCAGGAGAATCGCTTGAACCCAGGAGTCGGAGCTTGCAGTGAGCTGAGACCACACCAGCTGACTCCAGCTGACTCCAGCCTGGGCGACAGTGCAAGACTCCGTCTAAAAAAAAAAAAAAAGAAAGAAAAAAGACTTACTCTGGTGGGGGGATGCCACCCTGGGCCAGCTCTTAAGGACAGAAGGTGCACAGGGGCACCCTGCAGCTGGCATGGATACCTTGATGAAGCAGGTGCATTGAGTAGCTACTCCCTGACTGGCAGCAAGAGGGAGAGGTGGCAGGGGCTGGGGGGGGGCCTGCAGAGATCCCTGGTGCCTTCCGGTGGTTGTGGGATCCGCTGGACCACACAAAGGGCAGCCACTAAGGTTAACAATTGGTGAGGGCAGTGGGCTGAGAAAACCCAGGTCTGGAGCAGCCCTGGGGAAGTCCTCGCCCTCACCCAGCTCCCAGGCCTGAGTCATTCTGTGACCTGGGGCCCTGTGCTAAGGAGGAAGGTGGGCGACCTGGAGGAAGAGCATGGTCGTAGTCCCAGAAGTGAGACCCCCAGGCCTGCCCCCACACCTCGGGGTGGCCTTCCTTGTGTCGTGGGGGAGTGATCTGTCCTCCCTGCGATGGGGTCTGCACTCCTGGCTGCAGCACCTCTCAGCCATGGCCTCCTGGAACCCCTCAAGGGACAGTGAGTGAAGGGGCTGGGGAGCTGATGGTGGCCTTCCAGAAGCAGCTGCCGAACGGACGGACCGGCGGAGCTGATGATGGCCTTCCAGAAGCAGCTGCTGAGCGGACGGACCGGTGGGACCCATTGGAGGCTCCGTCACGGGGCCCTGGCTGGAGTCACACCTGGAGGTCTGCAAAAGGGCAAGGTCCTCATCCGTGAGGCCTACAGCCAAATGTGCAGCCCAGGGCAGTGACAGAGCTGCTGCCACCCTGCGGCCGTGCCCCTCTGACTTGGGGGTTTGTACTGGAGGGGTGGCTTGCCCAGTCGTGGCACTCCGGTGGGACTGAGGCTGAACTTGCTTTGGCGTGGTGGGTCAGCTGGCTCTGGGCCCTCAGCTCCCCCGGGCGAGGCAGCCCTGCTTGTTGTCTCCACATCTCCTCTTCCCTCCGTTTCCGTGGCCCCTGGTTGGAGGGTGGTGCTCACCCATCCTGGGGGCTTTGCCCTCCTCCAGCCCCTCCCCAAGGCCAAGCTGCAGCTTCTGCAGGAGACGGGGCTGGGGGCCTGGTGGGGTGTCCTTAGACACCCTGGGGTATGGGACTTTCCAGGAAGATGTGCCACCATCACACCACTGTACCCCAACTTGAGGGAGTGTGCAGTCTGATAAAGACCACCTGGGCTTGCGGGAGAGGAGGTGGGCTTCCCACAGAAGCCAAGAAGCCCACGAGCCTTGCCACCTACTGCCAAGCGCAGGAGAAGGGCGCTGAGGAACAGGGAGGTGGCACCGGGTCCAAAGGCCAGTTTGTGGCCTCCACAGACTGGAGGCTCGATATCCTCCGCTGCTCCGTTGCAGGGGCAAAAAGAGAGTTAAGAGACAAGGAAACAGGTGTGGAGGGATGGAAGTGTGAACCAATGGTATGCAGTTGCTCTTGGGAAATCCTATGTACAGATAGGAAATCTGGACACTGACTCCATATGGGATGACATTTAGGAATTATTAATTTAAAAGCTTTCATTTAAAAATTAACATACAGGGCCGGGCATGGTGGCTCACGCCTGTAATCCCAGCATTTTGGAAGGCTGAGGAGGGCGCATCATTTGAGGTCAGGAGTTTGAGATCAGCCTGGCCAACATGGTGAGACCCCATCTCTACTAAAAATATAAAAATTAGCGAGTATGATGGTGCATGCCTGTAATCCCAGCTACTCGGGAGGCTGAGGCAGAACTGCTTGAACCTGGGAGATGGAGGCTGCAGTGAGCCAAGAGCATGCCACTGTGCTCCATCCTGGGCTTCAGAGTGAGACTCCGTCTCAAAAATAAATAAAATAAAACAAAATTAACGTACAGCAGAACGGACTTTTTTAGTGTGGAGTTCTAGCAATGTTCCTGCCTGTATGGGTTTGTGCGATGCTCCCCTCTGCACACACCATCCACACGCAGCGTGATCCCATCACCCCAGAAAGCCCCTCATGGCGCTCCTCTGCAGGACCAGGCTTCCTGACCCCTGGAAGCCGCCGGTTACTTCTCCATGGCTTGTGTCCTTTTGACAACATTGGACAAATGGAATCATAGCCAGATGTGGTGGCTAGAGCCTGTAATCCCAGCCACTCTGGAGGCTGAGGCGGGAGGATCACTCCAGTCCAGGAGCTGGAGATCAGCCTGGGCAACACAGTGAGACCCTGTCTCAAAAAACTAATCATACATAATAATAAGTAAATGGAATCCTACAGTATGTAATGTTTGAGGCTGGCTTCTTTCTCTCCAACGTGCCTCCAAGGCTCACCCTTTCCACTCGGGAGCGTGATCTGCTGCATGCGTGCCCCGCAGCCTGGCCGCTGCTCACTTGATCAGATCTTGAAGGACGTCTGTGTCATTTCCAGGTTCTGGCTGTCACAAGCAGTCATGCTCTAGACATTTATGTATGGGTTTTCGTGTGAGGACAGGTTTCCGTTTCTCCAGGATAAACACCTGGTAGTGAGAATGCTCAATATTCAGTTTGTAGGTAACTGCCTGGCTGTTGTCCAGAGTGGCCACACTATCTCGCATGGCCACTGTCCCAACGTGTGAGCTCCAGATGCTGCCCGTGCTCGCCCAGAGTGACCAATCACTGCACTTTGTCCGGGTCTGAGGAGTTTCCTGGGATTTGAGACTTTCCATGCAAAAATCAGGAAACTCCTGGACAAACTAGGACATGGGTCACCTTTCTCTTTGATGGTTAATTTTACGTCAGCTCGACTGGGCTGAGGGATGCCTGGATGCTGGGGAGACACTGTTTCTGAGGGTGTCTGTGAAGGGGTTTCTGGAGGAGATGAGCATTTGAGCCTCCTACTTAGTAAACTGGATCTGCCCTCACCATGCAGGCAGCCAGCATCCAATCCACTCAGGGCTCGGGTAGAACAAAAAGGCAAGGGAGGGTGAATTTTCTCTCCGAGCTGGGACCTCCATCTTCTCCTGCCCGCAGCATCAGCCCACCGGTTCCTGGGCCTTCGGACCTGGACTGGGTCAGACTGCTGGCTTTCCTGGTGTGCCAGCTTGCAGACAACACTGTGGGACTTCTCAGCCTCCGTTTGGATGAGTCAATTCCTATAATAAATCTCTCTCTCTCTCTGTCTCCACCCCATATAGATATAGATACAGAGAGACAGATACATAGATAGATACAGATATATCTCCTGTTGGTCAGTTTCTATGGAGAACCCTGACTTATATACTTGTCAACACTTGGTATTATCAGTGGTTTGTTAAATTTTAGCCATTCTAATTGTTGTGTAGTTGGGATCTCATCGTGGTCTTAGTTTGCGTTTCCCTGGGGGCTAAAGGTGTTGAGCAGCTGTTCATGTGTCTCTTAGCCACTTGTAGGCCTCCTTTGATGGAGTGTCTATTCCAATCTCTTCTCAATTTTTTTCTTATTGGGTTGTTGGTTGTTTTTTTTTTTTTTTTTTCTTTGAGACGGAGTCTCGTTTGTATCACCCAGGCTGGAGTGCAGTGGCTCAATCTCGGCTCACTGCAACCTCTGCCTCCCGGGTTCAAGCAATTCTCCTGTCTCAGCCCCCTGAGTAGCTGGGATTACAGGCACACGCCACCACACCTGGCTAATTTTTGTATTTTTAGTAGAGACAGGGTTTCACCATGTTGGCCAGGCTGGTCTTGAACTCCTGACCTCAGGTGATCCACCTGCCTTGGCCTCCCAAACTGCTGGGACTACAGGCGTGAGCCATCATGCCTGGCCTTGATTTTCTTACTGTTGAGCTTTGGGAGTTCTTTATACATTTTTGAGACATATCCTTTGATGGATATGTGACGTGTCATTTTTTTTCTCCCAGTCTTTAGTTAATTTTAGTTTTTTTGAGACAGAGTCTCACTCTGTCACCCAGGCTGGAGTGCAGTGGCACAATCTCAGCTCACTGCAACCTCTGCCTCCCAGGTTCAACTGATTCTCCTGCCTCAGCCTCCCAAGTAGCTGAGACTACAGGTGCCCGCCACCATGCCTAGCTAATTTTTGTTTTTTTTAGTAGAGATGGGGTTTTATCATGTTGGCCAGGCTGGTCTCGAACTCCTGATCTCAAGTGATCCGCCTGCCTCAGCCTCCCAAAGTGCTAGGGTTACAGGCGTGAGCCACTGCACCTGGACTAGTTTGTCTTTTGTCTTAACAGTGTCTTTCTCAAAACAAAACTTAAAAATGTTCATAAAGTCCAATTTATCACTACTTTTTTATGGTAAAATATACATAATGTAAAATGTACCATGTTAACCATTGTTTTTGAGACGGAGTCTTGCTCTGTCGCCCAGGCTGGATTGCAGTGGTGCCATCTCCGCTCACCCACGTGCCACCACACCCAGTTAATTTTTGTATTTTTAGTAGAGATGAGGTTTCACCTTGTTGGCCAGGCTGGTCTCGAACTCCTGATCTCGTGATCTGCCTGCCTCAGCCTCCCAAAGTGCTGGGATTACAGGTGTAATTACAGTTTGCAGTGGTGCGATCTCCGCTCACCCGCGTGCCACCACACCCAACCTACGTTAACCATTTTTAAGTGTACAGTGGCGTTAAGTAAATTCACAATGTTGTGTCACTATCACCACTATCTAGTTCCCGAACTTTTTCATCACCCCAAACAGAAGCTCTGTACTCATTCAGCAGCATCTGCTGGTCCCCTCCCCACGTAACTTTGATTCCACTTTCTGTTGCTGTGAACTTGCCTATTCCTGCTGCTAGTATAAGTGGAATCGCACAATGTTTGGCCTTTTGTGTTTGGCTTATTTCACTCAGCATGTTTCCAAGGTTCATCTATGCTGTAGCATGCATCTGAGCATTATTAATTATATTACATTATATTATATTGTACGTATGTATTTATTTATTTTGAGATGGAGTCTTGCTTTATCACCCAGGCTGGAGTGGAGTGGTGCCATCTCAGCTCACTGCAACGTCTGCCTCCCGGGTTTGAGCGATTTCACCTGCCTCAGCCTCCCAAGTAGCTAGGACCACAGGCTTGTGCCACCATGCCCGGCTTTTTGTTTGTTTATTTGTTTTTTGAGACAGTATCTCATTCTGTTGCCCAGACTGGAATGACTGCTCACCACAACCTCCACCTCTCAGGCTCAAGAGATTCTCCTGCCTCAGCCTCCCTAGTAGCTGGGATTACAGGCGTGTGCCACCATGTCCAGCTAATTTTTGTGTTTTTAGTAGAGATGGGGTTTCACCATGTTGGCCAGGCTGGTCTCGAACTCCTGTCCTCAAGTGATCTGCCCACCTTTGCCTCCCAAAGTGCTGGGATTACAGGTGTGAGCCACCCGGCCCAGCCTATTATATTTAACTGTGGTAAAGTACACATAACATAAATGTTACCATCTTAACCATTTTTGTACAGTTCAATGGCGTTATGTTTACATTGTTGCGCAACCAGTCTCCAGAAGTCTTTTCATCTTTCAGAACTGAAACCCTTTATCCATTAAAGAACAGCTTCCCAGCCCCCTCCCAGCCCCTCGCAACCACCTTTCTGCTTTTTGTTTCTATGAATTTGACTAGATTTCCTCATATAAAAGGAATCAATCATGCAGCATTTGTCCCTTTGTGACTGGCTTATTTCACTGAGCATAAAGTCCTTTCGGTTTATCCATGTTGTGGTCAGGAATTCTGTCCTTTTAAGGCTAATAATATTCCAGTGCATGGATAGGCCACATTTTATATATCCATTCGTTGATGGACTTCGGGTTTTTCCCCACCTCTTGGCTATTGCGCATAATGCTGCTATGAACATGGAATACAAATATCTCTTTAAAGGGGCCGGGTGCAGTGTCTCATGCCTGTAATCCCAGCACTTTGGGAGGCCAAGGCAGGAGTATTGCTTGAGTCCAGGAGTTTGAGACCAACCTGAGCAACATAGTGAGACCTTATCTCTAATTTAAAAAATAAGAGGCTGGGCCTGTAATCCCAGCACTCTGGGAGGCCGAGGTGGGTGGATCACCTGAGGTCAGGAGGTCGAGACCAGCCTGATCAACATGGAGAAACCCTGTCTCTACCAAAAATTCAAAATTAGCCCAGCGTGGTA